>NC_000007.14:91294657-91597688 GCF_000001405.40 Homo sapiens | reverse complement strand
ACAGAAAAGATTTGACAACAGATGATACAATGAGGCTGAACTAATTGCACACCCCATCCCAAGACATAAAACAAACAAACAAACAAAACGCAAACCAGAACAAACAGCCAAAGAAACTTTAAGCTGGAGAGAGAGAAGAGGGAGATGTTTAGAGGGAAGTGATATTCTTTAACAGCAGGTCAGTGTGAGCCTGGGAGGGCAGGGTTTAAAGACATGATGAAAGTTGGAGATGCCAAAGTAGAAGAAACTTGTCCTGCCCAGTGACAGGGCACTAATTATATTAAAGTTTCCTCTAAGAGGAAGAGGCACTGTGTCCTGTTAGCCCCACCTATAACTCCGGGAGTAGGCAGTCTTGCTTATGCTCATCTTGGCACACAGGCAGAATGAGAGAGCCAGGATAGCCATGGCTATCCATGAGCAGACAGAGTGCTGCCTATAGCCCAGAGTCTTCCTGAGGCCTCAAAAGGTGCCACCCTTCCCTTTGCTTTTCAGTTTCTGTGTGGCTGTAAGAACAGGAAAGGGCTAAAGGGCCGGGGTCAGGATTTGATGATCTTGGGGTCCTAATGGGGATGCTGCAGAGGGTTTAACTGTATAGATCCAGAAGATTTTCCAGGACAGCAGGCATCTAATGGAAAAAAACAGAGAGGCTACATTTTAATTTTCATTTTGCACAGGGCCCTGCAAATTATGTAGCTGGTCCTAGACCTGGGTCTCCCCAAAACTAGCTTATCCTCATTCCCTTAGGATTCTCCCTCACTAGAAGAGCAGGGCAGGAAAGAAGAGAGCAGGCCAATAGTATCTTTAGAACAACTGTCAGGGTGGCCCTGGGTCTACATTTCCAAACCTCATTCCCTACTATCCTAGCTCCCCAAGACATTTATGCATTCTTGAAGAGCAAAGGGATCAGCAGACGCAAAAACTCAGGAAACGGTATCCTAAAACCCCATCTGCAGATTTAAAGGCCGTATAAGTGCAATAAAGCTCCTGGGGAAGTCTCCTCAGTAAATAAGATACCTATTTAATTATGCTTAATGCTTGAATAAACAACTGCATTTGTGCAGATTTTTTTTCTGACCCATGTGTAAACATCCTGAAACAATTTCCTTTAATGCTCATTTGAGAAGTGGTGCCCCAGAAACTTGAGAAGAATTGGCCACACCTTGAAGTCTTGAGCCTAGCACTGACTTCCTCCCTGCACTCCTTTTGGAAGTGATGAGCAATGAATCGTTAGGTTGCCATGGTATTTAGGAACTAAAAGCGAGCTCACACAGCCTATTTCAGATGTAAACAAGAAAAGAGAGGTCCTTCAAGGTTAAATCATTGTTATAAAGTAACAGGAGCTTGAAGCAGCCCAGTCAAGATTTAAGTACAAGCAATAATGATAACAGTTAACATTTACTGAATATTTACTTTTCCAGGGGTGTGTTATATTATTTTACCTTCACACAAACTATAGAGTAGATACCAATGCAGATATATGAAGTAAACACCTGTGGTGGCTCATATTGTGTGACAACTTGGTTAAGTTATGGTGCCCAGTTATTTGGTTAAACACCAGTCTAGAGGTTGTTATGAAAGTATTCTCATTTTTAGACAGGGTCTTGCTCTGTCACCCAGGCTGGAGTGCAGTGATGCAATCACAGCTCACTGAGGCCTTGACCTCCAGGGTACAACCTGTTCTCCCACCTCGGACTCCCAAGTAGCTGGGACTACAGGTGTGCATCACCACACACAACTAACAAAGTATTTTTTTAAAGATGAAATTAACTTTTAAATCAGTAGACTTTGAATGAAGCATATTAACCTCCATAATGTGGGTGGGCCTCCAATCAGTTGAAGGCCCTAAAAGCAAAGACTGAAATTTCCTTTTTAAAAAATTTTTTAATTTATTTTATTTTATTATTATTATACTTTAAGTTTTAGGGTACATGTGCACAGTGTGCAGGTTAGTTACATATGTATACATTTGTCATGGTGGTGTGCTGCACCCATTAACTCGTCATTTAGCATTAGGTATATCTCCTAATGCTATCCCTCCCCATCCCCCCACAACAGTCCCCGGAGTGTGATGTTCCCCTTCCTGTGTCCATATGTTCTCATTGTTCAATTCCCACCTATGAGTGAGAATATGCAGTGTTTGGTTTTTTGTTCTTGTGATAGTTTACGAGAATGATGATTTCCAATTTCATCCATGTCCCTGCAAAAGGACATGAACTCATCATTTTTTATGGCTGCATAGTATTCCATGGTGTATATGTGCCACATTTTCTTAATCCAGTCTATCATTGTTGGACATTTGGGTTCGTTCCAAGTCTTTGCTATTGTGAATAGTGCCGCAATAAACATATGTGTGCATGTGTCTTTATAGCAGCATGATTTATAGTCCTTTGGATATATACCCAGTGATGGGATGGCTGGGTTAAATGGTATTTCTGGTTCTAGATCCCTGAGGAATCGCCGCACTGACTTCCACAATGGTTGAACTAGTTTACAGTCCCACCAACAGTGTAAAAATGTTCCTATTTCTCCACATCCTCTCCAGCACCTGTTGTTTCCTGACTTTTAAATGATTGCCATTCTAACTGGTGTGAGATGGCATCTCATTGTGGTTTTGATTTGCATTTCTCTGATGGCCAGTGATGATGAGCATTTTTTCATGTGTTTTTTGGCTGCATAAATGTCTTCTTTTGAGAAGTGTCTGCTCATATACTTTGCCCACTTTTTGATGGGGTTGTTTGTTTTTTCCTTTTAAATGTGTTGGAGTTCATTGTAGATTCTGGATATTAGCCCTTTGTCAGATGAGTAGGTTGCAAAAATTTTCTCCCATTTTGTAGGTTGCCTGTTCACTCTGATGGTAGTTTCTTTTGCTGTGCAGAAGCTCTTTAGTTTAATTAGATCCCATTTGTCAATTTTGGCTTTGGTTGCCATTGCCTTTGGTGTTTTAGACATGAAGTCCTTGCCCATGGCTATGTCCTGAATGGTATTGCCTAGGTTTTCTTCTAGGGTTTTTATGGTTTTAGGTCTAACGTTTAAGTCTTTAATCCATCTTGAATTAATTTTTGTATAAGGTGTAAGGAAGGGATCCAGTTTCAGCTTTCTACATATGGCTAGCCAGTTTTCCCAGCACCATTTATTAAATAGGGAATCCTTTCCCCATTGCTCATTTTTCTCAGGTTTGTCAAAGATCAGATAGTTGTAGATATGCAGCGTTATTTCTGAGGGCTCTGTTCTGTTCCATTGATCTACATCTCTGTTTTGGTACCAGTACCATGCTGTTTTGGTTACTGTAGCCTTATAGTATAGTTTGAAGTCAGGTAGCGTGATGCCTCCAGCTTTGTTCTTTTGGCTTAGGATTGACTTGGCAATGCAGGCTCTTTTTTGGTTCCATATGAACTTTAAAGTAGTTTTTCCAATTCTGTGAAGAAAGTCATTGGTAGCTTGATGGGGATGGCATTGAATCTATAAATTACCTTGGGCAGTATGGCCATTTTCACGATATTGATTCTTCCTACCCATGAGCATGGAATGTTCTTCCATTTGTTTGTATCCTCTTATTTCATTGAGCAGTGGTTTGTAGTTCTCCTTGAAGAGGTCCTTCACGTCCCTTGTAAGTTGGATTCCTAGGTATTTTATTCTCTCTGAAGCAATTGTGAATAGGAGCTCACTCATGATTTGGCTCTCTGTTTGTTATTGCTGTATAAGAATGCTTGTGATTTTTGCACATTGATTTTGTATCCTGAGACTTTGCTGAAGTTGCTTATCAGCTTAAGGAGATTTTGGGCTGAGACAATGGGGTTTTCTAGATATACAATCATGTCATCTGCAAACAGGGACAATTTGACTTCCTCTTTTCCTAAATGAATACTCTTTATTTCCTTCTCCTGCCTGATTGCCCTGGCCAGAACTTCCAACACTGTGTTGAATAGGAGTGGTGAGAGAGGGCATCCCTGTCTTGTGCCAGTTTTCAAAGGGAATGCTTCCAGTTTTTGCCCTTTCAGTATGATATTGGCTGTAGGTTTGTGATAGATAGCTCTTATCATTTTGAAATATGTCCCATCAATACCTAATTTATTGAGAGTTTTTAGCATGAAGGGTTGTTGAATTTTGTCAAAGGCCTTTTCTGCATCTATTGAGATAATCATGTGGTTTTTGTCTTTGGTTCTGCTTATATGCTGGATTACATTTATTGATTTTCATATATTGAACCATCCTTGCATCCCAGGGATGAAGCCCACTTGATCATGGTGGATAAGCTTTTTGAGGTGCTGCTTGATTCAGTTTGCCAGTATTTTATTGATGATTTTTGCACCAATGTTCATCAAGGATATTGGTCTAAAATTCTCTTTTTTTGTTGTGTCTCTGCCTGGCTTTGATATCAGGATGATGCTGGCCTCATAAAATGAGTTAGGGAGGATTCCCTCTTTTTCTATTGATTGGAATAGTTTCAGAAAGAATGGTACCAATTCCTCCTTGTACCTCTGGTAGAATTCAGCTGTGAATCCATCTGGTCCTGGACTCTTTTTAGTTGGTAAGCTATTGATTATTGCCACAATTTCAGAGTCTGTTATTGGTCTATTCAGAGATTCAACTTCTTCCTGGTTTAGTCTTGGGAGGGTGTATGTGTCGAGGAATTTATCCATTTCTTCTAGATTTTCTAGTTTATTTGTGTAGAGGTGTTTGCAGTATTCTCTGATGGTAGTTTGTATTTCTGTGGGATCGGTGGTGATATCCCCTTTATCATTTTTTATTGCGTCTATTTGATTCTTCTCTCTTTTTTCTTTATTAGTCTTGCTAGCGGTCTATCAATTTTGTTGATCCTTTCAGAAAACCAGCTCCTGGATTCATTAATTTTTTGAAGGGTTTTTTGTGTCTCTATTTCCTTCAGTTCTGCTCTGATTTTAGTTATTTTTTGCCTTCTGCTAGCTTTTGAATGTGTTTGCTCTTGCTTTTCTAGTTCTTTTAATTGTGATGTTAGAGTGTCAGTTTTGGATCTTTCCTACTTTCTCTTGTGGGCATTTAGTGCTATAAATTTCCCTCTACATACTGCTTTGAATGTGTCCCAGAGATTCTGGTATGTTGTGTCTTTGTTCTCGTTGGTTTCAAAGAACATCTTTATTTCTGCCTTCGTTTGGTTATGTACCCAGTAGTTATTCAGGAGCAGGTTGTTCAGTTTCCATGTAGTTGAGCGGTTTTGAGTGAGTTTCTGAATCCTGAGTTTTAGTTTGATTGCACTGTGGTCTGAGAGAGAGTTTGTTATAATTTCTGTTCTTTTACGTTTGCTGAGGATAGCTTTACTTCCAACTATGTGGTCAATTTTGGAATAGGTGTGGTACGGCGCTGAAAAAAATGTATATTCTGTTGATTTTGGGGTGGAGAGTTCTGTAGACTTCTATTAGGTCTGCTTGGTGCAGAGCTGAGTTCAAATCCTGGGTATCCTTGTTGACTTTCTGTCTCGTTGATCTGTCTAATGTTGACAGTGGAGTGTTAAAGTCTCCCATTATTATTGTGTGGGAGTCTAAGTCTCTTTGTAGGTCACTCAGGACTTGCATTATGAAACTGGGTGCTCCTTTATTGGGTGCATATATATTTAGGATAGTTAGCTGTTCTTGTTGAATTGATGCCTTGACCATTATGTAATGGCCTTCTTTATCTCTTTTGATCTTTGTTGGTTTAAAGTCTCTTTTATCAGAGACTAGGATTGCAACCCCTGACTTTTTTTGTTTTCTATTTTCTTGGTAGATCTTCCTCCATCCTTTTATTTTGAGCCTATGTGTGTCTCTGCACATGAGATGGGTTTCCTGAATACAGCACACTGACGGGTCTTGACTCTTTATCCAATTTGCCAGTCTGTGTCTTTTAATTGGAGCATTTAGTCCATTTACTTTTAAAGTTAATATTGTTATGTGTGAATTTGATCCTGTCATTTTGATGTTAGCTGGTTATTTTGCTCGTTAGTTGGTGCAGTTTCTTCCTAGCCTCGATGGTCTTTACAATTTGGCATGATTTTGCAGTGGCTGGTACCAGTTGTTCCTTTCCATGTTTAGTGCTTCCTTCAGGAGCTCTTTTAGGGCAGGCCTGGTGGTGACAAAATCTCTCAGCATTTGCTTCTCTGTAAAGTATTTTATTTCTCCTTCACTTATGAAGCTTAGTTTGGCTGGATATGAAATTCTGGGTTGAAAATTCTTTTCTTTAAGAATGTTGAATATTGGCCCCCACTCTCTTCTGGCTTATAGAGTTTCTGCCGAGAGATCCGTTGTTAGTCTGATGGGCTTCCCTTTGTGGGTAACCCGACCTTTCTCTCTGGCTGCCCTTAACATTTTTTCCTTCATTTCAACTTTGGTGAATCTGACATTTATGTGTCTTGGAGTTGCTCTTCTCGAGGACTATCTTTGTGGTGTTCTCTGTATTTCCTGAATCTGAGTGTTGGCCTGCCTTGCTAGATTGGGGAAGTTCTCCTGGATAATATCCTGCAGGCTGTTTTCCAACTTGGTTCCATTCTCCCCGTCACTTTCAGGTAAACCAATCAGACATAGATTTGGTCTTTTCACATAGTCCCATATTTCTTGGAGGCTTTGTTTGTTTCTTTTAATTTTTTTTTCTCTAAACTTCCCTTCTTGCTTCATTTCATTCATTTCATCTTCCATCGCTGATACCCTTTCCTCCAGTTGATCGCATCAGCTCCTGAGGCTTCTGCATCCTTCACGTAGTTCTCGAGCCTTGGCTTTCAGCTCCATCAGCTCCTTTAAGCACTTCTCTCTATTGGTTATTCTAGTTATACATTCGTCTAAATTTTTTTCAAAGTTTTCAACTTCTTTGCCTTTGGTTTGGATTTCCTCCTGTAGCTCGGAGTAGTCTGATCGTCTGAAGCCTTCTTCTCTCAATTTGGCAAAGTCATTCTCCGTCCAGCTTTGTTCCATTGCTGGTGAGGAACTGTGTTCCTTTGGAGGAGGAGAGGCACTCTGCTTTTTAGCGTTTGCAGTTTTTCTGCTCTGTTTTTTCCCCATCTTTGTGGTTTTATCTACTTTTGGTCTTTGATGATGGTGACGTACAGATGGGTTTTTGATGTGGATGTCCTTTCTGTTTGTTAGTTTTCCTTCTAACAGACAGGACCCTCAGCTGCAGGTCTTTTGGAGTTTGCTAGAGGTCCACTCCAGACCGTGTTTGCCTGGGTAACAGCAGTGGTGGCTGCAGAACAGCAGATTACCGTGAACCACGAATGCTGCTGTCTGATCGTTCCTCTGGAAGTTTTGTCTCAGAGGAGTACCTGGCCTTGTGAGGTGTCAGTCTGCCCCTACTGGGGGGTGCCTCCCAGTTAGGCTGCTTGGAGGTCAGGGGTCAGGGACCCACTTGAGGAGGCAATCTGCCCATTCTCAGATCTCCAGCTGCATGCTGGGAGAACCACTGCTCTCTTCAAAGCTGTCAGACAGGGACATTTAAGTCTGCAGAGGTTACTGTTGTCTTTTTGTTTGTCTGTGCCCTGCCCCCAGAGGTGGAGCCTACAGAGGCAGGCAGGCCTCCTTGAGCTGTGGTGGGCTCCACCCAGTTCGAGCTTCCTGGCTGCTTTGTTTACCTAAGCAAGCCTGGGCAATGGCGGGCGCCCCTCCCCTAGCCTTGCTGCCGCCTTGCAGTTGGATCTCAGACTGCTGTGCTAGCAATCAGCGAGACTTTGTGGGCGTAGGACCCTCCGAGCCAGGTGCGGGATATAATCTCCTGGTGTGCCATTCCTTATGCCCGTCGGAAAAGTGCAGTATTAGGGCGGGAGTGACCCAATTTTCTAGGTGCTGTCTGTCACCCCTTTCTTTGAGTAGGAAAGGGAACTCCCTGACCCCTTGCACTTCCCGAGTGAGACAATGCCTCGCCCTGCTTTGACTCGTGCACGGTGCACTGCACTCACTGTCCTGCGTCCACTGTCTGCCACTCCCTAGTGAGATGAATCCGGTACCTCAGATGGAAATGCAGAAATCACCCGTCTTCTGTGTCGCACATGCTGGGAGCTGTAGACCGGAGCTGTTCCTATTCGGCCATCTTGGCTGCTGCCTCTGAAATTTCCTAAAGAAGAAGGAATTCTCCTGAAGACTGCAATGTAGAAACCCTGCCTGAGTTTCCAGCCTGATGCTCTGGAATTTGGACTCAAGACTGCAAACTCAACTCTTTCCTAAATTCCCAGCCTGGTAGCTCAGCCTGCCCTGCAAGTTTGGGACTTGACAGCCTCAAGATCACATGACAATTTCTTTTTTTTTTTTTTTTTTTACTACATCATTAAGACTTATTTAATGCTGAGTCTAAATACAAATCCAAGTGCCCCGTCTGTTCCCATAAAAATGTTCATATTTGTGTTCTTTTTTTTTTTTTTTTACTTTGTGTTTTGTTACTTTTACCTTTTCTTTCTTTTTTTTTATTATTATACTTTAAGTTTTAGGGTACATGTGCACATTGTGCAGGTTAGTTACATATGTATACATGTGCCATGCTGGTGCGCTGCACCCACTAACTCGTCATCTAGCATTAGGTATATCTCCCGATGCTATCCCTCCCTGCTCCCCCGACCCCACAGCAGTCCCCAGAGTGTGATATTCCCCTTCCTTTGTCCATGTGATCTCATTGTTCAATTCCCACCTACGAGTGAGAATATGCGGTGTTTGGTTTTTTGTTCTTGCGATAGTTTACTGAGAATGATGATTTCCAATTTCATCCACATCCCTACAAAGGACATGAACTCATCATTTTTTATGGCTGCATAGTATTCCATGGTGTATATGTGCCACATTTTCTTAATCCAGTCTATCATTGTTGGACATTTGGGTTGGTTCCAAGTCTTTGCTATTGTGAATAATGCAGCAATAAACATACGTGTGCATGTGTCTTTATAGCAGCATGATTTACAGTCCTTTGGATATATACCCAGTAATGGGATGGCTGGGTCAAATGGTATTTCTAGTTCTAGATCCCTGAGGAATCGCCACACTGACTTCCACAATGGTTGAACTAGTTTACAGTCCCACCAACAGTGTAAAAGTGTTCCTATTTCTCCACATCCTCTCCAGCACCTGTTGTTTCCTGACTTTTAAATGATTGCCATTCTAACTGGTGTGAGATGGTATCTCATTGTGGTTTTGATTTGCATTTCTCTGATGGCCAGTGATGATGAGCATTTTTTCATGTGTTTTTTGGCTGCATAAATGTCTTCTTTTGAGAAGTGTCTGTTCATGTCCTTCGCCCACTTTTTGATGGGGTTGTTTGTTTTTTTCTTGTAAATTTGTTTGAGTTCATTGTAGATTCTGGTTATTAGCCCTTTGTCAGATCAGTAGGTTGTGAAAATTTTCTCCCATTTTGTAGGTTGCCTGTTCACTCTGATGGTAGTTTCTTTTGCTGTGCAGAAGCTCTTTAGTTTAAGTAGATCCCATTTGTCAATTTTGGCTTTTGTTGCTATTGCTTTTGGTGTTTTAGACATGAAGTCCTTGCCCATGCCTATGTCCTGAATGGTAATGCCTAGGTTTTCTTCCAGGGTTTTTATGGTTTTAGGTCTAACGTTTAAGTCTTTAATCCATCTTGAATTGATTTTTGTATAAGGTGTAAGGAAGGGATCCAGTTTCAGCTTTCTACATATGGCTAGCCAGTTTTCCCAGCACCATTTATTAAATAGGGAATCCTTTCCCCATTGGTTGTTTTTGTCAGGTTTGTCAAAGATCAGAAAGTTGTAGATATGCGGCGCTATTTCTGAGGGCTCCGTTCTGTTCCATTGATCTATATCTCTGTTTTGGTACCAGTACCATGCTGTTTTGGTTACTGTAGCCTTGTAGTATAGTTTGAAGTCAGGTAGTGTGATGCCTCCAGCTTTGTTCTTTTGGCTTAGGATTGCCTTGGCAATGCGGGCTCTTTTTTGGTTCCATATGAACTTTAAAGTAGTTTTTTCCAATTCTGTGAAGAAAGTCATTGGTAGCTTGATGGGGATGGCATTCAATCTATAAATTACCTTGGGCAGTATGGCCATTTTCACGATATTGATTCTTCCTACCCATGAGCATGGAATGTTCTTCCATTTGTTTGTATCCTCTTTTATTTCCTTGAGCAGTGGTTTGTAGTTCTCCTTGAAGAGGTCCTTCACATCCCTTGTAAGTTGGATTCCTAGGTATTTTATTCTCTTTGAAGCAATTGTGAATGGGAGTTCACTCATGATTTGGCTCTCTGTTTGTCTGTTGTTGGTGTATAAGAATGCTTGTGATTTTTATACATTGATTTTGTATCCTGAGACTTTGCTGAAGTTGCTTATCAGCTTAAGGAGATTTTGGGCTGAGACAATGGGGTTTTCTAGATATACAATCATGTCGTCTGCAAACAGGGACAATTTGACTTCCTCTTTTCCTAATTGAATACCCTTTATTTCCTTCTCCTGCCTAATTGCCCTGGCCAGAACTTCCAACACTATGTTGAATAGGAGTGGTGAGAGAGGGCATCCCTGTCTTGTGCCGGTTTTCAAAGGGAATGCTTCCAATTTTTGCCCATTCAGTATGATATTGGCTGTGGGTTTGTCATAGATAGCTCTTATCATTTTGAAATATGTCCCATCAATACCTAATTTATTGAGAGTTTTTAGCATGAACCGTTGTTGAATTTTGTCAAAGGCTTTTTCTGCATCTATTGAGATAATCATGTGGTTTTTGTCTTTGGCTCTGTTTATATGCTGGATTACATTTATTGATTTGTGTATATTGAACCAGCCTTGCATCCCAGGGATGAAGCCCACTTGATCATGGTGGATAAGCTTTTTGATGTGCTGCTGGATTCGTTTTGCCAGTATTTTATTGAGGATTTTTGCATCAATGTTCATCAAAGATATTGGTCTAAAATTCTCTTTTTTTGTTGTGTCTCTGCCTGGCTTTGGTATCAGAATGATGCTGGCCTCATAAAATGAGTTAGGGAGGATTGCCTCTTTTTCTATTGATTGGAATAGTTTCAGAAGGAATGGTACCAGTTCCTCCTTGTACCTCTGTTAGAATTCGGCTGTGAATCCATCTGGTCCTGGACTCTTTGGTTTGTAAGCTATTGATTATTGCCACAATTTCAGCTCCTGTTATTGGTCGATTAAGAGATTCAACTTCTTCCTGGTTTAGTCTTGGGAGAGTGTATGTGTCCAGGAATTTATCCATTTCTTCTAGATTTTCTAGTTTATTTGCGTAGAGGTGTTTGTAGTATTCCCTGATGGTCGTTTTTATTTCTGTGGGATTGGTGGTGATATCCCCTTTATCATTTTTTATTGCATCTATTTGATTCTTCTCTCTTTTTTTCTTTATTAGTCTTGCTAGCGGTCTATCAATTTTGTTGATCCTTTCAAAAAACCAACTCCTGGATTCATTAATTTTTTGAAGGGTTTTTTGTATCTCTATTTCCTTCAGTTCTGCTCTGATTTAAGTTATTTCTTGCCTTCTGCTAGCTTTTGAATGTGTTTGCTCTTGCTTCTCTAGTTCTTTTAATTGTGATGTTAGGGTGTCAGTTTTGGATCTTTTCTGCTTTCTCTTGTGGGCATTTAGTGCTATAAATTTCCCTCTACCCACCGCTTTGAATGCGTCCCAGAGATTCTGGTATGTTGTGTCTTTTTTCTCGTTGGTTTCAAAGAACATCTTTATTTCTGCCTTCATTTCGTTATGTACCCAGTAGTCATTCAGGAGCAGGTTGTTCAGTTTCCATGTAGTTGAGTGGTTTTGAGTGAGATTCTTAATCCTGAGTTCTAGTTTGATTGCACTGTGGTCTGAGAGATAGTTTGTTATAATTTCTGTTGTTTTACATTTGCTGAGGAGAGCTTTACTTCCAAGTATGTGGTCAATTTTGGAATAGCTGTGGTGTGGTGCTGCAAAAAAATGTATATTCTGTTGATTTGGGGTGGAGAGTTCTGTAGATGTGTATTAGGTCCGCTTGGTGCAGAGCTGAGTTCAATTCCTGGGTATCCTTGTTGACTTTCTGTCTCGTTGATCTGTCTAATGTTGACAGTGGGGTGTTAAAGTCTCCCATTATTAATGTGTGGGAATCTAAGTCTCTTTGTAGGTCACTCAGGACTTGCTTTATGAAACTGGGTGCTCCTGTATTGGGTGCATATATATTTAGGATAGTTAGCTCTTCTTGTTGAATTGATCGCTTTACCATTATGTAATCGCCTTCTTTGTCTCTTTTGATCTTTGTTGGTTTAAAGTCTGTTTTATCCGAGACTAGGATTGCAACCCCTGCCTTTTTTTGTTTTCCATTGGCTTGGTAGATCTTCCTCCATCCTTTTATTTTGAGCCTATGTGTGTCTCTGCATGTGAGATGGGTTTCCTGAATACAGCACACTGACGGGTCTTGACTCTTTATCCAATTTGCCAGTCTGTGTCTTTTAATTGGAGCATTTAGTCCATTTACATTTAAAGTTAATATTGTTATGTGTGAATTTGATCCTGTCATTTTGATGTTAGCTGGTGATTTTGCTCGTTAGTTGATGCAGTTTCTTCCTAGTCTCGATGGTCTTTACATATTGGCATGATTTTGCAGCGGCTGGTACCGGTTGTTCCTTTCCAAGTTTAGTGCTTCCTTCAGGAGCTCTTGTAAGGCAGGCCTGGTGGTGACAAAATGTCTCAGCATTTGCTTGTCTGTAAAGTATTTTATTTCTCCTTCACTTATGAAGCTTAGTTTGGCTGGATATGAAATTCTGGGTTGAAAATTCTTTTCTTTAAGAATGTTGAATATTGGCCCCCACTCTCTTCTGGCTTGTAGGGTTTCTGCTGAGAGATCCACTGTTAGTCTGATGGGCTTCCCTTTGAGGGTAACCCGACCTTTCTTTCTGGCTGCCCTTAACATTTTTTCCTTCATTTCAACTTTGGTGAATCTGACAATTATGTGTCTTGGAGTTGCTCTTCTCCAGGACTATCTTTGTGGTGTTCTCTGTATTTCCTGAATCTGAATGTTGGCCTGCCTTGCTAGATTGGGGAAGTTCTCCTGGATAATATCCTGCAGAGTGTTTTCCAACTTGGTTCCATTCTCCCCATCACTTTCAGGTACACCAATCAGATGTAGATTTGGTCTTTTCACATAGTCCCATATTTCTTGGAGGCTTTGCTCATTTCTTTTTATTCTTTTTTCTCTAGACTTCCCTTCTCGCTTCATTTCATTCATTTCATCTTCCATCACTAATACCCTTTCTTCCAGTTGATCGCATCGGCTCCTGAGGCTTCTGCATTCTTCACGTAGTTCTCGAGCCTTGGTTTTCAGCTCCATCATCTCCTTTAAGCACTTCTCTGTATTGGTTATTCTAGTTATACATTCTTCTAAATTTTTTTCAAAGTTTTCAACTTCTTTGCCTTTGGTTTGAATGTCCTCCCGTAGCTCAGAGTAATTTGATCGTCTGAAGCCTTCTTCTCTCAGCTCGTCAAAGTCATTCTCCATCCAGCTTTGTTCCGTTGCTGGTGAGGAACTGCGTTCCTTTGGAGGAGGAGAGACGCTCTGCGTTTTAGAGTTTTCAGTTTTTCTGTTCTGTTTTTTCCCCATCTTTTTGGTTTTATCTACTTTTGGTCCTTGATGATGGTGATGTACAGATTGGTTTTTGGTGTGGATGTCCTTTCTGTTTGTTAGTTTTCCTTCTAACAGACAGGACCCTCAGCTGCAGGTCTGTTGGAATACCCTGCCATGTGAGGTGTCAGTGTGCCCCTGCTTGGGGGTGCCTCCCATTTAGGCTGCTCGGGGGTCAGGGGTCAGGGACCCACTTGAGGAGGCAGTCTGGCCGTTCTCAGATCTCCAGCTGTGTGCTGGGAGAACCACTGCTCTCTTCAAAGCTGTCAGACAGGGACATTTAAGTCTGCAGAGGTTACTGCTGTCTTTTTGTTTGTCTGTGCCCTGCCCCCAGAGGTGGAGCCTACAGAGGCAGGCAGGCCTCCTTGAGCTGTGGTGGGCTCCACCCAGTTGGAGCTTCCTGGCTGCTTTGTTTACCTAATCAAGCCTGTGCAATGGCGGGCGCCCCTCCCCCAGCCTCGCTGCCGCCTTGCAGTTTGATCTCAGACTGCTGTGCTAGGAATCAGCGAGACTCCGTGGGCGTAGGACCCTCCAAGCCAGGTGCGGGATATAATCTCGTGGTGCGCCGTTTTTTAAGCCGGTCCGAAAAGCGCAATATTCGGGTGGGAGTGACCCGATTTTCCAGGTGCATCCGTCACCCCTTTCTTTGACTCCGAAAGGGAACTCCCTGACCCCTTGCGCTTCCCAAGTGAGGGAATGCCTCGCCCTGCTTCGGCTCACGCATGGTGCACGCACCCACTGACCTGCGCCCACTGTCTGGCATTCCCTAGTGAGATGAACCCGGTACCTCAGATGGAAATGCAGAAATCACCCGTCTTCTGCGTCGCTCACGCTGGGAGCTGTAGACCGGAGCTGTTCCTATTTGGCCATCTTGGCTCCTCCCCCGACAATTTCTGTAAGTAAGTCTCTCTATCTCTCTCTTTGTGTGTGTATATATATTTCAGTAGTGGTTCTGTTTCTCTGAAGAACCTGACCAATACAACACCCACGACCGATGCTGAGTATTGTTTGCCCCTCCAGATCTATCCTCTACTTCCTTCTGCCCCATCTGTGACTGTTAAAATGTGCATCAATTTGCTTCATCTGCTTCATTGCTCTCTGCTTCTGGGTGGGTTAGGCCAAAGAGAGTTAGTGGCAGGAGATCAGAAGTCAGGATGAGAGTGAGATTAGGATGTTGATTTTCTTGGCTCTCTGCTGATAAGGCTGCAGGATGGCAGTGGCTGTGTTCCTTTACCTGAGGCTGGAGCTCCTCAGTGGCCTCTCCTACAGCAGCAGCTAAAGTCTCAGTACTCATTGAGTTCCTGTGGCCACTCCCCTCCTTTGCTCTTCAGGCCTAGGATGAGAAGGGCTCTCCACTGCTGCTAGTCCTTCCCTTCTCATCCCTGCCTCCGTGTACTTTACCATTCTACGTAGTTTTCTCTTAATCCTGCCCATAGCTCTGTAAATCATCCTCAATTTTTTCTGTTGGAGTGTGCCATCTGTTTCCTGCCAGGACCCTCAGTATCTATCGGGGACTGGTTCCAGGAGCCCTGCAGATACCCAAATCCATGGATGCTCAAGTTCCTTATATAAAATGGTATAGTATTTATATATAATGTATGCACATCATCCTTCTATATACTTTAGATAATCTCTAGATTACTTATAATACCTAATACAATGTAAATGCTATGTAAATATTTGTTATACTTTATTGTTAGGGAATAATGCCAAGGAAAAAGTCTGTACATGTTTAGTACAGATGCAACTTTCTGAAATTATTTTTAGGAATATTTTCAATCTGTGATTGGTCAAATACATGAATGCAGAACCTGTGGATGCTGGGGGCCTACTGTAGTTCAATGCCCTTTTAATTCTCATTTATGCATGAGGAAACTGAGGCCTAGAGAGGTTTGGTAACTTCTCCACAGCTGGGATTTAAGCCAAGGTCTCTGATTCCCATGGCAATATTCACAGCTTGTGCACTATATATCACTGTTTACTCTTTCTGAATTAGTTTCCCGATTTGTAAATGGAGTCAGCACAAAAATTTCTGTGATGGTTAATTTCATGTGTTAATCTAACTGGGCCATAGAATGCCCAGCTATTTGATTAAACATTATTTCTGGGTGTGTCTCTGAGGGTATTTATTAGCATTTGAATTGGTGGACTGAGTAAAGCCCATAGCTTACCTCAGGGAAGGTGGGCATCATCCAATCAGTTGAGGGCCTGAAAAGAACAAAAAGAAGGAGGATGATTAGATTTGGTTTCTCTCTGCCTGATTGCTTGAACTGGGACATAGATCTTCTCTTGTCCCCTGTGCTCCTGGTTTTTAGGCCTTCAAACTTAGATGGGGATATACACCATTGCTCTCCAGCTCTCAGGCCTTTGAATGATCCCACCAGCTTTCCTGGATCTGCAGCTTGCGGATGCAGATCATGAGATTTTCAGCCTCCATAATCACATGAGCCAATACCTCCTAACAGATCTCTTTCTATATATATTCCTATGAGTTCTGTTACTCTGAAGATCACTGACTAATACAACTCCTTTTAGGATTTTGGTTAGCTCTTAATAAATATTAGCTTTTGTTGTTATTCGCCACAAAAAAGGACATTAATGAGATGGAAATTCCTACTTTATAGGGTTACTGTGGAATTCCTCAGCTAAGAGGCCTACAGCACCAGCACAAGGCTCCCCACACACTGGCTGCTCAATTAAGCTGTAATCATGCCTATTGTTCTTTTCCAAATCCACACTCTCCAGAAATGTGCTCTTAAAATCTCCATGAGCAGAATTTTGAATTGAGAAGAAGTTGGGTCGTGGTGGGGGTGCTTTACATATGTTATTTCGTGTAAATGTTACAAGAGAACTAATGTAAGTCATTCCAGTTTTACAGATGAGGAAGCTGAGGGTTTAGAAGTTAAATAACTTATCTAAGGTGACTACCATATCTGGTAGTGAAAGATTGAGGATTCCAACCTGGATATGTTTGATTCCATATTTATCTGAGTCAAAGAAGATTATTAATAGAGCCCAGATGATAGGTCCCGCTGTTAAAATATTAGTCTTTTCCATTGGTAAATGGCTGCTGCCTCATGTCTTTTGTATATGTCTTGTCCACCCACTCCCTTCCTCCCAGCTCGAAAGAGAGGGCCTGTTCTGTTGGATCTGTGCCCATAACTTATCAGTTATTAATTTTCATAATATCACTCCTACATACAAGCTCAGTAGAGGAACTGGAGAATTACGTCTCAGAAAAGTACAGAATAAGCTATGTGCAAACTTACAGAAGTCCAAGAAGGAGGATGACCGGGGCATTTTGAGCACTGCAGAACATTTTCATTATTTCTGTGTCTCTGTCCTGTGGCTGACTTTCTTGGAAGAATGAACTTCAGAGGGAGCTTTAGAGTGAATGCATGGAGGGGTGGGATTTCCTGTCCACATAGTCCAGAAAGCCTAGCCTTGTTTCTGAGCCATCTTCATTTCAGCTTTTATTGTACCTCAAACCTGAACCCCAAATATCTGTGGTTCTTTTAAAACAACTCAACAGAGAGATATATGAACTCTGTTTTAGGTGGTGAGACAGAAGGCCAGCTTCTTCCCAGGCTTCCAGGTTTCAAGTCCATCAGCCTGGACCTTCATGCTTACCTGAAAGAGGTAGCCTGGCAACTTATGAACATAAGCTACCCAGTCAATGACATTTTGTTTTAGCAGCCTGAACAGACAAAGACAACAGTGAATTAAGAAACTCAAAACGCCGGGCGCGGTGGCTCATGCCTGTAATCCCAGCACTTTGGGAGGCTGAGGTGGGCAGATCACGAGGTCAGGAGATCGAGACCATCCTGGCTAACACGGTGAAACCCTGTCTCTACTAAAAATACAAAAAAATAGCCGGGCGTGGTGGCAGGCGCCTGTAGTCCCAGCTACTCCGGAGGCTGAGGCAAGAGAATGGCGTGAACCCGGGAGGCGGAGTAAGCCGAGATCGCACCACTGCACTCTGGGCGACAGAGCGAGACTCTGTCCCCCCACCCCCCCAAAAAAAAAAAAAAAAAAAAAACAGCTCAAAACTTGAGTTCATGGGCCAAAGAGCTGGGTCTAGTGGGAGGAGGCAGCTAACGGAAACTTAGTCATTGGGGGATTTTATGCTGAGGGCAGTTTTGCTCTGTGTTTCCTTGCAGACACCTCTGCAGAGCATCAGGCTCTGTCCCTGCTGTGAGGATCTGCAAGGCTAGCCCTTGCCCTTTACAAATCTCCTTTCTTTTCTTTCTTTAAAAATGGACTTGCCTTGGATTAATAACGATGTGCTGGAGAGCTTCTTATCTCTGCCTGGAATTATGCTTTCATAATAATATTACCCTTAACCTTTAATCTAAAAAGTAGAGGGGAATTAAAAATAATTCACAAAGGAAAAAGCAAACCTCCACAATCGAAAGAGATAGGGTTAGGGGCAGAAGAAATGGCAAGAAGACATCAGGCTGGAAATGGTGGCATTTAATCGGGGATTAGGCACGAAGTGGGTGAGGCAATTCCAGATGACAAGAACCAACCCGAACCATCTAATGGAACCTTTGTCAAGGTTTTCAAATACTCTAGTGCCCTTTAAAAATCATTTTCTCCTCTGCCCTTATGTTTTTGTCCAGACTTAGAGGTGAAAGTGAAATAATCGAGGGTGAGATGCTGGCTCTATTGACTTTTTCTCAAAGGGATGCGAGCTACAAATTTCATGGGAAATCCTCTTGCTGAGTAAAAGCCCTTAAGAACAGGATTGGCTACATGATTTGCAGAGGCCAGTGCAAAATGAAAACATGGAGTTTCTTGTTCAAATTATTAAAAGGGTCAAGGAGACAGGCAAGCATGAAACCCAATGTAGGGCCCTTCTGAGCCTGGGGACCCTGTGTGACTGCATAGATCACACACCCATGAAGCTGACCCTGCTTAGGGGGTCTCTGAAGTTTCACACTATTCTCATTTTCTGACTTAATAATGTTTCTTCTTCCATTTTCAAAGCTTCAGGGATGTGGTAATTGTGTGTGTGCGCACTATTTTTAAGCACTTGAGTTGATTTTCAAAATGGCTCTTTAAAAACTCAAACATTTCTAAAATCCAATTGATCCTGTCATTGTCACCTTTAGGTATAAACTGAGGAAGAGAGACCACCGCCCAAGGCCCTGTACTTTAGAGGGCTTTGCTTTGGCTTCTTTCCAGCTCAACTTGAATCTGAGCAGGCAAGGAGACATGCCTACCCAGACATACGCTCAGGTGGCCTAGACCCCAGAATTCCTTGCCCAGATTGCCCTGATCTGCTCCAGGGATAGGCAGATATCTTTCCTGGATTCTGTCTTCCAAGGGTAGGTCTCACTACTAGCATGGCCACCCTGGGGCCTAAGAGTAGGCCAAGAAACAGCTGTTTGGGAGTGGAGAGAGCAGTCATCATGACAGAGCTTGGACATGTGGGCTTGTCTGGGATATCCTCATGTGTTTGGAGGAGGCCCCCTGCTGTGTCAGATGAAGCTGGAGGGAGGATGAGCTAGGGAGGGGCTGGAAGGGGGTGTTTTCCCCACACAGGGATTTGAAGGACTCTGGAAAGTCTAAATTATAACCTGGCTTTTCAGGCCATTAGGAAAGTATATTTGTTATGGTAGAATCAAATATATTTTATTAAACAGTTTGCTGCCTTGATTTATAACTTATAAATCCTTTGACTCACAATATGTGGGCTTTCTTTTATATTCTTGCGATGGGTTCTGCAAACATTAGGGGCTGACCTGGATGGCGGGCAGCAAAGAAAGGGTATATTTCATCATGATGTTGTGTACCATCTTCCGCATAGAAAGTTTTGTACTTCGGTTACTCTGATTTTGCATGTACATGAGCTCGTATGTGTATAATATTTATATACATTTTGACAAGTACAATTTCTATTTTGATCAGTGGAAAATAACAGCTTTTAAAGATGTAATTATTAATTATATGTGTACTACAGCCAATTTCAAATACCTTTCTGCTCCAAAAATTTCTTAATTTAGTAAGAATATTCAGTTTCTACCACAACAATCCACTCTGCCAAAATTTGTGTTGATATACCACACAACAAATAATTTTATCTTTAATGTTGAACTTTTTACATGAGCCTCTAATCATATTCACAATAATGTCAAATATTTTATTTTAACAGAATGAATATTCAAAAGATGTATTTTGATTTCATGAATTTAATAAATAAAAACAAATCTTTATTGCAAATGATTTTCTCTTTGAAGTATCTAGGGCACTGGTAAAAACTGGCCTTATTTAACTGTTTGTGCAGTTCTTCTGCTAATGAAGCCAACACGTGAACAGTAATCACTGTACTTTTTATAGATCCAAAAGGAAACTTGGAATTCAAAGTGGATGACAGTAATGTAGAAGAACAATCATTTTAGGTAAATGGGAAGTTTTGCTCCACTGAGTAATATAAACACACCTTCTGTACGCACACATGTTCAACAGTCTAGTTATTGGACACAGTCTTAAAGTAACTTCTAACTTTTCAATAGATGCTGGTGCTTTTTCAGAAGATTTGTGTCTTCTGGTTTTCATATGGTCGTGTGTCACTCAACCTTCATGGCTGATGTTAAACTGTGTTTATAAATATTCTTTATAAGTTCCACATTCATCAACTTCATTGTGAAATCAAAATTTCGAGCTTGGTTTTTCACTAAATACATACTTTTGCTTTTTTGATTGCTGCTGAAAGATTTTTTTGCAAAACAAAACAGCATAACTTAATACTAATAGAGATATGCATATTAAACCGTACAGTAAATTACACATGTAATGAGGATACTAAGGCTACTTTCTCTAAGTTCTATGGCAAGATAGCTTAGCCTCTAGTTCTCATTCATATTTCCCAACTAACTGATGAAGTCCCACATTTCTACTGACTCTGCCAACTGATGTCTCAGTGGTTTCATGCATTTTGAAGGGTGTGGCATAGGCCACAGCACAATTGACTGGCCCAACAATGGCCAGCAGAGGCAATGGTTTTGAGTCCTCTCAAGACCACTCAAACTTTGGTAAATTAGCTTCATGAGCTCTCTCTTGTCTGACTGCATTGCATTTATCAGAAAGTGCCATGCATGCTGTCTTTGAAAGAGAAGTGCTTAGGGATGCAGGGATAGTTTAATACACGCAAGTCAATAAATGCAATATGCTACATAAACAAAATTTAAAACAAAAATCACATGATCATCTCAACAGATGCAGAAAGAGCATTTGACAAAATCCAGCACCTCTTTATGATTAAAACTCTCAGCAAAATTGGCATACAAGGGACATACCTCAATGTAATAAAAGCCATCTATGACAAACCCACAGCCAACATAATACTGAATGAGGAAAAGTTGAAAGCATTCCCTCTGAGAACTGGAACAAGACAAGGATGCCCACTCTCACCACTCCTCTTCAACATAGTACTGGAAGTCCTAGTCAGAGCGATCAGACAAGAAAAATAAATAAAGGGCATCATCAGTAAAGAGGAAGTCAAATTGTCACTGTTTGCTGATGATATGATCGTTTACCTCAAAAGCCCCAAAGACTCCCCTGGAAAGTTCCTAGAACTGATGAAAGAATTCAGCAAAGTTTCCAGATACAAGATTCATGCACAAAAATCAGTAGCTCTTCTATACACCAACAGCAACCAAACAGAGAATCAAATCAAGAACTCAACCCCTTTTACAATAGGGGCAAAAATAAACAAACAAACAAACAAACGAATGAATAAATAAATAAAACAATTAGGAATATACCTAACCAAGGAGGTGAAAGACCTCTACAAGGAAAACTACAAAACACTGCTGAAATAAATCATAAATGACACAAACAAATGGAAATGCATCCCATGTTCATGGATCAGTAGAATCAATATTGTGAAAATGACCATCCTGCCAAAAGCAATCTACCAATTCAATGCAATCCCCATCAAAATACCACCATCATTCTTCACAGAATTAGAAAAAAAAAATTCTAAAATTTATATGGAACTAAAAAAGGGCCTGCATAGCCAAAGCAAGACTAAGCAAAAAGAACATGTCTGGAGACATCACACTACCTGATTTCAAAAAATACCATAAGGCCATAGTCACCAAAACAGCATGGTATTGGTATAAAAATAGGCACATAGACCAATGGAACAGAATAGATAACCCAGAAATGAACCCAAATACTTACAGCCAACTGATCTTTGAGAAAGCAAACACAAACATAAAGTGGGGAAAGGACACCCTTTTCAACAAATGGTGCTGGGATAATTGGCTAGCCACATATAGGAGAATGAAACTGGATCCTCATTTCTTACCTTATACAAAAATCAACTCAAGATGAATTAAGGACTTAAATCTAAGACCTGAAACTATAAAAGTTCTAGAAGGTAACATTGGAAATAAACCTTCTAGACATTGGCTTAGGCAAGGATTTCATGACCAAGAACCCAAAAGCAAATGCAATTAAAACAAAGATAAATAATTGGGACTTAATTAAACTAAAGAGCTTTTGCAGGGCAAAAGGAACAGTCAGCAGAGTAAACAGACAACCCACAGAGTGGGAGAAAATCTTCACAATCTATATATCTGACAAAGGACTATTATCCAGAATCTACAACAAACTCAAACAAATCAGTAAGAAAAAACAAACAATCCCATCAAAAAGTGGGCTAAGGACATGAATAGACAATTCTCAAAAGAAGATGTACAAATGGAAAAAAAGCATATGCAAAAATGCTCAACATCACTAATGATCAGAGAAATGCAAATCAAAACCACAATGCAATACCACCCTGTTCCTGCAAGAATGGCCATAATCAAAAAAATAAAAAAACAGTAGATGCTGGCATGGATGCGGTGATCAGCAAACACTTCTACACTGTTGGTGGGAATGTAAACTAGCACACTATGGAAAACAGTGTGGCGATTTCTTAAAGAACTGAAAGTAGAACTACCATCTGATCCAGCAATCCCACTACTGGGTATCTACCCAGAGGAAAAGAAGTCATTATATGAAAAAGATACTTGAACATGCATATTTATAGTGGCACAATTTGCAATTGCAAAATCATGGAACCAACCAAATGCCCATCAATCAATGAGTGGATAAAGAAACTGTGAGATATATATATATACAGATAGATAGATATATTCTTAAATATCATATAAATATATGATATTTATATCACATATAAATATATGATGTATCATATAAATATATGATAGAATACTACTCAGCCATAAAAAGGAATGAATTAATGGTGTTTGCAGCGACCTAGATGAGATTGGAGACTATCATTCTAAATGAAGCAACTCAGGAATAGAAAACCAAACATCGTATGTTCTCACTGATATGTGGGAGCTAAGCTATGAGGATGCAAAGGCATAAGAATGATACAATGGACTTTGGGGACTTGGGGAAGGGTGAGAGAGGGGTGAGGGATAAAAGACTACAAATAGGGTACAGTGTACACTGCTTGGGTGATGGGTGCACCAAAATCTCACAAATCACCACTAAAGAACTTACTCATGTAACCAAATACCACCTATACCACAATAACTTATGGAAAAAAAAAGAAAGGGAAGTGCTTGTTATAGTGAGCCTGGACAAAACAGTGGAAAGGGAGATGGGTTATTGATGTACATCTTTTAGTTTCAATCACACATTAAAGTAAAAAATTTGTTCATTGCACATTGATCTCCCGTTATACAAGATCATGTCAGAAGCTGAATACACAAAGTAGAGATCTACCAATGCAACTATTAGTAATTATTAATCATTAAAATTTTAAAATCTGGGACAAATGCTAGATCAATTGGGATACTGGGACAATAGGTATAGGCTAGGATGACCCCCCTTTTGGTCACCATAGTTATAGAACAATAAAGAAGCTTCACTTTCTTTGCTCTTTTGGAAATGGTATTCATAATTTTGCTACCTGGTATACAAGTGCACCTGAGTTTTCCAAAGGCACAGTTTCCTAGATTTGAGTTCATTTTAGCCAATGGCAATACATGAGCCCAGGATGTCTGCTTGCTATTTGTGACTATATGACCTTCAGTCTATTCCTTTTGCCATTGAAAGTAGTTTAAAGACTGCCTGGTTGACTAGGCCATCTTGGTCATTTAGTTATAAAGTAGAGCTAAGCAGGCCAGGGGACTAAAGAGCTGACACATGGTATGTATTCAATAAATACTTCAATAAAAAAAGCCATTGTTGGAACTGTTACTGAAAGTCACCAAATTCTAGGCTGTTTTCCTTGTAACATCAGTGATCTTATAGCAGCTTTCATGGCTATGTGTTTATGACTCAATAGATATTTAAAGGAAGTTTAAATAATCAAAAAGTAATGTCAGTAGTTCCTTGAAGGTCCTATAAAATGACCTTACAACATTCAAAATATCAATGAATAACTTCTGCATTAGGGCATCAGAGTCACAAGATCCTTGCAAGAAGGTTTACAGCAAAAAAAAAAAAAAAAAAAGAGAGAGAGAAAGACTGATTACTTGTCACAGAATCGCTGAGTGAATCACTAAGTGAAGACCTGCCTATCACAGTTTTCTGTTCCTGAAATGTTGACTGCACATTTTGCTTCTGCTTGACATATCAAGCTAAGTAACTAAATGCTGATATTTGATATTATTTGATGTCATAATCAGATGCTCATTCAATACAAGTCACTGCCAAATTTTACAAAGACTTGCAGAAATTGAAATTCTAGTTAATGTTATCCTTCACTTGCTGCTTTGGTTCCAGAGTTTAAGTTAATTCTTTTCTAGGCTTTTAATTAAGCAGATGATGAGAGTGGGATGGGACAGGGGTCAACATTAAGTTTGGAGTATTGTTTTCTCATCATTCACCACAGCCTGCTTCAAATCTGTTTTATTTTTATTTTTGAGTTTATTTTTTCAGCACTGAGGAAAGCTGATAACATCATATATATTTGGTCTGCCCCAAGAATGTCACAGAGAGGCCAGATAGATGCATTCTCTCAAAAGACATAGATGCCTGTAGTATACTGAAGAATTTTCTAGTTATTTCCTAAGAGGTAGGTGTTATATATTTTGGAACATAGTTGTCTAGATTCTCTGGCAGAATAAAATAACTTTTGTTACTACAAAAATAACAGGGGTGGAGAAAAAAATTATGTTATCATAGGCTTTATTAAAGAGTGTGCCATGGAAAATGAATTATATAAGCTGCTCCAAGAAAGAAGGGTTCTCTGGCCAAGACCTTCACATCACACCTTCCTCTTGGTGGTTCCCAACACACGTTAACATAGTAAAGAATCTGATTGGTCCTGTGATGAGTAAATCATTTAGAATTGCTTAACCTGGAATTTTCTAAAGCTATTTATCATGAAACTCTCATCCTGTGGTACTTCCCATAGAAACACTAAACTGGTTATAATATAATTTTTAAAGTCTGTTTTCTTGCATTAATTAGACTAATGATTTACTTCCTACAGTCCAAGACATTATTTCCTGTTTATTTTATCTATAATATTTATTTAATCTAGATATATTTTCTTTCAGTTATTTTCTGCTAACAAGCTATGATAGTCCCTCCAAATGCTTAGTGCCACATGATCTTTTAAAATCAGTGACTCTCACTCTTCCCAAAGCCCTTGAGCTTCTGTGAACCAGTCTCATGTTTTTCTTTCCCTTTATTTTTGATCTTTGAAGCTTCATTGTCTTCTACTCTACAGTAGAACCATTGCAACGTAGCTGGCATTTGACCAGGTTCTGTTTTTCTCATTCCCATTTCTCTTACTCCCAATTGTTACTTTGCTCTCAAGATTTGATCAGTATGATATCTGTCATTTCAATAAAATGAAAACATTCCACATTATGGATATAATCTCTTGACAGACCAATATTGACCTGACTTCCATTTTTTTTTTTTTCCTGGATAGATTTACTACAGTCTTTCCCCCTGCGGTAGAGCCCTCAATATCTACTGAAAGTGTTGTAGAACTCAGGCCTGTGGTTTCTGCCCTGGCCCGGGCCAGTGGTTTGGCCCAACAGGGCCACCTTTCTGCCCTGCTGTAGGGTTGAAAGTATGGATGGATTCAATTTATTCAAGAAAATGTGGGGGGTGCCTTCAACATACTAGCATTGGGATACAGTGACAAGGAGAACAATCTAGGCAGGAACCTGTTTTTATGAAACAAATATTCTACTAGCTGAGAGTTTTGTCAGTGACTGCTGTTATTGTTTAAAATATAGTTTTTTAAAAAGGAATGCTGTCTTCACCCAGTTTTGAGGCACTGGCTGGAGGCTGGTCAGCTTCCCTCTCTGAGCCGCTGATTAAGTCCATACCCCCAAGGACTTCCCTTATCAGGCTCTCACATTCTGGAACTCTGTGCAACATCTCTAAATGCCTCATGGCCAGGTACCAGACAACTAAGAACAGCCCCTGTGAGCCAGAGAAATTATTCAAATAAGCCAGTTCACAGGGAGCTTAGGAAACCTAGCTAACCCCACCCAACTTGCCATGCACAAACTGCCTGCTATAGCTCAAGCTTGCTGTTGCCTTGCCTCAGGTGCAGTCCCTGTGTGGCCCTGGGTGGCATCATTCTGTTCTTTTATTTGCAGCTGGAAGCAGAAAAAAGTTTTGTTATTCATCTATTTGAGAGTGTTGGTGCATTGTGTCTCACCATCGAAATAACTTTCTTATAAAATTTAGCTGCAAGCAGCAAAATTTTGGTTTTTCCCTTCATTGTTCTGGAAATTGCAAAGGATTTAGAGGTACTAGTTGGTGGTGAAGAGGAGGTGGAATCATGATTTTAAAGAGAGAGGAATTCTTTTTTAAAAAATTAACTTGAATAACTTAATTTCCCCATCAAGGACTCTAGCAGATTAATATACCCCATTTATTCACATATTTATTGTGTGTTTACTATTTACTGTGGCCCTGGTATTATAATGCCAGGAGGTATGCAAGAAATAGAAAATGTGTATCCTTCTCTTGAGAAGCCTATAGATTAATACAGGAGATATGACATGCACTTAAAATGATTAGAGAGCCAAAATCAAGCATGTGGTAATGTAATCAAACCATCCTTAAGACAAAAAAAAAAAAAAAGAGAGAAAAAAGAAAGAAAGAAAATAATGCGAAAGAACTATAGAAATACATTTGCTTGCAATTTTCGATAACTAACCTAAAACCCCTTTTTTAGACTTTCCTAGTTATTCTGCTGGAGAAATATTTGTGTGATTGCTCTGTCCCTCAGTTCATTCTTCCCAGCTCTGAAAACCTTTTTCTGAGGCACTCAGGGCCTGGCTGTTTCCAGCCTTGCTATGAGAAGCTAAGATGTTCTGGAGCCATGTGGATTTGAGCTAAAGCAGCTAACAAGGTTCTCTCAAGGGATGGATTTGGAGGAATGTGTTGGCAGTTCAGATCAGATGAAGCCATTTATTTTAAAACTTGGGTGCATTTCAAAAAGGAAAATGGTTTCAGCACAAATCCATTTGCAATACCAACCTTCCTGGTTGGGGAATTGAATGTTTAGCTAATTTATTTTTGATGGGCAGGCTTCTGTGTGTTTTAAATGATGGCTGACTGGCCTGGAATTTGGACTCCTCTAGAAGGCATTGGCTTTCAAGGGAACTCACGCTTTTCCCAGAGGAGATGCAGGAAGCTGTAGTTGATCAAGCCTCTGCCCTTTCTGTGGACCTACTCTCCAGTGACCTTCAATCATTCTTCCTACCAATACTTTATTATTAAATATCTACCTTGAGTAAAGGATTGTGGCAGCCTCTGCAAGGAATGCCAAACTTGTCAACACAGAGAGGGCAAGGACTCTGTGCAAGGCAGAATATGCGCATTGCCATAAAAGAGGCATAAAGTGCATGGAGTGAGGAAGGAGTCACTTCAAACTGGGTGAATCAGAGGGAGCTTTACAGAGACAGAGGTACTTGAGCTGACACTTGGAGAACAGGTTTGATTTGGCAGCTAGAGAAGGGAATTGTAAACTACAGTGGGCCAACTGTCCCCTCCACTTGTTTTGATAAATAAAATTGATTTGGAACACAGCCATGCCCATTCATTAATGTATTGTCTATAACTGCTTTCACACAACAACAGAGTTGAGTAATTGTGACAGAGGCTTGTATGGCCCTCAAAGTCTAAAAAATTTACTATCTGGCTCTTTAGAGAAAAAGTTTGTGACCTCTGTTTAAAGTCAGTTGCTTAAGGGAATGATATATGGCCTTGCTGTTTGGACTTGATGTAGGCCAAAATATATGACTTCATTTGGCAGGCATTCTGGAGACAAAGTGCCTCTGAGTGCTGGGAGTGTTTGGATGATATGATGGTTCTGAACTTCAGGACAGTGAGTGTGGTAGATGGACTGTGGAAGAGAGATGCTACAGGCAGGAAGAAAAAATTCAGAAGTTCATGTTGTCACCTAAGTGAAAAATAATGAATCTGGATTAGAAGCATAGCTGTGATGAAAGAGAGAAGACACAAAAGACATTGTGAATAAAGCACTGTAAGGGAAGACCAAAGGAAAGAGAGAATTGAGGATGGCTCTGGAGTCTTGAGCCCGAATGACTGGGGATGTCAATGACCCCTTCTCTGAACATCCACCCATCTGAACAGGATGAATTGGGTACTCCTCCCACCCTACCCCAATTAGGAGAAGGGATAAAGCTGGAGTGGCTCCATCCCTCCAGGGCAGCTAGTGTTGGGAGGGGAGGTGGTCAGAAGCTTTTGTTATAGAGGGAGCAAGACCCAAAGCTTTGCCTATGGAAACGTATCTGTTACTAGACAGAAAATCAGGCTATGTTATCTCTGAGACAAAAATATTGCAAGAGTTGGAGGGGTGTCCTTGTAATTTGGGTCACCTTGGAGGATTGCCAGATGAAATATGAAATGCCCAGTTAAGTTTGAATTTCAGATTAACAAGGAATTTTTTTATAATTATGTCCCAAATATTGAATGAGAGATATTTATACTAAAAATTATTTGTGGTTGATCTGGAATTCAAATTTAATGGAATAAATTTCAGATCAACAGTGAATAATTTTTTAGTGCAAGTATTTCCCAAGTATGGAATATATTTATAATAAAAATTATCTGTTGTTCAAGTTTAGTTGGGCTTTTTATTTTTCTCTAAATCTGACAACCTTACTGTGCTGGGGTAAGCAGCCATAGCTCTCACTTTTGGGGAGACCGAGCACAAATTAGGACACCTGTATTTGCTTTACCATGTAGGAGTAGAGTTGACACGCCCAGGGTTTCTGGAGCCCACAGCGGAGTGGAGGACAGTTCAGTGAACATCAGGCCTGGGTATGAGGCACTTTTCTGGAGTGTGGACAAAGGATGGACCCAGGGGTGTGATAGGGTGAAGTTTCCAATGGTGGTGGTCTGATCATCTAGCTGAGACTTTAAAGAGGGTCTGGACTAAATAGGAAAAGTGAATTCAGGGTGGAGATAAATTCCTTAGAGGAGCCGCCTTTCAAAGACCTAATTCTGGAAGGAATTTTCTTGTGACAGAACAAAGCAACAGCTATGCTAGATGAAGGTTCCAGCTTCTATCACACTGGCTCCAATGTACAGATCTGCCTACTTCAGACCTTTGGAACTTTGACATATTAGCTCAGTAAATAGATGAACATTATCCACCCACAGTCATGGAGCTATGTGGTAGTTAATTTTTTTGTGTCAAGTTGGGTAGACTATGGTATTCAGTTGTTTGGTTTAACACCAGTCTAGATATTGCTGTGCAAGTATTTTCTTAGAGGTGATTAAAATTAAAGTCAGTAGACTTTAGATAAAGCTGATCACTTTCCGCAGTGTGGGTGGGCCTTACCCAATCAGTTGAAAGCCTTAAGAGAAAAGACAGTTTGCTGGAAGGGGAAGGAATTCTGCCTCTCAGCTGCCCTTGAATTCAAGACTGCAACATCAGCCCTTCCTGAAATTTTCCAGGCTGCTAGCCTGCCCTGCTAGCCAGCTCCTTAAATTGTTAGTCAATTACTTAAAATCTCTTTCTCTTGCTTTCCCTCTTGCTGTGTCTGTTTTGTTTCTCTAGAGAACCCTGACCCATACAGGCTGCCACGCAGGTGATCCTGGAGTGGCAATGACTTCCATCCCACTTCCCACCAATCTCACCCAGAGCCATTGCTGGTTTCTGGCAGTATAGATTCCTCTTCCCAACTCCAGGCCTGTGCAACAATAAGACCAAGCTCCCTGTTTACACAAATAGGTCACCACAATACAGTCCTTTAGTCAGGGGAAGGTAGGACCCACCTGGTCTGGGTCACACATCCAAGAGCTGTCATACAGGAGAGTGGGTTGTTCCCCATACATAGCTTGATGAGTACAGCCTTGGCCTTGCAACTTTCGGGTGTGGGACTGTGCCCTTTGACCTCAGACATGCTCCCAACACAGCAGCTCAAATTCACTCTGCACAAAGTGTGCTGTAGAGCAGTCTGTTTCTAAGAAGGCCGTTTTGTCAAATGTCTTTTCCTCTTTCTCCAGCCCCCTCACTGGAGAGACGATGCAAACAGAGACATGCAGATCGATACAGAAAATCAGGTGGAGGGTGTGTCTGCTCTTCTCCCAGCTCCCTAGCAACAGCTAGATCATCCTTTTATAAATCTTTTCATGGAAATTCTAGCCTTTCTGTGCAGGTCTCATCTCTGTTTTTTGTCTCTCAATATCTTTCTCCCTGCCTGTCTGTGTCTATCTATTTCTCTTTACCCTTTCCTCCCTCCCACCAACACCCTGTCTCTGTCTCTCTCTGCATGTTTCTTTCTCTCTGGTGTGATTTCCCACATTAACCACCGTCCATTTCTTTGATTCCTTCTTGGCAATGAGAGCTAGAGCACCATTATGCAACAAGCAGTCCTGCCTCCCTGCTACCTTAAAATAATACTGTTTCATGGTGACAAATGGATATGGTTAACAATGAAAGTAAAATGCTTAGCAGGCAGGGGTGTGACTGTGTCAGATTTCTCTGCTAGCAAAAACAGACAGTGGCCCGAGAATCTCTAAAGAAAGGAATCTGTATATGGGGATAGTTGGTGGTGTTTGCCAGGTGGACTCCTCTGCCGTTTTATTCTTAATTTAGCTTCTGTGAATCTCAAGACTAACTTCTCAAAGGTGATACAATAGTCATTCTTAATTTACTAAGTTTTTGTCTTGTCGTAAGAAACTTAAAATGTGTCAGTGGATGTTAAAATCTGGCCTTTCAGATTTACATCTGTTATTTTTCTTGGATTAAAAAAAAAAAGACAAGGAAAAAAAAACACCTCAATCTGAATTAATGAAGAAACATAATGCTTTTTGTGCCCTGGTGACTGAAGTTTCTACATTGTGTCAGAAAAGCCTCAATTAGAAGAAAGAAAGCAAGAAAGAAAGAAAAAAGAAGAAAGAAAAGAAAGGAGTTTTTCTAGACTTCTTTTCCCTCCTCACCACTAAGAGGGATACAAGATGAATATTAAGAAATCTTCCACCCAAATGCTGTCTGCATGCACATGTGTGCATGTCTGTGTTCTGCACGCTGCATGTGTGCCTTTCTCCTGGGTGCAGATGGCTACTCCAGGAGCAGCACATGTGGGCTGTGTATGTCTGAAAGTCAGCTCAGTTGTGCACATGGAAAGAAGAAAACAAGAGAGTGAGGTGGAAACCACACAAACCTAAATCAAAAGCAACTGTTCTACCATGAGGAAAGCAGGCGAACCTTGCTTTGTGCACACTGCACTCTTTCTTTGCCGCCCAGACTGATCTTTGAAATAAAATAAAGAAGCATGGCAAACTAACTGAAACATAGGTAGAAATAATATATTTGGGTTTCGGAAAAAAAAATATCCTGGCATAGCTTAAAAGGCACCCATTTCATAACAACACATGTGCAAAGAATTACAATAATTGCAGCGCACACATCAGGAACAGACAGAGTGAACAATGAATATTAAAAACACATTCCTAGAGCTGGCCCTGTGGCTTGGCAGCCGCGCACAGCATGGAGACCTGCGAGGGAGTCAAAGGAAGCCTCTTTGCTTTTCCAGAGCTGTCAGGGCTTGGCAGGAGCTGAGGTGGGAACCTTCGGTGTATGAGGAAAGTGGAAGGAGGAAGGTGGCGGTGACTATGCCCAGCGGTGTGACTCCTGTCTCCTCCTGGCAGAGCCTAGGGTGGCTTCAGGAGGGTTTCATAGAAGAAGTCAGTCTCAGCCGTTTGGTGCTCCAATTCAGAGCTGAAGCGGAGCCAGACTGAGAAGGAGGAGGGATGGGGATAGAAAAACAAACACCAGAGAACAAACAGACAGAAGGTAGTGCTGGGAACAGCCAGCCTGTGTCCTGCAGGAAAATCCCAAGTCCTCTCTCTCTCCCTCCAGGCCGCCTACAGCATGGTGTAGCATGAGGGCCTTCGCTGCTGCTGAGACATAGACTGGGAAAGTGTTTATCTCCATGAAATAAATACATTGATCTGCCTTTTTTCTTTCAATATTTGCTGTGCAGTGGGGGATGAATTCCTCTAGTGGTGTGCTCCAGAACCTTCAAAGGCACATTAACCAAACATTAAAGGTACGTAATGATCTTTTCAATGAATCCCTTCCATTGTCAGCAAAGACAAAGGCCCTTCTCTTAAGTACAGCTTTGGTTTTGAGTGTTCAGATTTTGCCTCTTGCCATTGGCAGGGAATTGACCCTGGAATCCTTGCATCTTTGGCAACAAGAGAGGTCAGAGGGTGGGAATCTCTAACTGGAGAGTTTGGTTCACATGCTGAGAGTTGAGGTCTTAGGATTCTTAAGCTGCCGGCCATGAACATCTAAGGAAGCATGGAGATAGAATTCAGGGAGCTCCATGAAGGTGGATGAAAAAAAGAGACATCTTTAATCTTTATTTTTGATAATCTCTGAAATTTAGCATTCTTTCTATCACAAATGTGGGAAACAAACTATAGTCATGTTAGTAATACTTATGACTTTGTCACTAATAAAAATTACAGATATTTTAATGCTATTTTGCTGTTTCAGATGTCTTCAAATTATTATTTCTATCCCTCACAGTTCTGGAATTATAGTAATTATTAAACCTGCTATAAGATCTTATTATTTTATGCATTAATGAAGAGGCAATTATCATAATAAAATACTTTGATAACTGTATTTTCATGTAATTGGTTTCCCTTGACATCATATTATGTACTGTATTTTATTCTTGTTAAAAAAGATGATTCTGAGAACGGGTCCACAGAGCACATGGCTACATTACCAGAAGGTTCCATGGCACACACAGCATTCTCTAGACAGAAAAGAGAATCCAGACTCAAAAGCAGTTGTGACACGCTGGACCCTTCACACAGAGGTCTCCACACATGGGGGAGAGAAGGGAAAGGCAAACATATGTCTCCAGACACAACACTGAGGATTTAACAAAGAAATTTTACTTATCTACTCCTTAGATATGCTCAACAAATGTTAGCATTTGCCAAGATGAACATTTGCATTTTCTCTTCAACAATTTTCAGCAGAGCTCCAAAATGATTACATTAAAAATAAAATAAAATAAATCCCTCCAACACCTCCCATGTCTCCAGATACTGGCCAGCAGTGTTTGCCATTGAATCACAATCAACAAGGTGGAAAAAGGCTGATGATGAACTGTTTTGCCAGTTTCTACACCAAGTGGAAGGACAGAGAACATCTATAAAAGGGATGGGGAGAGAATCAAATAATACAAGACAATATGGGATGACATCTCTGAAATCAAGGCATCAGCTAAAAGAACTGACACCCACAAATGTCAGAGTGGTGAGTTAGAAAGTTCCTGTATTTTCAGTTGTCCTCATGACAGAGGGTAGGAGGAGTTCAGATTTGGAAGCAATGATTCCTTTGATTGATTAGAACCTGAAATCCTGCTGAACTCTCCTTGTACCAATGCAGAATCTAGCACTGGGAGGGGTGCTGAGAGAAACAGGCCTACTCACAACACTCCAAAATATGAACCTCAGTATTTGGCTCACAAGGGACAAAAGTACTGCGCTGGAGAAAATATGCAAAATAGTAGCAATCTTCATGGACAATTTTTTTAACTTGAAAAAAATATTGAATGTTATACTAGAGTTCTTACTATATAAGAAAGTCAAGAGAAAGAGAGAAATGTTTGGAAGGATCTAGATTCATTATGTATCAGACACTATATTAGTTTTTTTGTACATTTATCTTATTTATCCCTTTCAACACTTTTATGCGGTATTATCAGCCCAACTCTTTCGGATGGGGGCACATTGAAGTTTAGATCATGAAATAACTTGATTGAGGTCACAGAGCTAGTCAGTGGGATTTAAACCTAGGTTTGTCTGACCCCCAAAACCACTATTCAGTTATTTCAAATGGTTCCAATTATAAAAATCTCTGTGACTAAATCATTAAAATTCAAGAAGTCATTATATAAGTTGAAGGATTAAATTTGAAGTTAGGAACATGAATGGCAATGTGGTAACAAGTTACATGTTGTCAAGAGAAACTTTATAATAGTGAACAAAATTGTTTCTCATCTGCAGAAAGCCAAATGGGCTTGTCCATCTATTTTAATCCTCAACTTAAATAAATATAAAAGCAGCCACCTGGAATGGAAGGGCTCCTTGATGATCTACTCATTTGCCCACACAGTAGTGCTCTCTGTCTATTGTCAGAATGTGAAACTGTCATCCCCATTCCTAGTCTGCAGAAAATAGGAGAATCCATCTGGTGCATGAGATTCTCACCACATTTTGTTGAGTTCAAAGTGTGTTTTTGCCCAAATTGCCATCTCTTACCAACTGTATCTGCAGGGCACCCAAGGTTAGAGTTAAGGCCAGGAAAATAGCTATTAAAAATTAGGAAAAAGGTAACAAAAGAAAATCTCAAATACATGCCAGGATATTCATCAAGGCATCACTGCTCTTCACCATCCGTATGCCTCCTCCCATTTCAAGGAAAGCTGTGATGAGAGAGTGGACATATTTGAGGTCCTCCTTAAAATAATTTTGCCCCATCACATCATGGCAAGATATTGTAGTCTGCAAGCTACAGACATGAGGTGCTACTTTGGGATGACCTTTAAGGCCTTGTCCAGCCTTAACTTGCTGTGATTTTTGGGAGGTTAACAATTGTTAAGAAAGAAAAACCTCTAAAGGTGTTTTCATAATGCCATGTAGCTGTTAGAACTAAAAGGGTTCTTGATTGAAGTTCAGTTATGCAAGACTACAGCTCTTTCATGCTGCAAGTTATAGGACAAGTTATAGGATTTGAAAGACTTAGTAAATAACCTACGATCAGAAAATTCAATTTGTTCATGAGGTGGAGAAAGGCATCCTGCTATTAAGCAGTCAGATGGAAAACATGCAAACCACAGTTTGTGGAAGAGAAAAGAACATAAAAACCCTTGGGCAGAAGCACGAGCAAGTGCAGGAAACATGTTCAGCAAAGTCGACGTGTCCATTGTAAATGTGGGAAGCAGGAGCCTCAACACCAATTGAAATTCCAAACTGCAATAACTGGATACATCACACCCAGGTCAATCCTTCCAGTGGGGAGCACTGAGGAGTCTATGAGATTCACTCACACAGAGCTGGGTTTGAAACAGAAGATTCTGGTCAAGTAAAAATGCTCTCTGAGTCAGGCACAGCCAGTGATAAGCAAAGCAATTAGCCAGTGATAACACCAGCAATAAGCAAAGATGGCAAAAGTCACAATTAGACAAGGCCACATCTCTGTTAGGCAAAAAGATGAACTCTCCTCTGAAAATAGAAGAAAAACTCATCATAAAGCACACACTCATTATTGCTGCAGAAGATCTTGGAAAATTGCTTTGAATGGATTGGCAAAAACTATATTTGCATTAAGAATCACCTCCCTCTCCCAAAATGGATTATTATCTATTGCAAAATCTGGCTGCTCTATATTGCCTTATTTTTCTGGTGTGCTTTCTTTTCCACATCAAAAAATAACTGTGGTGTGTAAGCTCAGATCCTATAACGCTTGTATTTTTTTGGCATCTGTTGTAATATTGGGGTAGTGTAATCAGGGCCACTGCTAACCTATTTGCTATTCTTGTGCAAATTTGAAAAACAGCTTTCCTTTCTGCAGGTGGATCACAGGCCCATGCCAGGGCAAAGAGTTTGGTAAACAGAATACGGGCTGGATTTCAGTCCCACTCTCACCCTCAGCTGGATGTGCAGTCCCAGGTGCAATATTATCTCCATCACTAGATGGTGGGACCTGCTGAGTTCCATTTTACATCAGCGAGGGTAGCAGATGCTGTTGGTGCCTGGCCATATCCCTTCAGCCGTTCCAGAGGTTACCTGAATCTGCAATATTCAGCTTTCTGTGTATATCAAGATTTCTTAACTCAAGCTCCTGTTTCTCTCTGCCTGGGCTTTTCCTGGCTTCAGGAGCATGCTGGACAAGGCAGGGGTATTAATGCCCATAAGCAGTCCTCAACCAGAGTGGTGGAGTGGAGTTGGTGGATAAATCCTCCAGCCTCCATGCCCCTAGGTGAGTCAATTCCGAGGCATGTCTGCACAGTATCCTATAGGGTCCTCAGCATTCACACATCCTTTGTTGATTTCCTTCCCTTCCTTGTTTCACTTTCTGTTATGAACCGAATGTTTGTATTCCCCCCAAATTTATATGTTGAAATTCTAACCCCCAGTGGGATGGTATTAGGTAGTGGGCCTTCGGAAGGCAGTTAGGTCATGAGGACAGAGCCCCGATGAATGAGATTAGTGTCCTTATAAAAAGGGACCACAGAGGGTTCTCTTGCATTTTTTTTTAACCACGTGAGAAGTCTGCAACCTGGAGGTTCACCTGCATCAGCACATGACCATGCTGACACCCTGATCTCAGACTTCCAGGCTTCAGAACTGTGAGAAATAAATTTCTGTAGTTTATAAGTGACCCAGTCTATGGTGTTTTGTTATAGCAGAATGAACAAATGAAGACACTTTCCCATTCCTTCCTTATGCCTCCTAGGATCAACTTCCAAATCCTGGCATTCTATCCCTTGTCTCAGAGTCTGCATTTGAGGAATCCAAATTAAGACACTGGGCCTCCTCACTATGATTCTAACTCTTGGCTTGATATACACCCCCAAGATTTAGAGCATTAAATAGAATTTTCAGCACATAAAATTCTTCATGAATGAAGGTAGTATTTCACTAGTCAGGTAACATTAACAAAAGAAAAAAAAATCACACCATAAGGAGGGTAGAAGCAAAATGGTTACCCAGAGAATTTACAATGAGAAAAGTTTTCTACAACTGTCTTCAAGAAAATGCACTTAAAGGCAAAGCAAACCGTATGTCCTGGCAGTAGGCAGGGTAGGGGGAGAGAGGAGAAAAGGGAATGACTGTGCTTGGTAACATCTTTGCAATAGAGAATGGCCTTCAGGTTTAGTGTGAGGTTAGGTTGTAAGGTTAGGAGGACTGAGTGAGTGAAGGAGCAAGGGCTCAATGCTTTGAACCTCACTGCAGAAGCTTGCTGGAGTCTGGCCGAAAAGAGAAGCAAATGGGTGTGGGGGGAGACATAGTGTGGAGCAGGTACTTTTTAATCCGTCCATCCAGTTTTAAAGTTCACCCCTAAATCTGGGGATTCCATTCAAACATTATGGAACCCTGTATTGGTATGTGCTGAGCACAGTGCTAGGCACTACTTCATGAGAGAGAGAAATGGACACAAATCCTGTCCTTAAGAAACTTGCAGTCTAATAGAAGACCTAAGATATGCCAAGACCTTTGGCACAGGCCAAAATAAATGCCCACGAAACAACTACCTTCTAGACTTTACGCATCTTAAGGGCAGGGCTGTGTTTTCTACATCTTTATATGGCATGCCTTGAATATAATGGGTGTTCATAGATGAGTGGTGTTTGAATAACCCAAGGAAGAATCTCATTATATAACATAAAGTTTCATGGAAAAGCAGAGAAGGCAGAAATCCATTGTAGCTGGAGAAATAAGGGAAGGCTTCCTGGGAGAGGTGGCTTTGGAGCTGACTGACAGTTACAAAGTAAAATACGCCCAAATAAAATGGGCTCTGTGGAACTCTGCTTTGCTTGTCAGCAGGGATCTGAGATCAAGTTTGGAGATACGTCTTTTCTTCCACTATTCCTTGGAATCTCATGGGTATATATTCAACTCTAACTTCTTAATATTTTAAAAGTGGTTTACTCTGAAAATATCCCAAGCCTGAGCCTTTTATTCTCTTGACATCAATGAAAGGGTTTTATTTTATTGCTTTCACTGCAACTAAGGGACTATTGTTAGTTTATTCTTCATTGTTGCTCAGAGATATACTTAAAAACACAAGCATACATTTGAAGATGGGAAACAAAAAGATGGAAAAATGCATCTATTTAGGAAAGCCAAGCCTCTGCAAGAGAAAACAAAAGGCTGCCAAGTAGATTTGTGTTTTAATTTGTGATCCTTCTTGCTCCCAGCTTGTAGCCACCTAACTCTCCTTCACACCCGATCTCACTTTTCCTCTGCCAGGACTCACAGCAATGCCTCATCAGTGGGTGTTCCATGTATGTCAGGAGGACAGCAAGAGTTTATGTGGAGGACCTTTGCTCAGGGAAACCCTTTAATGGGCAGAGCTCTCCCATTGATCCAGCAAGGTCAGCACCTGCCAGGTGGATAGACTACCTTTTCATTAATTTGTGAACCTTATGAAATTGCCATTTGTGTGGGTCAACAAATGGTTGAAACCAATAGAACAACTAGCCCACCACCTAGGAAAAAAAACAAAAAACAAAAAGTCAACCTCAAAGGGTTTTTTTTCTCTGCTGATCTCAATTTTGCCACTGAAATCTATCCACATAGCACCTGTGCTGTGTGAAAATTCTTAGTAAGTCTAATGAGGTCACCACAGGAAGAGAAGATTTGAAATTCAGTCCATGAGCAGAGATGGGTAAGGAATATCAGAGACTGTGCCTACTCTTAGATCGATCTCATGATCACGCCTCTCTGCACCCCTCCCTGTGGTGCTGCCTGAGAGCTGATCCAAGTTTTTGTCCCCCTGGAATCAGACAACTGCTCTGTTCCCTGATTTCTTACCTCTAGACATGGAAAAATCAGTTTTATTCTGGTATCTTCCTAGGCTTCTCCAAAGCTACTCTGCTTCTGCCTATAAACTTCCTTCTCTTCCTTCTTCCCTCTCCAGTGAACTCACTGCGTTCTAAAAGTTTAGGCTTTTGGAAAGCAAAGCCAGGAAGCCCTGAGACTTTCTACTTTCTGATTATAAAATGAACTTCCCCTGGGGCAAAGCAACGCGGAGTCTACTTAAATGGGGCAGGGGGTAGTCAGAAAAAAAGTGGAGGAAAAAAAAGTAATTAATATCACAAAATATTTAGCCACAAGCAGAATATATGGTAGAGTGGTAGGGATTAGAAATGTACAAGAACATCGTCTCCTTAATAAGCTTCCCCAGGTCGGATTTTAATTGTCTCGAAGCTTGAGAGACTTTAAGACAAAAAGAAGAGTATCCTGAATTCATTCGCCTCCAGCTGTCTTCCTCTGGGACAGTGAACTAGCACAATCCACACCTCATGAAAGACTAAGGCTGATGTGGGTTTGTGAGATGGATTGGGTTGGTTCCCACCTTGTTTCAACTGGTACATAACAAATAATCTGAATAAAAGCTCAGGAATCACTTCGAGACATTCGGGATCAGAGCAGGACAGGCTAAAGGAACTTCTTCTCCAAGCCCTAAGGTTATGGTTCCCTCCTTGCATGTTGTTTTTTTTCTCTTAAAGCCATTCAACATTTTTATTTTACGACTGCTTCAGGCTCTTTGCCACCCATTGGCATGATGGTGGCACTGGTTTACGTTTAAATTTCTTTTTTTCCTTGACTGTCTGTTTGCCCAGTTACCCAGGTGATTGACTCAGCTACTTATGAGTCAATCTTCTGAAAAGTCATTTTCAGAAGTCTTACCATTTATTTGCACCATCAACAACAAATATTTCAGGCGTGAATCAGAGCGCCATTGTCTTTGTGGAGGTCGTCATGGTGCTGACTTGTCTTCATTGGTGTTCTCTCCTGCGTGGGATCCTGCCAAGGAAGCCTCTCACAGGGCGAGCTGGAGAATGTATTACCATTTAGAAGAACTAATTTCATTTAGAAGTTGACGTTTCAGCCAGGTCTTCTGAGAGTTAGAGTCATTGTGAAAGTGCACTTGGGATGATCTAGAGAAGACAGTAAACAACAAAAACTAAAAGCCAGCTGACATACTGCCCCAGAAATTTCTGTTAAACAATGTTTAACAGAAACATTGTTTCTTTTTGGGGGTGGGTGGGGAGGAGGGCAACTTTGAAAAATAGATGCAAGGACCACATAAAAGGGATATGTACCAATAAGAAAAAATTTGTGCCAGATAGGAAATGAGATATAAAAATGAACTAAATATTCCAGTGGAGTTAGGAAGAAATAAAATATTTATGGATAAATCTTATTTGGGGATGACAGTATGAATGCCAAGGAAAAACGAGAAACACCAAGCCTGCTGCTTACTGAGTTAGGACATGTTCTTTCATTAGTTCCTTAGTGTGTAAGGGGAGGTGAGGAGTTCCCTGGCTTGTTGTGGGGAAAAAGCTTCAGAGGGAAAGAAATGGGGCAGGCCTAGGCTTGTTGGTGGGGCTGAGATGTGAGCAAATGAGACCTAAAACAACAGTCGCAATGATGAAACGCGTCTAAATGGCCTCAGAAGGACTTGGAATGCAGCCCTGTCTATACTATCAGACCATTTCATCTCTGTGTGAAGGAAGAATCCAGCATGAATTTTCTTCCCCCATTCTGGGCAAGAGGCAGGAGGGGTTGAAAGATAATAGTGAATGGCACTTTCCTCTCCTGAGTATGGCACTGAAAGGTGTTGAAAACCAGAGGAACATCTACTGCCATCTATTCAGTTCCACAATTATACAATTGTCAACCACGGGCTCACAGATTGAGCAAGTTTTTCCACTTACAGGAAAAAAGTGGCCGGAGGAATTTAACCTTTTTTCTTCAAGAGATTAAGCAAAGACGTTTTCATGGCCTTAGGCATGCTGGGGCCAGTTTCCAACCTTGAGCTCACTTGCTGTCCACAGGTGGCAGAACAATCTCTGCTGACTGTTCTCACAGGTGACCTCAGGTAGGACGTAGTTCTGTGCACTGCTTCACAGCAGATAAACTGAGTCAGAGGGGCTTGTCTCTGGGCCTGGGAGAGGACAAGGAGCCTGGAGTTCCACAACCCAGAGCAGAACACAGATCTCTGCTTCAGCCCTTGCCCCCTCCTCTCACCTTGACACACCGTTGGAGTTTAGACAAAGGCTGACAGATCCTGAAACTTTCCTGGGGAAGGTCAGCCTCAGATACTGACAAGACACCAAGGGACTGCAGCTGCTTACTATGGAAAGAGCATGACCCTATGAAGAAAGGAGATGAAGGCCTGTAAAAGGGACATTTTTATAAGCAATATAAAAGGAGATACTTTTTGGGTTCATTTCTTTTTGTGCAAAAATGACAACTAGGGATATGAATCAAAGTTTGGGCTGGATTAGAAGTATGTGCTTCAGAAACGGCCACTGGCAGGTCAGTCTACACTCTGGTTCATGGCTAGTCCTCTTCTCACATCCATCAGCTCCCAGCTCTGTTACCCTTGGTAGCAGTGTGGCAGAGCCCCGTAAGCTGTGCATAAACCAAAATATATGCTCCATTACTACGTGATTGTGTGACCTTGGACAAACTGTTTAACTTTGCCTGAGCCTCAATGATATTATCAATGAAATGGGGATGTTTCTATTTTCCTCGTGCCAAGGGCTGTTGTGAGAGTCAACAAGAGGACACAAAAGGAAAAATTTTGAGCACAAAAACTGCTGTACACAAGTGTGAATTCTAGAAAAATCAAGCTGTAAGCCTGGTGTTCTGTAGAACATTGTTTCTCTGTAGAGCGGTAAGTGATAACACTTTAAAGAACCGTTGAAAGTGTGTGCAGTTTTACTTTTTTGAAGGGTGGCCTCATAAGCCTTAGATTCCTTTTAGCTTTCTTCAGGAGGTACCGCTTGTCCCTATATACTGCCATTTTTCCTTATAAAAGAGTTCTGAGTGCAGTGGCTCACACCTGCAACCCCAGCACTTTGGGAGGCTGAGGCGGGTAGATGACCTGAGGTTAGGAGTTCGAGACCGGTCTGGCCAATGTGGTGAAACCCTGTCTCTACTAAAAAAAAAAAAAAAAGTACAAAAATTAGCCGGGCATGGTGGCATGCACCTGTAATACCAGCTACTCAGGAGGCTGAGGCAGGAGAATTGCTTGTACCTGGGAGGTGGAAGTTGCTGTGAGCTGAGATCGTGACATTGCACTCCAGCCTGGGTGACGAGCAAAACTCCATCTCAAAAAAAGAAAAAAAGAGTTCCCAGACCCTCTTTATGTATCACATGGTGTCCATTTCCCATGAAGAGGAGTGAAGGTTTTACCTTACGGCTCCTCTTAATCTTCCTGACAATTGAGGTTTTATAATTACTTTCGTAAATTGTATGTTGTTAGGTCCATTCGGGAGAAAGTACTTGTTTTCCATAGACAGCTGGTAAAATTTCATAAATCCAGAATCCTACATTCTTTGGATTTCAGACTCTGTAGGTCAATTTCATTAGAACAAAGAGACAGAAGGGGAAAAAACCATATCCCCCTGAAAGCGTTTTCTCTTATGTGGAACTAACCCAAAGGCAGTGAGGTTTGTTTCTACCTTCATTCTGCCGCACCATTTAAGACTTAACATTCCTTCGCCCTGGTGCCAAATTTAGGGCAGGGTTGTGGGGAGAAAGTGGATGCCAGGGAAACATACATTTTATTTTATATTCGTACAAATGTCCTCTTCAATTTTTGTAACAGGCCTGCGAGCTTCCTAGGCAGGAGGAAAATTTGAATGAACTCTGCTTTTAGTGACCAGGAGTGGGGACATAACAAGAGCTTTTCAGCCTCTCTGGTTACAGAGATAAGTACAAAGGGTAACTGGCATTAAGTCTGTAGTAATAGCTGTTATAAGTACTGACCATGATTTGAATCTCTCGATAACTGATTCTGGGGAGGCAGGAATATTTATCAAGCCATTAGGAGAGGCTGTTTCGTGCTGATAAGATGCCTACAACTGATGAGGTCCACCTGAAGACCGGATGAGGCTGGGCTGGATTTACAGCCATTTGCAGTGAGAGCAAAAACATGGTCTCCTTAAGAACAGCGTGAGGCATTCAGCGTGAGGCATTCAGCGTGAGGCATTCAGCAATCTGTTTCCTGGGGCAAGCCTATGGAATCTTAAGGAAACAAAGTTGGTGAGCACCCTAGCATGTAAGGTGACTGGGATACTGTACTGATATTTGGCCAGTAAGTCACAATTTCATTGATGTGGAGGGAGGGTGAGGAAGTGGTGGTGGGGGGTGGGGGGGATAATTGAGACAGAAAAGTTATTAATCTGTAAATCTCATTTTTCAGAAAAATCTCACACTGAATTATAAGGTGCCAGACATGGGATTATCCTGGGTTTTTAAAAAAGTGAAATCACCCATTTTTTACAACTGCAGGGCCTTAGTTTGGGTTATTAGCACCATGGGAGAAGTTGCAGTACAGGCAATATTAAAGTTGAAAACAAACAGCAGTAAAGCAGTGGCCTACATTTTATATTCCTTGCCTGTTATGTTTTGCACTCATGCATAACCTCAGTACCAGCTTTTACATTTTGTTTTTAAAAAATACAAATATACTATCTCACACTTTAAAAAATGACTTTAGTTGGCTTCTAAAATAAGAACTTGTTTTTTTAGATTGGTTCCATTTAAAAAAATAAAATATAGGATGCAATGCAGATATGCTGACCCACAAGGGCAGTTGAGTGACCTTACCAGTAAGTCTCTGGGACATATCCCCCTAGTGTCTTAAGGGGAACTTCCTTTTTACTTTCTCCATAGCTGATTTTTCAAAAGCATATAGATTTCATTAGCAATACAACGTTTCTACCTCTTTTGTCTGTGTTCAACATTTGCCTAAAGCTTTCCTATGAGAAATAATATTCATGGAGGATTGCCTGGAAGATATGCTGTTATTTTATTCCACTGGATATGCTTGATTTTTATCTCTGTATCAAACCAGACCATCAGAGAAATGACTATTTGCATCTTACTGGTTTTCCCTCCTCTTGAAGAGTCGGTTTTACTGAATTTGTAAAATCAAATTTGGTGCTTTGATGTTATACCTTTGGTCTGCTTTGAAGGCATGTTAAACAAATAGCCCTATGTAATTTGCTGCTGTCAGCCTGGCTGTGGTGAAAGGCATTGTTGCCTACCTCTCTCCTCTGTCCCACCCAAACATCTACTTTAGAAGAAGAACTCAGTCATCCCAGCTGGGCTGAGTGTGAGTGTGTGTGTGTGTGTGTGTGTGTGTGTGTCCTGAGCATCTGATATGTTCTCCTTTTATCAGTACTGTAGCTTATCCAGGGTCCCTTTTGGTTTTGGTCCTGAAGACTCACAGACACCCCTGTGGCCCACCTCTGGTAACTGCCTGTGGCTGTCTCTGGTGTTTCCTCCATCTAGTTTCATCTTGCTCTTCTCACAGGAAGTACAGCATCGCTGTTAAGAACACAGGCTCCGGAGCCAGACAGCCTGAGTTTGAATTCTGCTCCATCGCTTTCTCTAGGGTGTATGACTTCCAACAAGTTTCTTAACTCCTCTGTGCTTCAGTTTTCTCATCTCTAAAATAGAGACAATAATTGTAACTGTTTTTTAGAGTCCTGGTGAGGGGTTTAAAAATGTAAAGTGTTTAAGATGATGCCTGGAACAGAGTAAGCTCTATATAAATGTTAGCTACTATTCTTATTAACCTGATTGGTCTCTTTAAAAATCGTATTTTACTCTGCAGGTTTTAGTTACCTCAAATTATCTTGGGAAGAGATGGGAAACACACAATTCTAAAATGTGAAAATTTAAATGGAGAATTAAGGTGACTATCTGTTTAAGCCCAACCAACATGCTATTTTTTACTTTAATTATCTGGATTTTTTATGTAAAAATGCTGTTTTGCCTGAATTGTTTTGGATGATCATGGCAGTTTCTCTACTTTACTCCATGTGAACAGAGAGTCTCCCTATTTCTTTCTTAAACATTAAGCTCAGTGGTAATGCCACTGAAGCCAGCTGGGGCTTAAGTGAATATTAGGAATAATATCAATAATAACCCAATACTCAGTTGTCACTCCTGGAGCCCTTCCTATCCCAGCCTATTGTGTACAGAGCTTACCTGAATGCCTCTGACTTCAAGCTGTCAGTGGGATCCATGACAAAAGTCACACCCAGAGTTTAAACCTCAAATTCTTGCTATTCTGCCACTCTCCCAGCAGCAGGTGAACAAAGGACCATGGGCATCAGACAGGGAACCTGCCTCTGAATGGCAGCCTGAACCCTCTCCTTGGAGGCCACCTCCCAGACCCCAGACTAGCTATGCCCTGGGAGACAGCCCCAGTTCCTGAAGGCTTGGGCTTTGCTTTTGAAGCAGCAAGAGCCAAGGAGAAAAATGATTCTTTTCCAATGTGCCTCACTCCTGCCCAGTTCAGTGTCTTCCAGAACAAATTTCAGACATTAGATTCTCAGTGCGGGGCTTGCTTCAGAGCCCAGCTCTTACAGTGGTGCTAAACAGATAAAATATTAAGCATCAGTGCATTCCCCAAATCATTAGCACAGAATCCACAGGTAATGAATTCAGCTTGAGGCTATTTGGGGCCTGTTGTTTTTGTTTCCCACCCATAGCATGCGCTTTTCAGTAATGTACTCTCTGCACAAGATGAGGGTACATATACTGTGTCCCCAGAAGGCCTGGAATGTCTCATTTCTGCCAGAAACTCTAGCTCTGGGGTCTCCAAACTCTGTCAGGAGCAGAGAAGAAGAAAAGACAATCATGTAGCTATCTCACTGATGAGAAAATGCTGTTTCTTAAGCCAAATTACTGATTTGAAACAATTTGGAGGATTTAAAAATATATAAAAATAAATCAGAAGTTAAAGAGTACACCTTTCCCTCTTTTCATAATTATTTAAAATTGCTTCATTAGTTGACCAACGTCACCTTTAATTCTTACACTGACCCTAGGAGGCTGGTAGTTTGTGTTCCTATCGTCTCTGAGCTCCCAGTAGAGAAGTCAGATCTCAAGAGAAACAGGTTTCTACAGGTCTCCTGATGAGCAAATGGAGACAGATTTTGAAGGCAGTCCCAGCTGCCTGATCTGGAGTTTTCATCATAGTCTAACAGTAGTCTAACTCTGATTAAGTGGAAAATGGCAAATTCACTTTGCACAGAGGCAACCCAAATATTTTTAGTAAAAGAGAGAAACCCATTTTCAATTTAGAGATGTTATCAGCTAGATGGATAAATTATGTAGCCCAAAGTGGGCTGCTGAGCTGCAAGATTTTGGAACGGAGTTAAGTTCATTAAACTTTCATATAAACCGTTTCATGTACATTTGTGTGTGAGGTAATAATATCAGACTTTTGCTGTTTGCCCTTTGGAATATAAACACCACACAGTTTAAATAGAAGGTATTATTTGAAACTTGTTTCTCTGCACTGGACTCATGAAGTCAGCTACTAGTTATTTCCTGCCTGGCATTTATAAATCTGTATTGGTCTTTTAGTTTAATGGTTTAATGCTGTGAATCATAGTAAGGGGTTGTGGAGATTGTGTTTAAGAACTATCTTCAAACATGCAAAACAGCAAGTTAATGTAGAGTAAGCTTGGTTATTTGATCTTAAATCGAGAAGAATACTGTGAACAAATAGAATGAGGAGTAAAAATGGGAAGGGAAAATAATTCTACTCTAATGTAAGACAATGATAAGTCAATTTAAGGATGAATACAATATGGCTAAAGGCTGAGCAGCAGATAATAATATAGTGTGGCAGAACCACTGGACAAGTTGGTGAATGAATTTGTCTTCAATAATTATCAGGTATCAGGACAATTTCTGTTGTGACAGAAAACCCAGCCCAAGTTGGTTTAAGTCAAAAGGGAATTTATTCACTAATGGAACTAAACATTCCAAGCATATCTGGTTTCAGGAAAGGCTTTACTTAGCAGGGATACTGCGACTCTGTTGGTTTGGCTCTGCTCTCTGTTATATGTTGGGTTAATTCTTTAGCAATTATTTACTCTCATTATGTTTAAATTAAGATCCAGAAGTTTCATTGAGTTTAATGGCATCCCATCATCTCTGATGTCTTTCTCCAAACAAATCACTGTAGCCAGAAGATCCTGAAGTTCTGTTCAGTTGGGCTTAGGTCACATGATATCTATGGAGTTGAGCGTGGAGTCATTTTTTGCCATTCCTGCTGTAAGTGGAGCATCGGGAAAGAGGATACTCAAAATAGAAAGGAGAATTAGTAAAGGAAGTAGGATGAATGGATGCCAGAGGCCAAAACCTAGTTTTTACTATACATAGCATAGTCATTAATAGGAGCAAGAAAGGAAAAAATATGCTAATACAAACATTCTAAATAGCATTAACAATAAACAGTAGCCCAAAGTATGATTATTAATCTTCTGTTTTAGAGACATCCATATGTCATTTTGTACTTGTGCATACTTCAGAGAAGTATTAGCCAAAGACCTTGACATTTAATTGTAATGAAAGACCTAAAGTGTTTCCAGAAGTTTTCAACTGGGTGCAGAGGTCTATTACACTGAAAGTGTAACAATGTGCTTCTTTATCAGCTCTTACCTTTTCTATCTTGAGCTGAAATATTTGTACTGAGAAAAATAATGAGAGCTAGATTAGGGGATTTGCCTTAGTCCATTTTGTATTGCTATGAAGGAATACCTGAGGCTGGGCAAGAATTTATAAAGAAAAAAAAGCAATTGGGCATCTGAATGGGTGAGGCCTCAGCCTACTTCTACTTTATAATGGAAGATGAAGGGGAATCAGGGTGGGCAGAGATCCCATGGTGAGAGAGAGGAAGCAGCAGGGGCTAGGGGGAGGTAGTGCCAGGCTCCTTTTACCAATCAGCTCTCTTAGAACCTAATAGAGTGAGAACTCACTCACTCCCCATCTACTCCCATCCCAAGGGAGGCATTAATCTATTCATGAGGGATCCACCCCTATGACCCAACACTTCCCATGAGGCTATACCTCCAACACTGGGGATCAAATTCCAACCTGATGTTTAAGGGGGCAAACATTTAAACCATAGCAGGATTCTTCAGGTAGGACTTACGCTGGAAGATGATGAGGTCAGCCTTTAAAAGGCATTTGAGAGTTGTATAAGTGAGCTACAAATCCCATGGTTCCTGTCTTACATGGATGTGTGCAAGTGCAATGGAGAAGTAGTAAGAGCAACATAAATGTAGTTGATGAACTCTGAGCACAGAGGCTGAAGTTGAGCACTTGCAAACCAAGGGAGAAAACCATCTGAACTTAGTTTATCAGCACTCTAACCAGAATGTAGCCAGTCGACCATGGGCCAACATAAGATTTTTGCATTATTGCTGTATTTGCATTCCTTTTTCCTCTGTCTGGAATACATATTTCCCAGCATTTCCCATGCTTGGCATATGCCCATCCTTCAGATCTCAACTCTCCAGAGAGAGTTTCCTGACTCCCTCACTTTACCCATTTACTTAACATTCTGTTTATTTCCTTCACAGCACCTTTTTTTTAAATTTAAAACTACTGTTTATTTACTTTTCTATTGCCCACATCTTCCTACTAGAATTATGCTCCTTGAAGGTAAAGATGTTACTTATATTACTAACTTCTGAATGTCCAGCATCTAGTACTTGGCACACATAGAGGGTCAATAAATGTTTGTTGAATAAATGTTTGGGACACAGAAAGAACAAAATGTGTTGGAAATAAAATAGCTCACTTTGCCAAATACAAACAACAAATCATGGCCACTTCTGGCAGAGGTTCTGAACATTTTTTCTGTGCAGCGGACCCTCTGGCAGTCTGGTGAAGCCTGTGGACCCCTTCTAATAGTGTTTTTAAATGTATGAAAATACAGTTTTGATTCAATTTTCAACTTATATCAATTTATAGAAACACAGTTATCAAGATATTTAAAAATTTATGATACAGCAATATATGTGCCTCTTGAGGTAGACAATAACAAGATCTAGACTGATCTAATAACTAACATGATTTTAAGGTAATGAGAGTAAATTACTTTTTGAGATTTTGCAACAGCTATAATGTGATGAGAAAATATGTGTGATTTCTATTGGTAACAGTAGCTTGTTGTCTATTGTAATACTTGAAGGAAATGCTAAATTTCATTAGAAGTTAATGAAAACAAAGGTGTAATTTTTTTCCTCATCTAAGTATATGGACCCCCTAAATTCTCCCTACACAATTCTTAAGGGGACTGTTAAGAACTCTTGGAGCTAAGGGCTTCACCATTCCATATATATGCTGGAGTTAAGGATTAATGTTAGGGCAATCAGCAGTTATGCCTAAATCTTGTTTGTAATTGCCTGGTGTGTGTATATATATATATACACACACACACACATGCATACACAGTCATGTATTACACACACACACACGCACCATAAATATATATATGCTAGCCTTTAGAAAACAGTATACAGTTTACCCAAAAAGATGGCTTAGTTCTTATTTAAATAAAATGTTTTTGCCCTCATAGAGTACTGAGCTAAAGGACTCTTTAATTAAGTACTGCTAAGGAAAATAACCTGACCTGGTGACTCCACACATATTGTTGTTACAATTCTGGTTCTGTGATTCGATGAGTGAGAAAACAAACATTTATGGAATATATGCTCTTACAGGGATAAACTATTTAGCTCAGGTGGGTCAAGATCCTTAACATATGCAGAGAAGAGTTAGGACTTCAGACGGCTCTCTTCTATAAGACATTTGCACATCACATCTTCCTTTTGCATGGGAAGAGAATCAGTCCATTATGAGTTTTCCCTTTTTCAGTAAATAATGAAATAAATATTTCAGTGGCTATGATGTGATGCACTTATCTCTCCAACATTATGTTTTATAATAATTCCTTTATTTCTGTCTTTGTAGCTTTTACTAAATTTCACAGGGGAAGAGATTCACTTTCACCACTAGTTTGGAAATATGTAAAGGGTTGGGCATTACAGATCTCATTCTTTATTCTCACTCTTGACCAGAAAAACATCATCCTGCAAAGGAGGGTCCCAAAAGAGAAATAAGAATTTGGGGTAGATTGCCCCCCTTCAGCTCACTGGGACAGCATTTAGTGCACCTCAGAGGGTATGCGGAAAACCATCTGTGATACTCCTCAAACTGGAAGATGAGGCTGTGTGAGTGAGTGCATCCATTTCAATAAGGACTTCAAAGAGGTGTTTAAGAATTTACTTTCCACTATGACTGCAGGATAAACTATGATCCTCACACACACTTTCTCTTGATTCTTCCAAGGTATCATTAAGAATTTAGAAATATGAATATAACTTTAAAAATTTTCAAAAATTGTGAAGTATAGTCATTTTTGATATAAGGGTCTTATTTTTCAAGTGTTTTCAATGCCTATACCAGCAAGAGCTAGTTCTAATTTAATTTGACATGTGCATCAGTCAGTATATAGTGGATTTTGTCATGGTAACAAACAACCCCTAAATCTCTTTATCTTAACCCAAGAAAAGTCTATCTCATGCATTTTTCTTGTGGTTCATTATAGAGCCTTCTGCTCATTGTAGATACTTGGAGATTGAGGCTGATGGAGGCTCCATCCTGGCACACACTTTCACGATCATTATACTAGGGGTAAGAGAATGTGGAAAGCATGAACCGGCTCATAGCACCACACATACCTTCTCTCATATTTTACTGTCTAAGGAAAGTAGCATGGCCACATCAAACTTCAAAGGGTGGGGGAAGTGCAAGTCTACCATGTGCCTGGAAGGAGAAAAGCTGGGAATGTTTGTGAAAGGTCTTATGACTACCACAGTGCACCCTCTGGTTACTATATGTTTTGTTCACTCCTTGTGCCCAGGGGAGAACAACCCAAAAGTCCCACCTATTGAGAGCATCAAGCTCAGAGCTCAGGATCTCTGAGGGACATTCAGTAGTCGCTATATCAAGTCTGGATGTAGTTCTTCTTAAGCCAGAGATCTGTGAATTAAAAGATGTGTTTTGTTCCCTCTATACACCTGATATATAATGGTGGAACAGGAATAGAAAAAACTCAATAAATATTAACATTCAGAAAGAGGAAGAATGGGATACACCTAGGAATTCTAAAGTCCCTCTGGGCAGAGGTGGCAGGAGCCTCCATCCCTGAGGTGCAAAGAATGTTCCTTCATTAGACCTGATTCTGCCCTTTGCTCTTCCCTCTGAGAGGCTTGCCCTTCTCCATTATCTCCTTGGTCACATCTGAAGTGAGCCTTGGAGATTATGTCTTATTTGAGCATTAGCAGCTTCCTCAGCCTGCTTCGTGCCTCTCATGTTGCTAGCACAAGGGTCCTTTTAAACTACAATGGCAACCTGTTTTAATTAGGCTGGTAGTTCTATTGGCAGTACAACTTTCTCCAAAACTTGGCCAGCTTCTTAGGTATTTGATTCCAGTCAGCCTCATATTCAAAGAGCTCACTCACAACTTTTTTTAGACATGGTTCCTAGTTATGCTGTATTTCTTTGCTTTCTCCCCTCCATATCCTCTCATTGTTTCTGTACTTGATTGTGGGTTCCTTGGATTTATCAGGATTCAAAGGGAGAGCCACACTAGTAGTCTTCTTTCCCTTAACATTTTTGTCCAATTGAGAGGATTTACTGGGTTTGTTCCTCAGTTGGAATCTCAGACACCTTATTCCATTCAGAAGCTTTTGTTTGTTTGTTTTATTTTATATCCTGTGTGATTTATATTAATTATTTTCTGTCCTTTTCATTATAACTATCCTAGTGGGTGTGAAGTGGTATCTAATTATTATTTCAATTTACATTTCCCTAATGACTAATGACACTGAACATCTTTTCATGTCTTTGTTACCCATTTGCATATCTTCTTTGGTGTTCTGTCCATGCAAGTACTTTGTTCATTTTTAAATTGGGCTTTGTTTTTATTGTTGAGTTGTAAGAGTGCTGTATATATTCTAGATACAAGTCCCTTGTTAGATATATAATTTGCAAATATTTTCTTCCATTCTGTTGATTGTCTTTTCACTTTCATTATGGTGTCCTTTGAAGCACAAAAGTTTTAAATTTTGATGAAGTCCAATTTATCCTTTTTTCCCTTTTTTTTTCTTTTGCTGTGCTTTTGGTGTTGTATGTAAGAAACCATTGTCTAACCCAAAGTTATAAATATTTGCTTCTATGTTTTCTTCTAAGATTTTTATGTATTTAGCTTTCATATTTATGTCCATAATCTACTTCACTTGGAGGTAATTTTGGTGTGTGGTGTAAAGTAGAGGTCCAAATTCATTATTTTCCATGTGGCTGTTTTGTTCAGCACCATTTGTTAAAAAGACCATTCTTTCCACCACTGAATTGCCTTGGCATCCTTGTTGAAAATTTCTTCTTCCTTCATTTTTTTCTTTTCCTCTTTTTAAAAATTCAGTTGTTGTCTGTCATCCAGCAGCCGTCTTTCTCTGCACACATGCTCTTTTTTAAATCTCTTTACTTCCATCTCTCTTTTCTGGTAACATGTTCTTTTTGTTCCAATTGATCGTTCTCTTAAGTAGGTTTCTCTTTAAAATTTTTTTTTTTTTTTTACTTCAGACTCAGATCCAGTATCTTAAGCACATTAGTTCCTTAAGCAGGGGCAGATGACTTTGTTTCCCCCAACTAGGTTAAAGCCTCCTGGCAGCCTAGTCTCTTTTTATTCCTAGCTTGGCTTAGAAAAGCCACAGCCTACCTAGTCAGCTCTTCTTGGTGTCTTACAGAGAGGAAGATCCACACATTTACAGGAGACCATGTTTCATCTTCCTCTCTGGGCTGCAGGTATGTCTCTGAGCCAAGCTCTTCCCAGAAACTACTTTGTGGAAATTAAGAGAGCATCTGCTTATCTTCAGTCATTCCATGTCACCCACAGTGAAAATTCTCTCCATCAAGATTCCCACAAAGCCTGAGGTCTCTCTTGTCCATGGATTGCAGCAGTCTGTTCTCTCAGGAGAAGCATGAAGAAATGAAGTTGGGTATGGGTTTCTGCTAATCCCTAAATAAATATCTATATATTTCAGGAAGTAACCTGAAACAGCAAAATCTAATTTCGGTGATGGTTATGTTTGTGATGATAAAAAATTGACAAGTTTCATGGCTACCAAAGCAACATTATATTTTAAAAATTTTAATATAAAACAGTATTTATGTTTTGGTATTACCTTTTTCTGAAACTACGCTGTTTTTGTCAGGCAACAGCATCAATTCTTGGCTCAATAATATCTCTTTAGCATATTAGTAATTATGAAAAGATAATTCAGCAAGTTGCTGCTGAAATGCAGGAATCGGGTGTCTTAAGTGTTATTTTAGTCATGATTGAGTAATCAGAATGAAGCTTTTATACCACACGATTACAACTTATTGAAGAGCTCTTAGGCTCTTAATGAGTGAACTATCTTTAAACTCAGATATCAATAAAATATTTTTCAATTTTAAAATGCATTTAGTATTTGAAAACAGTGGAGAATTTCTCAATGATTCCATTTATTCTGTATGCAAGCAGAATGGCAGATTGTTATATACTAACAACTTCAAAAATTATCATGGAAAATTAAATTACAGCAGAAATTTATAGATTCAGATGAATAGGGATGGATGTAGGAAAAGGAAAGGGGCAATTAAATTTAGTAAACAATTTGAACCTTAAATTCTTTTGAAATAATTTTTAAGTATATACAGTATCTTAACTCCTCCAAAATAGTTTCTGGGTAGAAACCATTGAAGGGAATCTTGGTGTTTTGCTTTTTAAATTATTTTTAAATTTTAATTTGTAAGTAGTGACAGCTATTTGTAAGCAATTAATAGGTTCAAATCCTTAAAAGCTTTCTTCACAGTTTATATAATGTAGACATTCTTTATAGTTTGTATAATATTCTAGAAAAATCTCAGTTATCTCATGAATTCAATTTATAATTTTTTAAAATCATAGATTGTTGTTGAGTTGTCAATAAGACCGCATTTAATTGTTGTAAAACCTATCTCTATCTTATAGTCACTGCAAAATGTCTCTAGAGGAACTGAAAGGACCCAAAATACTGGGATTTCTGCGTAGTACTCCAGGCATATAAAATACTTTCTCAGCTGTCTACACCCTTAGTAACCTAATATTTGAATGTGCAAGGAGCATTCCTTTGTGAGATTCCAATGTCATATTTATGGGAACAGTCTAGGTCATCAGTTGCTATGGCCAGAAGAGAGTATTGGCTTTTTCAGTTTTTGTCCCTTGTGAGTAATCCAAATCTTCTTATAACAAGAACACCAATACATATATACATACACAAAATAATTAAAATTGTGCTAGCTTGCTAGGTTTCTCTAGAGGAGGTGTTTCTCTGTTTTTTCAAGTTTATTATTTTACTTTCAGTTTTTGTGGGTACATAGTAGTGTGTATATTTATGGGGTATATTAGATACTTTGATATAGGCATGCAATGTGTAATAATCACATCAGAATGTGGTATCCATATCCACCCCCTTAAGCATTTATCCTTTGTGTTACAATCCAATTATACTCTTTTAGTTATTTTTAAATGTACAATTAAATTATTATTGACTATAATCACCTGTTGTGCTGTCAAATACTATGTCTTATTCATTCTTTCTATTTTTATGTACCCATTAACCATCCCTAGTCCTCCACTGCCCCCCAACTACCCTTCCTAGCCTCTAGTAGCAATCATTCTATTCTCTATGTCCATAAGTTCAATTATTTTGATTTTTAGCTCCCATAAATAAGTGAGAACATGCAAAGTTTGTCTTTTTGTGCCTGGCTTATTTCACTTAACATAATGACTTCCAGTTCCATCCATGTTGTTGCAAATGACAGAATCTGATTCTTTTTTATGGCTGAATAGTACTTTTTTGTATATATGTACCACATTTTCTTTATCCATTCATCTGTTGATGGCCACTTAGATTGCTTCCAAATCTTGGCTTTTGTGAATAGTGCTTCAATAAACATGGCAGTGCAGATATCTCTTCAATATCTTGATTCCAGTTCCTTTGGGTATATACCTAGGTATGGGATTGCTGGATCATACAGTAGTTCTATTTTTAGTTTTTTGAGGAACCTCCACACTGTTCTCCATAGTGGTTGTACTATTGTTTCTCTGTTTTTTCACTGTCCAGATATCTGTGATCGATTGACCTGGCAACACCACTCTTGATTCTCTACATTTGCCGTTTTGAGGACACAGGCCCGGAGTGTCAAATGCTTACTCACTCCCTTTCCCCTCAACCCTTCCTCATTTTAACAAGAACACAAAGGATTAGAGTGACTGCCTGCATTCATAAATCACTTTCCGAGCACCTTTTATATCCTCAGCATTTTCTTATTTACTTTGGGTAACAAAAGGATAAAGCATGGTCCTTGATCTTAAGGAGCTTGCAGTCTTTCGACGGGGATCAATACCTAAATGTTGGGAACAAGAAAGATAGGGCCTGCTCATTTGTATTTTAGATGAGTTCCTGAATTGAATGTGGTTCATTTGTACTTTAGATGAATTCCAGAATTGAATGTGGTTCAACTGAATGTGGTTAATCATCATGACTTTAGATTGAGTTTATAAACTTTACAATGTTTTATCTTACCAATAACTTCTCTGGTATAGGTTACTCATTTTGAGATCATTTATTTTGTTAGATATTCTAGAATTCCTTCATTCCCTTTCATAGTGCAAAATAAACCCTTTCCGTTTTAAAGTGATTTGATATATTTCCCACTTGTAAGCATTTAATTCCTCAGTGTATACAATGGACAATCTGGGGATTTTACTAAGACAAGAATGCTTGGAGCACTGATTTCTATTTGTTTCACTCAGTTTGTCCCCAAGAAGCAAAAGAGACATTGTACCATGTTGAACAAAAAGCTTCATCAGTAAGGAGTTTATTCTCATAATTGATTGTGAGTGTTTCACTACTATCTTCACTATTTTCTCAGAAACAGGACTTCATTATTATCTCAGAAATCCTAAAAAATATAGCACAGCCTCAAAAACTTGGACAAAATGCTCTGAGAAAAATTGATATAGATGCTTCCTCTTGACTGCGTTATCCAAATATCACAAAATGAGTATGCTATGGTTTGAATGTTTTTGTTCCTGCTAAAATTCATGTTGAAACTTAATCCCTAGTGCAACAGTATTGGGATGTGTGGCTTTTGGGAGATGACTGAGTCATGAGGGGAGAGCTGATACTGGCTGAACTTGGGGCTAGAACTTGGCTTAATTGTGTCTGCATCCTAGGACTTTGTAGAAGACAGAATTTAAGAGTTATGGACTAGGATATTTGGCAGAATAAATCTCTCAGGACAAAGTATTGAGGGAGCTGTGTGGCTTCTCTTAACTGCTTATAGTAGAATATGAGAAGATATAATCCATTTAAATACTGAATTTATAATCAAAAGGGAAGCAGAATGTAAATATTTAGAAAATTCTCAGCTTGGCTATGTAAAGAATAAAAAATGTGTTTAGTAGAGAAAACCAAGAGTGTCGCCAAGCAGTCATTTGATAATGAGGTAAAAGTATGGATAGAAAGAAACCAGGTGCTATTCATCAAGACAATGGGAGAATGACCCTGAAGGCACCTCAGAGATCTTCACGGTTGCCATGTTCATAACAGGTCCATAGTGCCAGGGAATTGAGGGCAGAACAGTTTCAATGGAGTGACTCAGGGAGCCTTCAGGAGCTCAGGGCTCACTGCCCAGGGCCGCCTTAAGTCTCTGTGCCCCACATTCTGCCAATGCAGTCTTCAACAACCCAGGCTCAGGTGGGCCCAGGTTCAACTCAGACCGCCACTCCAGAGAACATAAGGGATGAGCCTTGGTAGGATCCACGTGGAGCTGTCCCTGCAGACATGCAGAGTGCAAGCGTAGTGGAAACATGGCTACCTCCACCTATATTTTAAAGGATGTATTGGATAGCTTTGTGGTCCAAGCAGAGACTTGCCACAGAGGTGGAGCCACTACTGAGAGCCCCCATTAGGTCAATGCTTAGCGGAGCTATGGAGATAGGGCTGTCCTCAAGACTCCAGACCTGTAGAGCCATAGCATGCAACACTAGCTTGGGAAAGAGTCAACACTAGCTTGACTCTTGACACAAATAGACACTTGACTTTAACTCATGAGAGCTGCATCGTGGCCTGTGCCCCACAAAGCCATGGGCAAAGGGTCACCTGAAGCCTTGGAGGCCCAACCCAATCTGGTGTGTCCAGAAGGCAGGATATGAAATCAAAGAAGATTGTTCTCCAGACCTAAGATATAATGTTGTTTGTTCTGTTCAGTTTTAGAATTGAGACCTGTTACTTCTTTCTTCTTTCTCCTTTTTGGAATGGGAATGTCTATCTTATGTCTGTCTCACTGTATTTTGGAAGCACACAACTTGTTTGATTTCACAGACTCACAGCTGGAGGGGAATTTGCCCCAGGATGAATCGTATCTTGAGTCTCACTCATATATTTGAATAAGACTTTGGATTTAGACTTTAAAGTTGATGCTGGGATAAGACTTTTGGAGGCTAGTGGAATGGAATGAATGTATTTTGTATGTGAGGACATAAATTTTAGGCAGTGAGTGATACAGTGATATGAATTAAATGTTCTCATCCTCTCCAAAATTCATGTTGAAACTTAATCCCTAATGCAACAGTGTTGGTGGGCCACCTGAATGTGATACTATTTTTTGAGTGTCATTAAGTTTAATCAAAGTCCGGTGTCAGAAGATGCGATAGACTTTCTTGGTCTTCCTTATAATAGCTTTTCAATGGTTTATTCTCTTATAGAGTTCTCTTCTATCACAGAATACTGAATTTGTCTTCTTGAATCTGCAAGTGCACAAGAAAAGTAATCCTTTGTATCTCTAGACATGGCAAGCATATCGATTGAGCTGCAGGTGCTATGAAGCAGGAAGTTCCTAGTACTTCTGACTGTTGGGTCAATAGAGACTTCTACCTGTATGTTATAGCTCTTTGGTTTTGGTGGTGAAAGGATGATCTACTACCAAGGATCTTTCTTTCAGCCAAAATAATAAAGTTGCATTATTCATTAAGTTTTGTTACGTGTTTAATTGTGTCTCCCCACAAAAATATATTGGAATTCTAGCCCCAAGTAACTCCAAATGTGACCTTATTTGGGGATAGCATCATTAGAGAGGTAATCAAACAGACTTGGAGTACAAATCCCATTTTTCACTCATAGCCATAGATAGGTACTATTGTAAAAGCTGCAGTATTTAAAATATGGAGTCAATTAGGGAGGGCCCTAATCCAATATGACTGGTGTCTTTTAAAAAAGGAGAAAATTTGGACATAGACAGACATACACACAGAGAGAATGCCATGTGAAGATTGGAGTTATGCTGTCACAAGTCAGGGACTTACCAGAAGCCAGGCAATAGACCTAGAACAGATCTTCCTTAGCTCCTTCAGAGGCAGTGCGGCCCTGCCAACACCTTGATCTCAGACTTCTAGCCTCCAGAACTGTGAGACAATACGTATGTGTTACCTTAGCCCCTCATTTTTAGTACTTTGTTAAGTCAGCCTCAGCAAACTAATACAACTTCCCAGACTAAAGTGTTTGCAAATAACTTTTTGCATCCTTGTATCTGTCACATTTTTAATAGTTTACAAAGGACACAACATATGTTATCATATTACTGGCCCTCGGGAAGTGGCACTGGAGATTGGCCTTAAAAAATAAATGGGTGTTTAACAGGCAGAACAGTTTGAAGGTAAGAAGGGGTGAGGAGAAGTTTGGAAGAATAGAATTCCAGGCCTCAGAAACAACAGAAACAAAGATATGCAGAATAAATGGTGTAGACTGTATCCCAGAAACAGAATAGTACACTTTGTTTGGAATGTACATGTAAGCACAGGGGAGCAATGAGAGAAAATATTGTAAGTTTAAATTATTTTCACATTGACAGTGGCCTCAAATACTAGGCAGAGGATTTTGAGCTCAGCCTGGCACTTCACAGGCCACAGGGAGGTGATGGTTCTTGAGTAGGGCTGTTACATGTCAGAAATGTGTTTGGAGAGGCACCTCTGGGAGCATGTCATGGGATGGATTCCTTATGCAGGGAAGACTGGAAGCAGAGACTTTAGTTGAGAAATGGTTGCAAAAGCCAAGGCAAATGGGGATGGGGGTGATGGCAAATGGAAAGGACAGGTAGTTTAAGAGGCATTACTGCAAAGGAAGAGAGATATGCAGGAACTCCAGGCATATGGCACGCTAATGTGAAAATGTTCTTAGACAGGTGGAATTCTCTTGCCTGTTACATCATACCTCTGTGCATGGGCATAAGGCTGATGTGCAGAGGTTCTTCAGTCAGAAATGGAATCTGGATCCTGACTCACTGGCATCCAAGAGGGAAAACTCAAAATGGTCCATGTAACATGGGGCATTCAAGGTGCATGACAAGAGCTATGGGGCTGTGTGACACCAGTGAAGTGTCTGTGTTTAACACATCTGTATCATGGGGCATGTAGACATGGGAGCAAGAACATCTAGAATTTTTCACTTCTACCTGAAGGTATCTGCTCCGTTGACCACCTAATCTAGTCAGGAGTCACCTGACATATGCATTAAGTATAAATTGAGTTATTTCTCCTCTGCTCAAAATTGCCATTTGTTAATTGTCACACTGCAATCATCTTTTTACCACCTTCTCCTCCAGCCAAAATAAACCTCCAGCAAATCGTGGTGATCCCCTTTAGAAGCAATGAAAAATCATGGCTAGACTGCCTCATCTGTGGTACATGACGGCTGCCTAATCTGCTTAGGCAGCTCAGCACGCACAGGTAAGTTAGATGTAACAGTGCCAACTGCATGGATTATAGTGTTCAACATCAGGTCACTCTTTCACTTCAAATTCTTTGTAAATATGGACAATTCTGAAGCCCCAGAAGCAGTGTAATCCTCCATGCCGGGCTGCACAGGCTGAGCCAGCTCTGAGGCTGCCTGGTTTCCTTCTCCAGGCATTAGACATCACTCACCCTCACTTCTTAGTCCTGTCCTGAGGACATAATAGCTCTTTGCCTGTTGATAGGAAAGTCCAAGTGTGTGGAGCCCTGTATTAGGGCATGCTGGGGGCTATGAGCTGCTGTTCTGTGTATTTACCATCACCGTGGGGAGGGCAGCAGTTTCCCTCAGGTACCCTGTAAGGCAATCTGGAATTCTAGTTGCTTGCAGATCTGAAATCTGCATCTGAGCAGTAACTTTCTAACAGATGCATAAGAACAGGACCTCAGCCTGTTCCTGCTGCCACTTTCATAAGCTAAAACACGCATAGCCGAAGCATTTTTAAGTAAAAGTCCTTTGCACAAAGGATTAAGGATTTGATCATCATTAAGTAGATAATGTTCACTCTCTATTGTTTCTTAAGGATACAATGGAAAGCAGTCCCAAAGTAAAGAGTTCATTAGTGATTACAGTTTGAATGTAGTGAACTAGACATATATTTCCCTTGTAGCAAACAATAGAATCTATCTGGTAACCCTGAGAAATGTAAATTTAACCACACATAACTGCTTTATAGACGGAGAAGCAGACATAACTAGTTTAGTGAAGGGGAGGGAGAGGGAGAAGAAGTGGGGGCGGGTATCAGACACACAGAGGAGAACAGATAAGAGAAAGAGTACTTCTGGCCTTCGGTTTTTTTCCAAATACTTTGTGAATCTTTATTTCATCTCCGCCTTCGTATGCTAAGAGATACTCTTATGTTAAAATTTCTTCCTTTTTTGTTTTAGCTATGTGTTAGCTAAAACTCTTTGCTGTTGTTTATTGCAACTTCCTCATAGTTTTTGTGATTTAGAAAATCACATTGCTCCAAATGAAGCCTCTCTTTCATTTGGTATTTTTAAACAGCAAAAATCTCTCCAGTTTAGTTATTTACAGTCTAAGAGTCTTAACAATTATGAGTGTTTCTTAGGATGGACCAAGCTAATTTCCTCTAAAATACAATTATAGTCTTTTTCCAACTTTCAGGAAAATGTAAGTTAATGAATGATCTCCTTGATTTTATGTTTTTCTTCCATAAATTATTTCTCAAGCCATTGGAAATTGTAACCACTTGCCTGGTTGTGAATACTAGCAGATGACAAAATGAACAAGCTGAAAAATGTTAATAGGAAAACTGAGGAGCAGCTCCTTGCGTTTAGCTTGCAGCTTGTTTTGGTAGACATGTGGCAATAATTTTGCATTGTGTATATGTACTTATACACAGGTATATTTATATGTACACAAAATGTATATCTATGTAAGTCATATTTTCTGCTACTAAAACAGATGCTAATTTGTGCATTAGAATATAACAGACCAATAGGCATTTTTGGCACCTGAAGAAGTTTGGGAGCCACTGCCTTAGATTTAACTTAAGTATCCTTTGTTTTTTTTCGTTCTTACCTTTCCCAGGCACTGCAGAGCCACATGGGCCCCAGTCTGTCTCTCCCGCTACTGTTTTGTCACCTGCCAGCTCAATTTCTAGCCTTTCACAATAGGAGTGTCCTCGTAACCCACACTGGCATGGCATGTGCATAGGGTATCTGTTGTATATAGAGACTAGAGGGCCAGAATCTGCATGCATGTTTAAGTGGGGAGAGGAGCCATTCTTCTCAATAACCCTGGTGGAGTGGAAGGCCAGATCTTGAGAGCCATAGTGTGTATTTCTTAAAAGTTTGCTCAACCTTGCATCAGTCCCTGTGGAGAATATCTACTCATTAGATTGGTTCTTTGTCTGGCTTAGAGATTCTCATGTTTTTTAAGTTAGGTCTGTGGATGGAGATGGGAGTATCTTATTAAATATAATAACATTTTCCCATCAATTAAACCTTGGGCATGCTTGTTAAATGCTTTTCATAAAATGCTTATTAAACTTCTCAGGTGTTCTGATAATAGGAGATAATTTTTGGGTTTGTAGAATTCAAGACTAAGTTGATTTTTTTTTCTTGCTATTCATATGTTTTAATGAAGAGTGTCATGCCAGACCCCTATTAACTTCAATAGGGAACGTGCCAGGTTCAAGAGGCCAAAGAAGAGACCCAGAGCCAGTAAACAAGATGTGGGGTTTATTGAGGGAAACTTACATACAGGGATGGTCCAGTGGCAGTGGGCTGGATAGGAGAACTGTACAGACCAGTCGCAGCAGCCTGGGCAGGAGCACCACACCGCTTGTGAAAAGCATGCAGTTTATATAGCATTTCACTTAGCACCCTCACCCTAGAAACCTCCACCTGGCAACCTTCATTTAACCCAAACAAGAGAGCCTCGATCTCCTGTAGGCCCGTATTCCATGGGATGAACTGGGTGTTCAGGTGTTTCTCATAGGTAAGGAATGAATCTCCAGGTTGGCTACTCCCAGATTCCTTAGTTTGGCACTCCAAACACACATTCAGGTGTATCTGCCATACGGGGTCATTCTCAGGGTATGGTTATGCTAACTTATCAGGTACGGGTACCATACAAAGAGGTAAATACTAATAAGTGCATCTTCCTTTGCACAAAAATCTATGTTACTCATGTAGATAACTGAGAAGTTCAATATTAATGAAGCTTCATTTTCCATGAATAAGGGAATCTGTTAGTTACAACTCTATTTGCTAAAATATCAAGGGAGCCTGCTTTCTTGTGGGAAGGTCATTTATTTATTCATTCAAATTTGGCATTTAAAATGCTGTTGTTTATTGCATCTTCTTTATAGCTTCAGGGTTTAGAAAAATCACATTGCTCCAACCACCATGGCACATGTATACCTATGTGACAAACCTGCATGTTCAGCCCAAGTATCCCAGAACTTAAAGTAAAATTAAAAAAAAAAAAAAAAAGGAAAAGAAAAATCGCATTGCTCCGAATGGGGTCCCTTTCTTTTATTTGGTATTTTTAAGCAGCAAAATCTTTATCTTTAAAACTATCTTCCACCAAAGCCTCCCCTATCTTAATATATTTGAGAAATGTGCTTTTTAGAGCTAATATGTTAGACAAACATGAAACATTTTTATAAAATCTTTCTATTCAATGTTAATTTCTAGACATAAATTTATAGGATGTTATTTTCCTTTGCAAAGGTTTTTTTTTTTTTTCTCTCACTCCTCATCCTTTTACTTCTGCTTCTTCCTCTGCCTCTCTCCTAGTGAGCCTGTTCTTTTTCCTTGTGGCTCCCTCATGGCTAAAGGTTCTCAGTGGTGATGGGAGGGTGAGGGATAAGGATGGAGTTTATGCAAACCACTCAGGAAGTCATTTCCAAATAGTCATGCCTGAACCCATCATCTAATATTTTGATTCAGTTGGCCTGGGGTGAGACCCAAACATATATTTTTATAAAGCTCCCCAGGTGATTCTGATATTCTCCCTTGATTTGGAATCACTGCTTTAGTGGCTGCCTCTATTCTTGGTTTATTGAGTCAGTATTTTCTTTCCCTTCGATTTCTATTACTGCAATTCACAGAACTACCCATACTCAGGCCTTACGTAATTTGCATCAAATATCTCCTAAATTTAATCCACCCAATACACCTCATTCATGTTAATTTTTATTTAAAAATTGGTTTTATTATGATTGCAAAATTAATATCTGTCATAAAATTTTCAAAACACAAAACTAAAATGTTGATACATAAAAGTGGAAATCACTTATAATCATATCCCCAGATCTAACCAGATCCAATTAGAATGCTAGAAACCATTGTGGCTATTTAAAGCAGAAGAAACTTAATGCAGGTGCTTCATTATAGCAGCCATGGAAGAGGGTGAGGAGTTTACCAGGGCTTGATGAGGTAACCCAGTGATTAGTAATACCAAGAAGCTGCTAAGCTCCTTAACTGAGGGAAGAAGGGAAGGGCAGTGTTTACCCAAACTCAGGGGCCAGGGCCACCAAGGAGTAGCTAGGAAGACATGCCAAGAAAGCGATTTAGCTGTTGCTGGAGAAATCCAGAGCAAACAAGGAGGGGGAGATATACCCTGGCTTCTTTCCACTCACTCCTCAATCTTTTTTTTCTTTTTTTAAAATTTGTTTATTTTAACAGGTTTTTGAGGAACAGGTGGTGTTTGGTCACATGAATAAGTTCTTTAGTGGTGATTTCTAAGATTTTGGTGCACCCATCACCTAAGCAGTGTACACTGTACCCAATGTGTAGTCTTTTATACCTTGCCAGCCCCCACCCTTTCCCCCAAGTCTCCAGAGTCCAATGTATCATTCTTATGCCTGTGCATCCTCATAGCTTAGCTCCCACATATCAGTGAGAACATACGATGTTTGGTTTTCCATTCCTGAGTTACTTTACTTAGAATAATAGTCTCCAGGCCAGGCGTGGTGGCTCACGCCTGTAATCCCAGCACTTTGGGAGGCCGAGGCGGGCAGATCACAAGATCAAGAGTTCGAGACCAGCCTGACCAACATGGTGAAACCCCGTCTCTACTAAAAATACAAAAATTAGCTGGGCGTGGTGACACACACCTGTAATACCAGCTACTCAGGAGGCTGAGGCAGGAGAATCGCTGGAACGCGGGAGGCGGAGGTTGCAGTGAGCTGAGATCAATCACGCCATTGCACTCCAGCCTGGGTGACAAAGCGAGACTCCATCTCAAAAAAAAAAAAAAAAAAAAAAAAAGTAAATTCCATCCAGGTTGCTGCAAATGCCATTACTTCATTCCTTTTTATGGCTTTTTATACACCACATTTTCTTTCTTTTCCTTCCTTCCTTCCTTCCTTCCTCCTTCCCTCCCTCTTTTCCTTTCCTTTCCTTTCCTTTTTTTCCCTCTCTTCTTTTCTTTTCTTTCTTCTTTATTTCTCCACTCATTGATTGATGGGCATTTGGGCTGGTTCCATATTTTTGCAATTGTGAATTCTGCTGCTATAAACATGTGAGTGCAAGTATCTTTTTCGTATAATAACTTCTTTTCCTCTGGGTAGTGGAATTGCTGGATTAAATGGTAGATCTACTTTTAGTTCTTTAAGGAATCTCCACACTGTTTTCCATAGTGTTGTACTTATTAGTTTACATTCCCACCAACAGTGTAAAAGTGTTCCCCACCAACATGTATTATTTTTTGATGTTTTAATTATGGCCATTCTTGCAGAAGCAAGGTGGTTTCGCATTGTGGTTTTGATTTGCATTTCCCTGATCATAGTGATGTTGAACATTTTTCCATATGTTTGTTGGCCATTTGTATATCTTCTTTTGAGAATTGTCTATTCATGTCCTTAGCCCACTTTTTGATTAGGATTGTTTTTTTCTTTCTGATTTGTTTGAGTTCTTTGTAGATTCTTGATATTAATCTTTTGTCAGATGTATAGATTATAAAGATTTTCTCCAACTCTATGAATTGTCTGTTTACTCTGCTGATTATTTCTTTTGCTGTACAGAAGCTTTTTAGTTTAATTAAGTCCCGTTTATTTATCTTTGTTGTTGTTGCATTTGCTTTTGAGTTCTTGGTCATGAAGTCTTTGTCTAAGCCAGTGTCTAGAAGGGTTTCTCCGTTGTTATCTTCTAGAATCTTTATGGCTTCAGGTCTTAGATTTAAGTCTTTGATCCATCTTGAGTTGATTTTTATATAAGGCAAGAGATGAGGATCCAGTTTCATTCTTCTACATATGGCTTGTCAATTACCCCAGCATCATTTGTTAAGTAGGGTGTCCTTTCCCCACTTTATGTTTTTGTTGGCTTTGTCAAAGATCAGTTGGCTGTAAGTATTTAGCTTTATTTCTGGGTCCTCTGTTTTGTTCCATTGGTCTGTGTGCCTGTTTTTATGCCAGTGCCATGCTGTTTTAGTGACTAGGGCTTTAGAATATAGCTTGAAGTTGGATAATGTGATGCCTCCAGATTTGTTCTTTTTACTTAGTCTTGCTTTGGCTACATGGGCTCTTTTTTGGTTCCATATGAATTTTAGGATTGTTCTTTCTAGTTCTGTGAAGAATGATGGTGCTACTTTGATGAAAATTGCAAGGTTGCTTTTGAAGTTATGGTCATTTTCACAATATTGATTCTACCCATCCATGGGCATAAGATGTGTTTCCGTTTGTTTGTGTTGTCTATGATTTCTTTCAGCAGAGTTTTATAGTTTTCTTTAGAGAGGTCTTTCACATCCTTGGTTAGGTATATTTCTAAGTATTTTATTTTCTTGGAGCTATTGTGAAATGGGTTGAGTTCTGGATTTGATTCTCAGCTTGGTCACTCTTGGTGTATAGCAGTGCTACCGTTTGGTATACACCAATTTTGCATCTTGAAACTTTGCTGAATTCATTTACCAGTTCTAGGAGCTTTTTGGATGAGTCTTTAGGGTTTTCTAGGTATACGATCAAACCCTCAGCAAACAGCAACAGTTTGACTTCCTCTTTACCGATTTGGATGCCCTTTATTTCTTTCTCGCTTGATTGCTCTGGCTAGGACTTCTGGTACTATGTTAAATATAAGTGGTCAAAGCGGGTGTCCTTGTCTTGTTCCAGTTCTCAGGGGGAACGCTTTCAACTTTTTCCCGTTCGGTATAATGTTGGCTCTGTGTTTGTCATAGGTGGCTTTTATTACCTTAAGATATGTCCCTTCTATGCCAATTTAGCTGAGGATTTTAACAAAAAAGGAATGCTGGATTTTGTCAAATGTCTTTTCTGCATCTATTGAGATGATTGTGTGATTTTTGTTTTAAATTCTGTTTATGTGGTATATCACATTTATTGATTTGCAGATGCTAAACCCTCCCTACATCCCTGGTATGAAACCCACTTGATCTTGGTGGATTATCTTTTTGATACTCTATTTGCTAGTATGTTTTTTTGAAGATTGTTGCATCTATGTTCATCAGGGATATTGGTCTGTGGTTTTGTTGTTGTTCTTGTTATGTCCTGCCCTGGTTTTGGTATTAGGGTGATGCTGGCTTCATAGAATGATTTAGGGAGGATTCCCTCTTTCTTTATCTTTTGGAATAGTGTCAATAAGATTGATACAAATTCTTTGAATGTCTGAAAGAATTCAGCTCTGAATCTGTCTGGTTCTGGACTTTTTTCTTGGCAATTTTAAAATTACCATTTCAATATTGCTGCTTGTTATTGGTCTGTTCGGAGATTCTAATCTTCTTGGTTTAATCTAGGAGAGTAGTATATTTCCAGGAATTTATCCATCTCCTCTAGGTTTTCTAGTTTATGCACATGAAGGTGTTCATAGTAGCTTTGAATGATCTTTTGTATTTCTGTGGTATTCGTTGTAGTATCTCCTGTATCACTTGTAATTGAGTTTATTGGATCTTCTCTCTTTGCTTGGTTAATCTCGTTAATGGTCTATCAATTTTATTTATGTTTTCAAAGAATCAAGTTTTTGTTTCATTTGTCTTTTGTATTTTTTTGTTTAAATTTCATTTTGTTCTGCTTTGATCTTGTTTCTTTTTTTCTGCTGGGTTTGGGTTTGGATTGTTCTTGTTTCACCAGTTCTGTGAGGTGTGACCTTAGACTGTCTATTTGTTCTCTTTCAAACTTTTTGATGTAGGTGTTTAATTATATTTAACTTTCCTCTTAGCACCACTTTTGCTGTATCCCAGAGGTCTTTATAGGTTGTGTCACTATTATTCAGTTCAAAGAATTTTTAAATTTCCATCTTGATTCCATTGTTGACCCAATGATCATTCGGGAGCAGGTTATTTAATTTCCATGTATTTGCATGGTTTTTGAGGATTCCTTTTGGAGTTGATTTCCAATTTTATTCCACTGTGGTCTGAGAGAGGACTTGATATAATTTTGATTTTCTTAAATTTACTGAGACTTATTTTGTGGCCTATCATATGGTCTATCTTGGAGAACGTTCCATGTGCTGATGAATAGAATGTATATTCTGCAGATGATGGGTAGAATGTTCTGTAAATATCTGTTAAGCCCATTTGTTGTAGGGTATAGTTTAAATCCATCGTTTCTTTGTTGACTTTCTGTCTTGATGACCCATCTAGTGCTGTCAGTGGCGTATTGAAGTCCCCCACTATTATTGTGTTGCTGTCTATCTCATTTCTTAGGTCTAGTAGTAATTGTTTTATAAATTTGGAAGCTCCAGTGTTAGGTGCATATATATTTAGAATTGTGGTGTTTTCCTGTTGGACTAGTCCTTTTATCATTATATAATGTCTCTCTTTGTCTTTTTTAACTGCTGTTGCTTTAAAGTTTGTTTTGTCTGATATAAGCATAGCTACTCCTGCTCAATTTTGGTGTCCATTTCCATGGAATATCTTTTTCCACCACTTTACCTTAAATTTATATGAGTCCTTATGTGTTAGTTAAGTCTCCCGAAGATAGCAGAAACATGGTCGGTAAATTCGTATCCATTCTGCCATTTTGAATCTTTTAAGTGGAGCATTTAGGCCATTTACATTCAATATTAGTATTGAGATGTGAGATATTATTCTATCCATCATGCTATTTGTTGCCTGAATATCTTGTGTGTTGTTTTCATTGTGTTATTGTTATATGGGTCCTGTAAGATTTATGTTTTAAGGAGGTTCTATTTTGTTGTATTTTGAGGATTTGTTTCAAGATTTAGAGCTCCTTTTAGCAGTTCTTGTATTTCTAGTTTGGTAATGGTGAATTCTCTCAGCATTTGTTTGTCTGGAAAAGACTGTATCTTTCCTCATTTATGAGACTTAGTTTCACTGGATACAAAATTCTCAGCTGATAAGTGTTTTGTTTAAGGAGGCTAAAAGTAGGACTCCAGTCCCTTCTAGCTTGTAGGGTTTCTGCTTAGAAATCTGCTGTTAATCTGATAGGTTTTCCTTTATAGGTTACCTGATGCTTTTGCCTCACAGCTCTTAAGATTCTTCCATTTGTCTTGGCTTTAGATAACCTGATTACTATTTGCCTGGGTGATGATCCTTTTGTGATGAATTTCCCAGGTGTTCTTTCAGATTCTTGTATTTGGATGTCTAGATATCTAGCAAGGCTGGAAAGTTTTCCTAGACCATTCCCTCAAATATGTTTTCCAAACTTTTAGATTTCTCTTCTTCGGGTTTGCACGTATAACATAGTCTCAAACTTCTGGGAGGCTTTATTCCTTTTTTTTTTTTTTTTTTTTTTGAGACAGAGTCTCGCTGTGTCACCCAGGCTGGAGTGCAGTGGCGAGATCTCGGCTCACTGCAAGCTCCGCTTCCCGGGTTCATGCCATTCTCCTGCCTCAGCCTCCCGAGTAGCTGGGACTACAGGCGCCTGCCACCACGCCCGGCTAATTTTTTGTATTTTTAGTAGAGACGGGGTTTCACCATGTTAGCCAGGATGGTCTCGATCTCCTGAAATCGTGATCCACCCGCCTCGGCCTCCCAATGTTCATTTTTTAAAATTCTTTTTTTCTTTGTCTTGGGCAGATTGGGTTAATTCAAAAGCCTTGCATTTGAGCTCTGAAGTTATTTCTTCTGCCTGTCCAATTCTATTGCTGAGGGTTTCCAGTGCATTTTGCATTTCTCTAAGTGTGTCCTTGATTTCCAGAAGTTGTGATTGTTTTTTATTTATGCTGTCTATTTCACTGAAGAATTTTCCTTTCATATCCTGTAGCATGTTTTTGATTTCTTTAAGTTGGACTTCATATTTCTCTGGTGCCTCCTTGATTAGCTTAACAATCACCCTTCTGAATTCTTTTTCTGGCAATTCAGAGATTTCTTCTAGGTTTGGATCCATTGCTGGTTAGCTGGTATGACCTTTTGGGGATGTTAAAGAACCTTGTTTTATCATATTACCAGAATTGTTTTCTTGGTTCCTTCTCATTTGGGTAGACTATGTCAGAGGGGCAATCTGGGATTCAAGGGCTGCTGATCAGATTCTTTTTTCACACAGGGTGCTCCCTTGATGTGGTGTCCTCCCTTTTCACTTACAAATGGGGCTTCCTGTGAGCCATATTGTAGTGATTGTTTTTTCTCTTCTGGGTTTAGCCACTCAGAGGAGCTACTGGGCTCTGAGCTGGTACTGGGGAGTGTCTGCAAAGAGTCCTGTGATGTAATCTGTCTTCAGGTCTTGCAGCCATGGATACCAGCACCTGCTCCAGTGGAGATAGCAGCGGAGTGAAGTGGACTCTGGTGAGGGTCCTTGGTTGTGTTTCTGTTTAGTGCACTGGTTTTAAGGTTGATTGCCCTCCAGCCAGGAGGTGGCACTTTCAAGAGTGCATCAGCTCCAGTCCTATAAGGAGGATTCAAATTCGCCCTAGGGATACTTGGTTAAGTATTCAGGTTTCGTAGGCAGTGGGTAGGGCCACAGAGCTCCGAAGAGATTATGACCTTTTCCTTTGGCTACCAGGGTGGATAGAGAAAGACCAGCAGGTTGGGGCAGGGATAGGCCTGTCTGAGCTCAGCCTCATCTTGGGCGGGGCTTGCTGCAGCTGCTGTGGGGGATGGTGGTGTGGTTCCCAGTCCAATGGAGTGATAGTCCCAGGGAGATTATGGCTGTCTCTGCTGAGTCACACAGGTCACCAAAGAAGTGAGGGAAAGCTGGCAGTCACAGACTCACCCCACTCCCATGTAGCCCACAGTCCTAAAGGCTGGCCTCACTCCCACTGTCCCCCGCAATAACACCGAGTCTATTTCCAGGCAGCTGGTGACCAGGGCTGAAAACTTGCCCGAAACCAAAAGCCTTCTCATTGAGAAAGCAAGCAGATTCACAGTTTTTCAGCATCTCAGGGAGCCTGTAGTGGTTATCACAGTTCCTTCAAAGGGTCTCTGGGTCCTCTCAGGTTTCCTGGTATGTTCCTGTGGTAGTTCTTGGAGCAAAAATTCACGATGCAAATCTCCACACACTGCTTTGTCCATCCAAGTGGGAGGTGCAAGCTAGTGCTGTCTGCTGTCTGCCATCTTAATCCTCATTCCCACTCCTCAATTTTACAGGTCAAATAGATCCAGTAGCTATGTAGATCCAGTGGGGTTAGCCCCACTATGATACAGAACAGGGGGAGGGCAAAAAAAATGGGTCTGAGGGCAAATAAGCATGGTCACTATTCACAGATTACTGCAAAATCAATGTTTTCATAGTCTGGCTCTGATTCCATGTCTACTACATTGATACTAGGACTTTGGATTTGCATTAATGCCCATGCAAAGCCAAATTCCTAGACCCTCCAAAATAAAACATCTCCTAATCTTTGTAATCTTCTAGCCTTCTCCTCTCAAATATGCACCATGTTATGTTCATGACATTCCCTTTTTCAAAAAGGCCTCCCTGAACCTGTCTAAATTACCTTACATTTTCTTAAGTCTCATCTCCCACATGAAATCTTTTCTACTCACCAGAGCCTTCTGTGACTGCTTTTTTAGAGAGCTACATTTATTGCTGGTCCCAGCTATTTGGCATATTTTTAAAATTCTTCTTTACCACATTATTTACATTTCTAGGTATCTTCCCTGTCTCCCCAGCTAGATTTTAATGGCCCTTGAGGGCAGGGAATGTCCATATCCCCACCACATAATTTCATGCCATAACATAGTAGATGTTCAACATATTCACATTGTGGTTGATGCTCTTGTTCTGACCAAAAGCTGTGATCAGAAGAATTCTTGGAACTATTTGCTTTTCAAGACTGTAGAGCAAGTTATCATGTGTCTCTCAATGAAATTGTAATACACAAATAGCCATATGGAAATTATAGTGTTAAATCAATTTGAGGGGTTATGCTAATCAAAGATGAAATCAATCTGATTAAAGCTATGACCCAATCCCATCTAAAGTTAACTTTAGAAGATATTTGAATCATTAATATCTTACTATGACCACCATACAGAGGAAAGGAAAATAAACAAAATAAAACAATATACTTGGTCTCCAAAGTTTTATTTTACACAATGTTCAGAATATAATAGTAATTATAAGATGTGAAGAAGCAGGAAAGTGTGGCCTATAATCAAGAGAGAGCATAATAAATGAAACCAGACAGATGACTGGTTTTTAAGAATTAATCAACAAGGACCTTAAACAAATATTATAAATGTATAAAAGAATTTATAAAATGTAGATATCAAAATTGACAGGTGGGGTATTTTAGGAAAGAAATGAAAACTGCTACAAAAGAACCAAGTGTATTTCCCCTACCATTGCTTCATTAAGGTATAATTGACAGATAAAAATTGTATATATTTAAGGTATACAACATGGTGTTTTGTTATACATATATATTGTGAAATGATGACCACAACCAAACTAATTAATATATCAATCACCTTACAAAGTTACCTTTTTTTTTTTTTTTTGGTAAGAACAATCAAGATCTGTTCTTCCAGAAAATGTCTAGTATACAATACAGTATTCTTAACCATAGTCATTATCCTATAAATTTAATCTCCAGAAAATATTCATCCTGAGTAACTGAAACTTTGTACCCTTTGACCAACATTTTCCCCACACCCCAGCGCATGGTAATCACCATTCTACTCTCTGCTTCTCAGAGTTTGACTTTTTTAGATTCCACATATAAGTGAGATCATGCAGTATTTGTCTTTCTATGTCTGGCTTATTTCACTTAGCATAATGTCCTCCAGGTTCATTCATGTTGTTACAAATGGCAAGATTTTCTTTTTTATGGCTGAATGGTATTTCATTATGTGTATGTGTATATATACCATACATATACCATAATTTTTTTGTCCATTTATCTATTGATGAACACTTAGGTTGTCTCCATACCTTGGGTATTGTGAACAGTGCTGCAATGAATGTGGGATGCAGTTATCTCTTTTAGATACTCTTGTAATTTCCTTTGGATATATACCCCAAAGTGGGATTGCTATATCATATGGCAGTTTTATTTTGGATTTTTTGAGGAACGACCATACTGTCTTACATAATAGCTGTACCAATTTACATTCCAACCAATATTATACAAGGATTACCTTTGTGTCACATCATCTCTAACACTTGTTATCTCCTGTCTTTTTTATAATAGCCATTTTAACAGGCATGAGGTGATAGCTCCCTGTGCTTTTGATTTGCATTTCTCTGATGATTAGTGATATTGAACACCTTTTCATATACCTGTTGGTCATTTGGATGTCTTATTTGGAAAAATGCCTATTCGGGTCCTTTGCCCATTTTTAAATTGGGTTATTTGTACTTTTGCTATTGAGTTGTGTGAATTCCTTATATATTTTGGATATTAACCTTTACTAGATATATGGTTTACAAATATTTTCTAGCGTTCCATAGGTTGCCTTTTCATTTGTTGATTGTTTCCTTTGTTGTGCAGAAGCTGTTTAGCTTGATGTAGTCCCACTTGTTTAACTTGGTTTTGATGCCTGTGCTTTTGATGCCTGTGCTTATCTATTATCATAAGCAATAATAGAAAAATTATTGCCAAGGCCAAGGTTAAGAAGACTTTTTCCTATTTTTTTTCTAAGAATTTTATGCTTTCAGGTCTAGATTTAAGTCTTTAATTCATTTTGAGTTGAATCCTTAAGTAGATGAATGGATAAATTCTGTGTTACATACAGACAATGGAATATTATTCAGTGCTAAAAAGAAATAAGCAATAAAACCATGAAAAGATGTGAAAGAAACTTAGATGCATATTACCAAATGAAAAAAGCCAATTTGAAAAGGCTACATGCTGTGTGAATCTAACTATATGGCATTCTGGAAATGGCAAAACTATAGAGACTGTAAAAATAACAGTGATTGCTAGGTGGTAGGACATATGGAGAGAAGGATGATGTGGTGCACAGAGGAATCTTAGGAACATAAAACTACTCTGTATGATACTATAATGGTAGATACATGCCATTATAGATTGGTTTCAAACCTACCAAGAATGGATACATCACCAGGAGTGAGCCCTAATATAATCTATGGGTGCTGAGTGATAATGTATGAATGTAGGTTCATTGATATTGTAACAAATGTACCACTCCGGAGGGAGATGCTGATAATGGGGGAGACTGTGCATGTTTTGGGGCAGGCAGTATATGGTACATCTCTGTATCTTCCATCAGTTTTGCTGTGAACCTAAAACTGCTCTAAAAATAAAGTCTATTAAAAACAAAAAAAACCAAAGAAACCTACTAGAACTAATACATGATTTAGCAAGATTTCAGTCAATGTATAAAAGTGAATTTTATTTCTATGAATTGGCAATGAACAACTGGAAAATAAAATTTAAAACTGTGCCAATTATAATAACATCATAGCAGAAAATATTTAGGATTGAATTTAACAAAAATTATACAACATATATGTAATCAAAATAAACAGTGTTGAGAGGACTTAACAAGGCTCTCCAAATAAAAAGAAAGATATATTGAGTTGAAAGATGCACCATTATTAGGATGTCATTTTGAAATCCCAGTGGGCTTTTTTGTAGAAATTGACAAGCTAATTTTAAAATTTATGAAATAATTCAAAGGACTTGCAATAGCCAAAATAAGTTTTATAAAAGAACAAAGTTGGAGGACTTACAGAATCAAATTTTAAGATTTATACAAAGCTACTATTATTAGGATAGTGTGTTATTGGTGTAAGGACAGACAAATAGATAAATGGGCAGAATAGAGAGTACAATAATCAACCTACACTTACACATTTAATAAATTTTTAACAAAGTAATGCAATTTAATGTGGGAAAGCAAAGCGTTTTCAATAAAAGGTGCTAGAACAACTGGATAATTATATGAAAAAAATGACCCTTACATGGTAATTTTTTATAATTACATGGAAAAAATTGATCTTCTGCATCCCATCATCATAAAATTACAGATGAATCATAGACTTAAGAATAGAAGCTAAACTATGAAGTTATTAGAAAAAAACAAAAGAGAATATCTTGGTGACTATGAGGTTGGTAAAGATTTCTTAGACTGTATGCTGAAAGAATAACCATGAATGAAAACACTGATAGATTAGACTTATATCAAAATTTCATCAAAATTCATCAAAATTACTGCTTATCAGAAGACACAGTCAAGGGAATGAATATACAGGCCATTGGCTGGAAGGAAATATTTGTAATACATGTACCTAAAAAAGCACTTGTATTCAGAATATATACAGAATGTATATCATTCTACGATAAAAAGACAATGAACCCAATAGAGAAATAGGCAAAAGACTTGAACAGACAATTCACAAGAAATGTTATACAAATGACCAATATGCATATGAAAAAGTGCTCATCACCAATAGGTCCTCAGAGAAAAATGCAAATTAAAACCATCATGCAATAATGCTTCACACCCATAAGAATAGCTGAAACAAAATATCGTAATATGCTAAATGTTGATGAGGATGTGGAGCAACTAGGACTCTCAAATGTTTCTGGTTGGAATGTAAAATGGTACAGCTACTTTAAAAAATTAGCAGCTTTTAAAATAAGGTTACATATATACTTACTACATGACACAACAATTCTACTCTTAGGTATTTATCTAAGAGAAATGAAAACATGATTTTACAATAACCTATATGCAAATATTTTTAATAGCTGTATTAATCATAGGCAAAACTAGAAACAATTGAAATGTCCATCAACAAATGAATGGATAAACAGATCGTGGTATTGTCTTAGTCAGCTTGGGCATAATAAAATACCATAGACTGAGGGTCTAAACAACAAAAATTTATTTCTCACAATTCTGGAGGCTGTGAAGTCCAAGATCAAGGTCTTGGTTAATTCAGTTCCTGGGGAGGGCTTTCTTCTTGGCTTGTAGATGACCACTCTCTTGTTATGTCCTCACATGGCCTTTCCTTGGTGCATACATGATGGGAGAGGAGAGAGAGAGAATCTCTTCCTCTTCTTACAAGGCCACAAATTATATTGGATTAGGACCCTACCTTTGTGACCTCATCAAATCTTAATTAACTTCTAAAATCCCTATCTCCAAATTCAATCACATTGGGAACAGGACTTCAACATATGAAATTTGGGGGACACCATTCTGTCTATAGCAAGATATTCATCCAATGGAATACTACTAAACAATAAAAAGAAATGAATGACTGAATTTCATAGATACTATGAGTGAAAGAAGCCGGATACTAAGGAATACAGACTTTTAATTCCACTTAAATAGTGACAGAAGTCAAAGGGTGTTTGACTGTGGGTCAGAAGAGATTAACTAGGCAGTTGCACAAGGGAAACTTCTTTAGCAATGCTTTGTTTGGAGTGAGGTGATAGTTCCACAGGTGTATACATTTGTCAAAACACATTGACTCTACTTAAGAATTGTGCATTTTAGGCTGGGTGTGGTGGCTCATGCCTGTAATCCCAGCACTATGGGAGGCTGAGATGGGTGAATCATGAGGTCAGGAGATAGAGACCATCCTGGCTAACACGGTGAAACCCCGTCTCTACTAAAAGTACAAAAAATTAGCCGGGCATGGTGGCAGGCACCTGTAGTCCCAGCTACTCAGGAGGCTGAGGCAGGAGAATGGCTTGAACCTGGGAGGCGGAGTTTGCAGTGAGCCAAGATCATGCCACTGCACTCCAGCAAAAAAAAAAAAAAAAAAAAGATTTGTGCATTTTATTGTGTGTTAGTTATATCTTAACAAACAAACAAACAAACAAAAAGGCAACTGAAGCAAGAAATTTCCCTGACCCCCTCACGGGAACTGGAGTGGACTGGTGCTGGATCTAGCTGGCTGCTTCGGCATTGGCAGGGGCAAACTCCCCTCACTTGGACGCATTGTGCTTCACCCCTTGTGGGAGGGAGTGCCCAGGTGAGTGGGTGCAGGAGCTGCAGTGAGCAGTTTTGGGTGCCAGCTGGGGCAAACTCCATGTGGGGCCCCATGGCAGCATCTAGTGGGTGCCTGCAATCCTGAAGCCCCAGAGGGTGTATGTTACTGTGCTCTTTTAACTTTGCTGTCCACAAATGGCTTAAATGTTAAACAGCTTAGTGGGCCCTCTGCCTTTTTGTATGAGGCAGTTGCTCTCCACCAGCATGGGCAGAGGTTCTGTGTGACAGCCTTTAGCATCCACACCCGTGGCACCTGAGCTCTTATTCGGCATCCAGGAGGAATCAGCTTGCACAAACGAATTGAAGAGTGGTGAATAGGGAGGATTTTATTGCCAATGAAAGTGGCTGTCAACAGGAAGGGGAGCTGAAAGGGGATGGAGTGGGAAAATGATCCCTCAGAGTCCAGCTGTCTCCCACCAGACTCCTCTCTGAAGCAACACCATCAAGCCAACCCTCTGAAATTAAGCTGCCTCTCTCTGACATCCAACTGTAGTCACAGACGTCCAGCTGCTGCTTCTCTTCTCTGCTCTCTGTTGGTGGAGCCTGGGGTTTTTATGGGCACAGGATCTGGGGCCAGGTGGCCCATGGGTGGTTTTGGAAAAGGCAACATTTGAGCAGGAAAACAGGAATGCATGTTCTCATTTTGAGCTGCAGTTCCAGGCTTGAGAGTGGGGCCCTCACTGGGGACCCACCCTCTTCTTCCCAGAATTCTCCTGCCTCCTGTCCCTATCACAACTAAGAAAACCTCTTTTTCGGTGATTTTCATGTACTCCCAGGTTAGGGAGCAGTATTCTAACAGAGCTTTTCCATTTTAAATGATGTTACAAATTATGGAGCAGTTAGGGGATTTCAAATTAACACATTTATTATGTGCCTTCATGTAATAGACCCTTCAGTTCATAGAATACAAATTAGAGAAGGGACTTGCTCAAGGTCATATTACTAATGACTTATGGGATGGGAACCATATTTCTAACATCTAAGGTTAGACCCTTTGGTATTAAAGAAAAAATAGTACAGCACACCAAGTAGGGATAAAGGGGTTCAGGATGCTAGAGCTGGCTGTCTCCCAGGTTGTAATCCTAAACCTTCACTTGGGTTGTGAGGAACAATTTAGGAGCAGGCAGATTTTCTGTGGTGCTGACCATGCAGAGGCAGGGAATGTGATCGGAGAAGGTGTCTCCAGTCACCAGCAGCCCTCTCAGTTCTGTAACTTTACCCAAGTATTTTCTTCAGACTTTCAAGCCTTTCCTTCCAGGGATGGGCTTTTCAAGTTTAACCTCTGAGGCACCAGTTCTACCATTGGCATTTTCCTTTCTAAGGCATTTTCAACGGATGTTTCACCACGTTTAGAATTCTCTGGGGGCAGGAATCATGGTCATACGTCTAACACAATAGTGGGGACTGAATGTTTGTGGGATAACTCTAGTTATTTAACAAAAAGAAGAAATCATCCTCATTTCCATCAGTGACAGCTTGCAGTGTTATGCAACCACTTTGACATAACTTCATGAACTGCAGAATTAAATCTGCAACCACAAAAGAAAGAAACTGATTTCTCATGGCCCTTTTGTAATTTCAGAAAGGTTTTGGGAAGTCTTTAAATTGAATTTAACTGTTGAGCACAGGCTGAACTTAAAACCCTCATCTAAGTCATTTCCTCCCTCCCGTACACTATACACTCATAGGGGTTTTGAATCCTAAGTGCTTTGGCTGTGGACATAAGCTCTCTGTGAAAGGCCAAGGAACCCAAGGGGCTGAGATTACTGCCTGCATCACCACATTCTTTTTGTTTGAATTCATTCAGCCGAAAACCACTGAGTGGTTGTAGAATGCCCTGCACACAGCCACGGGGTCTCATCAGGCCACAAATGTGGGTAGAAAGAGCCCTGCCTCGCAAGGAGGGTCAGCGTTATTATTCAGGAAGGAACACAGGAAGATGGGAAGAAAAACAAATATTTCTCCACAACAATAAGCTCAAATTTTCCTACTTCAGAAGGAAGATATAATTGGCATCTACCTAGAAGCCATATGCTATGGTAATTTATTTTTTAATTTGTGTCCTGGCACTCACTGCACTAATTATTCCACTGGTACCCAGTGAATCTTCCTGAACACAAGGGAAGTCCATTTTGTTAATCAGGAAAATGGTTGTAACAAGCCACTGATATTTGGGGTATGTTTGAGACAAGGAGAGTTGCTTTCTTGCTCACAGTACAGTCCAATAAGGGTAAGGAGGGGAAGGAATGGCAGTTGTGTGTGTTCTTCTCCACACAGTTATTCAGGGCCTCGGGTGCCATTTATAGCATGACTCTGCTGTTGTTTAGTGTTTGTCCTTTGCTGCATTAGGCTGGTAAATGGAGAAAGAGAGCTCATGGAGGACCACACAGGAGGTTGGTTTAGGGACTAGGTCAAGAAGTGCCTTAGCATCACCTCTGCCTACATTCTGTTGGCCAGAACTCATTGATATGGCTTCCACTAACTTCAGGGGAAGCTGCAAAATGTGGTCTAGTTTTGCCTAGAAGAAAAAGAAATAAGGATTCACGAGCACATAGCACTGTCTCTGCCACAGTATATAATAGTAGGTGGCAATAACATAAATTCTATCTATATTCAGATACTTAAATATTTACTGACAAATGGGAAAAAGAGTATGTTCCATGCTAATCTTCCCAAGGGGTGTTGGTTCTGCTTCTGGGTGTGTTACTTGTAGACAGTGGCCCATTCATCTCTATACCACCTTCGTGACCAATGCCTATTCCTCAACTTATAATTTAACAATTGGCATTGATTGTATACATGCTTCCACAGAACAGGTATTTGCTCAGTACTAAAATTATACATATTTTGAGGGCTCTGCAGCCTTCAGCTGATTGGGAGTCAGAACACAAGATTCCATGATAAGGCTCCTCAATTGTTGTTTTGTTCCTTCACTTTCTTATATCAATCAGCAGAGTTATTGGTTAATATATCCCATTGTAATTGAAGACAGCAAAGATCTGTTAGAAAATAATGCCTCTTAACCTCCTACTTTCCTAGTCAGATAGTAACAATTCCAAAACTAAATCAGAAGCACCTGTTAGGAATGAGGCTCTCAACAGGTGGAGGTGGTAGGAGCAGAGAGAGGGAAGTAGGTCCAGATATCTAACTCTGAGCAGGGAAGGAAGACAGGGCTGGGAGCCCTTGGCAGCATGCAGAGAGCTTGAGGGTGCCAGGGTCCTCAGAAAAGTTGAAAGCAGGGAGAATCGTTTCAGCAGAATTCCTAGGTGTTATTTTAGCTGCCTTGGGTCAAGTACCACAGGCATAACTGGACGGACCTCCCTTGGTCTCAATGCAATGTATGGGTTAAGAGCTAGTGAATTCCCTATACTGGGTTCCCAAGTGGGTGCTCATGGTTGATCAGGCATTAAAAATCTATAGGTACTGCCCTAGGCCATGCCTCAGTGAAACCATCTCAACGTTTTCTTAGAGATTCTTTATCAAAGACCTGACAGAGATCTGGAGGATTAAAGAGTAGTGATACTGGTGATAATTAGAAATCCAGACCTCCATTCCTTCCTGCCAGAGCTGTCACTCCCAGGAAAGTCACAATTTCATTTCCTAATGAGATATAACATTCTGTTCCAAGGGCATTTTTTAGTTCTTACTGCTCTGTGTGTTGTACTATGTAACTGAGGGGTCCTGGCCTACACATTTCCATGTGGTTAATTACAACAGCATGTGGTAGAAGTCCTTACTGAATATGTAATCTGATGCCACTAATGTGATGGTGTCAGGTGCATAAAATGCTCGAGACAGTTAGTTGTGTTTCTTTTCTTTTTTGTGTGTGTGGAATAAATTACTTCATTGGGAGTTTGGAAACTTGCCCAGTAGTTTTTGAGAGCAGGAAAGTTTCTTTCTTTGTCATAAAGAGACTTCTTGCAAATAAAGCCCCTGTAATACAGGCCTGTATGAGACAGGGCTCCTCTGTACCCTTGTCATGTGCTTTGTACCTTGTGTAAGTAGCAGGGAGCAGAAAGGTGGAAGGAGAGGTGCCTAGAAGTCTCATACATGAGGGTGGTGAGAATAAAGATGAGACTGAGAGATGAGAGCAAGGACAAGAGAGGAGAAGAGTAGGTGGCAATAACATAAATTATATCTATATTAAGATACTGAAATATTTAAACTAGTAGACCAACAGCAGAGAGGAATGAGTAGCATAGAGACTTTGAGAGTAAAGAGCTCAGCATATTTCATTCACTTGAAATTAATTTAAGAAATGCAGAAATCACTCCATAAATATGAGGCCCCAGGTCAAAAGAATAGTTACTTATTGGATGCCTTAGGGTAGTCCCCAAAATAGATGTAATCATTACCAGTGCATAAGTCACATAATCTCTTCCAGTCTATTTCCTCACATGCGAAACGGGGACAATAGTAGCATGTACTTAATAGAGTTATTGAGAGGTTTATAAGAGATGATATATGTAAAGCCTTTGGCATGGAATCTATCATAGAGTGAGAACTCAATATAGTTCAGTGATGATTATGGGAATGGTGATGAAGATGATGGAAGACACAGAAGAGGATGCCACAAGAATCAAGCTGATTAAATGAATTTAAATGGAGCAAGAGATAACCAGATTTAAAAATTACTGGGACATTTTCCAGACCCATGAAAGAGCTATATGATACCTATGGTTTATTTGCAGATTAATTACATCCCATCTATTCCTACACTCTCCAAACATATGGACGAAGTAGAAAGTAAAACTAGGAGAAAAGCCAGCACCTGTGTTTTTGGGCTATTCAGTTACAGTGTTGGAGGGAATATCAAGAAATCCTTTTTTATGGGGAATTGTATTTGAGTATCTAAGACAGGTGAGTGTCTATAGTGTTCGTAAAGACTTCTAAAGGTGTGGTTTTTCTCAATAGTTGGGTTCAGGGTCTAATTATCTGGATGTTTAACTTAAACACCATTTCAGTCTGGTTCTGGTCTTCCTGGCAATGCACAACAGATGGAGTTCTATATAACCCATGACCCATAAGGTTGGAAGATAGGAATAACATCCATGCTACAACCTAGCTGTACTAAACCAGGCTTAGCAAAGATTCCTAAGGGTGAGCTAAAGGTCGTGTGTCATCTGCCTTCAATCAGAGATGTTTATGGGGAAAATGAGGAGCATGTCATGGCACAATGCAGTCCAGCTGCCTGAAGAAACTCCAGGGAAGAGAATCCAGAGGCAATAATGCAAAGCAGGCAGAGTTCAAGGTGACTCATGTGGCAGCTTTGGATAGGCCCATTCTGACATCAAAATAGCCACCAAAGAGTGGAAGTTCTATGTGGAAGTTTAGTCTGCACAGTCCCTTTGGGACTATTTGGGGTTTGATCCATGGTAGAGCTGATTATAAATTCAGCTATAATGGGACCTCTTATTGCTTCCATCGGCTCTGTCAGAGCCTTCTTTTCCAGGCCTTTGTCACCTTTGTGAATCTTCACTGCGTTCTTCTATATTCCTCATTCACCTCTTAAACTGAGAGGAACAAATCTGAACCTTGGGTTATACTTAGAGTCTGACTCAAAATACCTGCAGCCCAAGGATCTTTTGCCAGGTGTTTTAGGCCAATGTCATATTTCTCATAATTCATCCCAGGGAAATCCTCCTACAAATAAGCAAATAAATAAAACAAGAGCGCACTTTTCCTGACTCAAATGTATCATGTGTTCCAACGTGTGAATGTTTTCCATTTTATTAGTGCTAAATCTCTCATTCTTCATGGTTTGGTTTTATAGTTTTGGGGTCCTTAAGTACATAACTTGCATCTGAAAAACAGAGATGGTGTCTTTTTAATCTGTGTTTCTCTATTGTCTTAAACAATACTAACACCATAGGCAAATAGCAAACGCTTCTTGAGCAAATGAACAAATAAGGCATGAAAAAAAGCAACCATCTTTTCGCTTATTCTGATTTTTATTTCAGATCCTAGATCAGAGGCTTGAATTCACCAATCTGTGTACACACAGCTGGATGCAATACCCTTGGTTTTCCTGGTACCATCTGCTCACTAAATCATCCCCTGAAGGCCAAAAACAGAACAAAAGCAGCATTGGGGAAAGGGGAAAAGAGGTACGGAAACTGGACAGGTAGAGGTGTTTAAGGAAATGGCAGACATTAGCAGATGTCACAGAGATTTATTTCTTTTTCTGTGGGGATTTACTCTAGTGACTAAACTCTGTTTCAGCGTTTTTTTTCCCCCCAGAAAGCACTTGGAGCATTCATCATTTGCTGTGGGAGCTGCTTTGTGGGCAAAACTTCCTTTCCTTTCGGGTCTTGGATTCAGGGTTTAGACTTGAAATATTAAGAGGAACAACACCTTGAAGTTTCAGGGACAGAGAAAGTGCAAAGCCTAGGATGAGGAGGAGTTGTCAAGATAAATTCTCAAGGTACCTTTCTCAAAAGCATTCTTTCTCCTACTCACCTCTGGCGCAACCACATCCAGGAAGGGTGAGGAGTGAAGGCCTCAGACCATCTGTGTGGTGGGAAATACAAGAGATTTGAGCTCTTGGCATAGTGTTTCAGGCCATGTTTTGGAACCAGTGCCCAGAAAACAGGTGCTATGTTTTCTTGGGGGAGCATCCTCAGGGTTAAGGCTTTGAGAGTTGCCAACGAGCAGGGAAACCCATGCGTAAGTCATACACTTTAGGAAACTCAATAAATCCTCACTGATTAATTCCAGATCACCACCCGCTTCCCAGTCAGAGAAGTACATGTTCCTCAAAATTACCTTTGAAGATGGGAATTGCTTGGAAAGGTTTAAAAGAGGGAAGTCTTTTTAATTTTTTTGGTCATATATATTTATTTTACAATTAACTATGCCATAATGGAGTTTTTATGATGATTTTGTTTGGATACCACAAATAGAAATAAAAGATAGAAATTATCATTCACCTTAAACAATGGAAAACCAAGGGACAGAGAGGTCATTGGAAAAGTGACTCTCCATGATCATTTCCGTTCAGCACAATTAAAATCAGTGGTTTGGTAAATAAGTGTTATGGAGATTTGTCAGAGAATAGTAGAAATCTGAATTCTCATCTCTATTATGAAAGACGCTCATTTTAGTTAGAGTACTGCTAGTTACTGTAACAGACAAACTCCACAATTTCAGTGGCCTTTACAAGAAACATTTTTTTTGCTAACGTAACAGTTCATTGTGTGTATAACTGGTTAACAGCAGAGTGGTGAAAGGCACAGTTGCCCCACTCTTATTTAGGGACAAAGGCACAGTGGCTTTGCCATCTTAAATGTGTGCCTTCCTTTAGAGATTTTGATCTTTCCAGATTTCAACATTTGGGATTGTGGTATTTAGCACTGTGTCTTTTGAAATTATGGCCCAAACCCCTCCCAAGGACACCCTGGAAACCAACACAAACCAGAGGGTAGGGGAAAAGAAAGGATGGAGAAGGCATGTCTTCTTCTGACACATAACACTTCTGCTCATATTCCACTGATGACCATTCATCACAGGGCCTCACCCAAATAGGCATGGAGCTGAGAATGTAGTCACTGTCCACGCAGCCACCTTCTGGGTAGAACTCTACACTCTTGAAATGGGAATCTCCAAGCCACTGGGGGATAGCTGGGGAACTCTGTCATGAAAAGAATTAGGAAATGTGTTGAAATGGGGGAAGCAATAAAGTCAAGTTTATAAAGCCATTTTTGAGTTCTGAATCTGCCATCTAACAGCTGGATAATTTAGTCTTTTTGATCAAGTTTCCTCATCTATAAAGTCAACTTCATAACAACAGCTGACAAGATTGCAGTGAGAACTAAATAAAACACTAAACGTGAGCATTTTTTTTTTTTAAATAAACCAGCTCCTGGTGCTGTGAATACACAGAGTAGTTAGTTTTTTGGTTTTTTTTTAATAGACTTACTACCTATTTTTAGAGGCTTGCTCTTCAAGTCACTGGCTAATTAATAAAGAAAAATACGTATTCCTTATGCTTATATGATATTTCTTAATTATTACATTAGGAAAAGATACTGGATTTTTAAAAGTACAATTTGGAAATCTGGAGTTGGGATAATGGAGAGAAAGCCTGGTCTCTAATTGCTGCTCCTACACTGGCCAGCTGACCAACCGCAATCTGGTCACTTCATCTGTCTGGGCTGCAATTTCCTCAGAGGTAAAAAAAAAAAAAAAAAGTGGTTAGCTAAATAGTCCTTCCTGATCTGGAATGAGATAATATGAGGAGGAAACTCATCTCAATGACTCATCCACATTATCAGGTTGAAATCACGAGGAGGTCAGTGGAGAAATAACACCCAACATATAAATTTAGAGGTAACATCGTTTCACAATTTGAAGCAAAAAATGATTATTTTCTAACCTCTTAATGGAATAAGTAAACACTTATTTACTGCTTTTATTTTTATTTTTTTGTTTAACAGCAAAATTTGACTTTTTTTATGAGAATTGAACTTTTAGTTTTTTTAAATTTTTTAATTTTTTTATTTTATTATTATACTTTAAGTTTTAGGGTACATGTGCACAATGTGCAGGTTAGTTACATATGTATACATGTGCCATGCTGGTGTGCTGCACCCATTAACTCATCATTTAGCATTAGGTATATCTCCCATTGCTATCCCTCCCCCCTCGCCCCACCCCACAACAGTCCCCAGAGTGTGATGTTCCCCTTCCTGTGTCCATGTGTTCCCATTGTTCAATTCCCACCTATGATTGAGAATATGCAGTGTTTGGTTTTTTGTTCTTGTAATAGTTTACTGAGAATGATGATTTCCAATTTCATCCATGTCCCTACAAAGGACATTAACTCATCAATTTTTTATGGCTGCATATATTCCATGGTGTATATGTGCCACATTTTCTTAATCCAGTCTATCATTGTTGGACATTTGGGTTGGTTCCAAGTCTTTGCTATTGTGAACAGTACCACAATAAACATACGTGTGCATGTGTCTTTATAGCAGCATGATTTATAGTCCTTTGGGTATATACCCAGTAATGGGATGGCTGGGTCAAATGGTATTTCTAGTTCTAGATCCCTGAGGAATCGCCACACTGACTTCCACAATGGTTGAACTAGTTTACAGTCCCATCAACAGTGTAAAAGTGTTCCTATTTCTCCACATCCTCTCCAGCACCTGTTGTTTCCTGACTTCTTAATGATTGCCTTTCTAACTGGTGTGAGATGGTATCTCAATGTGGTTTTGATTTGCATTTCTCTGATGGCCAGTGACGGTGAGCATTTTTTCATGTGTTTTTTGGGTGCATAAATGTCTTCTTTTGAGAAGTGTCTGTTCATGTCCTTTGCCCACTTTTTGATGGGGTTGTTTTTTTCTTGTAAATGTGTTGGAGTTCATTGTAGATTCTGGATATTAGCCCTTTGTCAGATGAGTAGGTTGTGAAAATTTTCTCCCATTTTGTAGGTTGCCTGTTCACTCTGATGGTAGTTTCTTTTGCTGTGCAGAAGCTCTTTAGTTTAATTAGATCCCATTTGTCAATTTTGGCTTTTGTTGCCATTGCTTTTGGTGTTTTAGACATGAAGTCCTTGCCCATGCCTATGTCCTGAATGGTAATGCCTAGGTTTTCTTCTAGGGTTTTTATGGTTTTAGGTCTAACGTTTAAGTCTTTAATCCATCTTGAATTGATTTTTGTATAAGGTGTAAGGAAGGGATCCAGTTTCAGCTTTCTACATATGGCTAGCCAGTTTTCCCAGCACCATTTATTAAATAGGGAATCCTTTCCCCATTGCTTGTTTTTCTCAGGTTTGTCAAAGATCAGATAGTTGTAGATATGTGACGTTATTTCTGAGGGCTCTGTTGTGTTCCATTGATCTATATCTCTGTTTTGGTACCAGTACCATGCTGTTTTGGTTACTGTAGCCTTGTAGTATAGTTTGAAGTCAGGTAGTATGATGCCTCCAGCTTTGTTCTTTTGGCTTAGGATTGACTTGGAGATGCAGGCTCTTTTTTTGTTCCAGATGAACTTTAAAGTAGTTTTTTCCAATTCTGTGAAGAAAGTCATTGGTAGCTTGATGGGGATGGCATTGAATCTATAAATTACCTTGGGCAGTATGGCCATTTTCACAATATTGATTCTTCCTACCCATGAGCATGGAATGTTCTTCCATTTGTTTGTATCCTCTTTTATTTCCTTGAGCAGTGGTTTGTAGTTCTCCTTGAAGAGGTCCTTCACATCCCTTGTAAGTTGGATTCCTAGGTATTTTATTCTCTTTGAAGCAATTGTGAATGGGAGTTCACTCATGATTTGGCTCTCTGTTTGTTATTGGTGTATAAGAATGCTTGTGATTTTTGTACATTGATTTTGTATCCTGAGACTTTGCTGAAGTTGCTTCTCAGCTTAAGGAGATTTTGGGCTGAGACAATAGGGTTTTCTAGATATACAATCATGTCATCTGCAAACAGGGACAATTTGACTTCCTCTTTTCCTAATTGAATACCCTTTATTTCCTTCTCCTGCCTGATTGCCCTGGCCAGAACTTCCAACATTATGTTGAATAGGAGTGGTGAGATTGGGCATCCCTGTCTTGTGCCAGTTTTCAAAGGGAATGCTTCCAGTTTTTGCCCATTCAGTATGATATTAGCTGTGGGTTTGTCATAGATAGCTCTTATTATTTTGAGACACGTCCCATCAGTACCTAATTTATTGAGAGTTTTTAGCATGAAGGGTTGTTGAATTTTGTCAAAGGCCTTTTCTGCATCTATTGAGATAATCATGTGGTTTTTGTCTTTGGTTCTGTTTATATGCTGGATTACATTTATTGATTTGCGTATATTGAACCAGCCTTGCATCCCAGAGTTGAAGCCCGCTTGATCATGGTGGATAAGCTTTTCGATGTGCTGCTGGATTCGGTTTGCCAGTATTTTATTGAGGATTTTTGCATCAATGTTCATGAAGGATATTTGTCTAAAATTCTTTTTTTTGGTTGTGTCTCTGCCCGGCTTTGGTATCAGGATGATGCTGGCCTCATAAAATGAGCTAGGGAGGATTCCCTCTTTTTCTATTGATTGGAATAGTTTCAGGAGGAATGGTACCAGTTCCTCCTTGTACCTCTGGTAGAATTCGGCTGTGAATCCATCTGGCCCTGGACTCTTTTTGGTTGGTAAGCTATTGATTATTGCCACAATTTCAGGTTCTATTATTGGTCTATTCAGAGATGCAACTTCTTCCTGGTTTAGTCATGGGAGGGTGTATGTGTCAAGGAATTTATCCATTTCTTCTAGATTTTCTAGTTTATTTGCATAGAGGTGTTTGTAGTATTCTCTGATGGTAGTTTGTATTTCTGTGGGATTGGTGGTGATATCCCCTTTATCATTTTTTATTGTGTCTATTTGATTCTTCTCTCTTTTCTTCTTTATTAGTCTTGCTAGCAGTCTATCAATTTTGTTGATCCTATCAAAAAACCAGCTCCTGGATTCATTAAATTTTTTGAAGGGTTTTTTGTGTCTCTATTTCCTTCAGTTCTGCTCTGATTTTAGTTATTTCTTGCCTTCTGCTAGCTTTTGAATGTGTTTGCTCTTGCTTTTCTAGTTCTTTTAATTGTGATGTTAGGCTGTCAATTTTGGATCTTTCCTGCTTTCTCTTGTGGGCATTTAGTGCTATAAATTTCCCTCTACACACTGCTTTGAATGTGTCCCAGAGATTCTGGTATGTTGTGTCTTTGTTCTCATTGGTTTCAAAGAACATCTTTATTTCTGCCTTCATTTCGTTATGTACCCAGTAGTCATTCAGGAGCAGGTTGTTCAGTTTCCATGTAGTTGAGCAGTTTTGAGTGAGTTTCTTAATCCTGAGTTCTAGTTGGATTGCACTGTGGTCTGAGAGACAGTTTGTTATAATTTCTGATCTTTTACATTTGCCAAGGATAGCTTTAGTTCCAACTATGTGGTCAATTTTGGAATAGGTGTGGTGCGGTGCTGAAAAAAATGTATGTTCTGTTGATTTGGGGTGGAGAGTTCTGTAGATGTCTATTAGGTCCGCTTGGTGCAGAGCTGAGTTCAATTCCTGGGTATCCTTGTTAACTTTCTGTCTCGTTGATCTGTCTAATGTTGACAGTGGGGTGTTAAAGTCTCCCATTATTATTGTGTGGGAGTCTAAGTCTCTTTGTAGGTCACTCAGGACTTGCTTTATGAATCTGGGTGCTCCTGTATTGGGTACTTATATATTTAGGATAGTTAGCTCTTCTTGTTGAATTGATCCCTTTATCATTATGTAATGGCCTTCTTTGTCTCTTTTGATCTTTGTTGGTTTAAAGTCTGTTTTATCGGAGACTAGGATTGCAACCCCTGCCTTTTTTTGTTTTCCATTTGCTTGGTAGATCTTCCTCCATCCTTTTATTTTGAGCCTATGTGTGTCTCTGCATGTGAGATGGGTTATCTGAATACAGCACACTGATGGGTCTTGACTCTTTATCCAATTTGCCATTCTTTGTCTTTTAATTGGAGCATTTAGTCCATTTACATTTAAAGTTAATATTGTTATGTGTGAATTTGATCTTGTCATTATGATGTTATCTGGTGATTTTGCTCATTAGTTGATGCAGTTTCTTCCTAGCCTCAATGGTCTTTACAGTTTGGCATGATTTTGCAGTGGCTAGTACCGGTTGTTCCTTTCCATGTTTAGTGCTTCCTTCAGGAGCTCTTTTAGGGCAGGCCTGGTGGTGACAAAATCTCTCAGCATTTGCTTGTCTGTAAAGTATTTTATTTCTCCTTCACTTATGAAGCTTAGTTTGGCTGGATATGAAATTCTGGGTTGAAAATTCTTTTCTTTCAGAATGTTGAATATTGGCCCCCACTCTCTTCTGGCTTGTAGAGTTCCTGCCAAGAGATCTGCTGTTAGTCTGATGGGCTTCCCGTTGTAGGTAACCGGACCTTTCTCTCTGGCTGCCCTTAACATTTTTTCCTTCATTTCAACTTTGGTGAATCTGACAATTATGTGTCTTGGAGTTGCTCTTCTTGAGGAGTATCTTTGTGGTGTTCTCTGTATTTCCTGAATCTGAATGTTGGCCTGCCTTGCTAGATTGGGGAAGTTCTCCTGGATAATATCCTGCAGAGTGTTTTCCAAGTTGCTTCCATTCTCCCTGTCACTTTGAGGTACACCAATCAGACGTAGATTTGGTCTTTTCACATAGTCCCATATTTCTTGGAGGCTTTGTTTGTTTCTTTTTATTCTTTTTTCTCTAAACTTCCCTTCTTGCTTCATTTCATTCATTTCATCTTCCATCACTGACACCCTTTCTTCCAGTTGATCACATCGGCTCCTGAGGCTTCTGCATTCTTCATGTAGTTCTCGAGGCTTGGCTTTCAGCTCCATCAGCTTCTTTAAGCACTTCTCTCTATTGGTTATTCTAGTTATACATTCGTCTAAATTTTTTTCAAAGTTTTTAACTTCTTTGCCTTTGGTTTGAATTTCCTCCTGTAGCTCAGAGTAGTTTGATCATCTGAAGCCTTCTTCTCTCAACTCGTCAAAGTCATTCTCCATCCAGCTTTGTTCCATTGCTTTGTAGGAGGAGAGGCACTCTGCTTTTCAGAGTTTCCAGTTTTTCTGCTCTGTTTTTTCCCCATCTTTGTGGTTTTATCTACTGTTGGTCTTTGATGATGGCGACGTACAGATGGGTTTTTGGTGTGGATGTCGTTTCTGTTTGTTAGTTTTCCTTCTAACAGACAGGACCCTCAGCTGCAGGTCTGTTGGAGTTTGCTAGTGGTCCACTCCAGACCCTGTTTGCCTGGGTACCAGCAGCTGTGGCTGCAGAACAGCGGATTTTCGTGAACCGCGAATGCTGCTGTCTGATCGTTCCTCTCGAAGTTTTGTCTCAGAGGAGTACCCAGCCATGTGAGGTGTCAGTCTGCCCCTACTGGGGGGTGCCTCCCAGTTAGGCTACTCAGGGGTCAGGGACCAACTTGAGGAGGCAGTCTGCCCGTTCTCAGATCTCCAGCTGCGTGCTGGGAGAACCACTGCTCTCTTCAAAGCTGTCAGACAGGGACATTTAAGTCTGCAGAGGTTACTGCTGTCTTTTTGTTTGTCTGTGCCCTGCCCCCAGAGGTGGAGCCTACGGAGGCAGGCAGGCCTTCTTGAGCTGTGGTGGGCTCCACGCAGTTTGAGCTTCCCAGCTGCTTTGTTTACCTAAGCAATCCTGGGCAGTGGCGGGCGCCCCTCCCCCAGCCTCACTGCTGCCTTGCAGTTTGATCTCAGACTGCTGTGCTAGCAATCGGTGAGACTCTGTGGGCGTAGGACCCTCCGAGTCAGGTGTGGGATATAATCCCCTGGTGCGCCGTTTTTTAAGCCTGTAGGAAAAGCACAGTATTCAGGTGGGAGTGACCCGATTTTCCAGGTGCCATCTGTCACCCCTTTCTTTGACTAGGTAAGGGAACTCCCTGACACCTTGCACTTCCCGAGTGAGGCAATGCCTCACCTTGCTTCAACTTGTGCACGGTGCGCTGCACCCAGTGTCCTGCGCCCACTGTCTGGCACTCCCTAGTGAGATGAACCCGGTACCTCAGATGGAAATGCAGAAATCACCTGTCTTCTGCCTCGCTCATGCTGGGAGCTGTAGACCAGAGCTGTTCCTATTCGGCCATCTTGGCTCCACCTCCTATTTACTACTTTTAGATGGGTCTAGTGTTTCAAAAAGGTATGTTTTCTCATTTGCTCCACATTTTCTCCCTAGTTTTGTTTTTACATTTTTCTTCTGGAGTGAATGTGGGAAATAATGTATAAAATAGAGGTATGATTGAGTAGACATTATCTCAATGGCAAGTAAGCATAAGACTTTGACAAAAAATTTTCCCTTTAATAAGTCTGATATAAGGATTTGGAAAGAAAGATTTAGGGCAGACAAGCATCTTATGTGATTGAACTGATTTCTGTGTTCTGTGAACAGTGAATAAATAGTGATGAGGACAGTAAAATATGTCAACAATTAACAATTACTAGTGATACTTTATTTTGGTTCTTGCTTTTCTAAACTGTTAACCATGAACATATAAGTAAGTATTTAAAACATATATTGTTCATTAAATGTATGATCATGCTTATTTAACCAGCAGTATGGTCTTGGCTTAGTCTCATAGCCGTAGCCTCTCTGACCTTCATTTTCTTTCCTTTTTTTTTTTCTTTTTCAAATATCCCTTTCATTGTGAAATGTAACATGACAAAAATTGTCTATTCTGAAAAAATGGAGAAACATAGACGTATATCTTAATGTATATTTTAAATACCTGAGCAGTCATTGCATAGGTCAGGAAATACAATATAGGAATCTTGAATTCCAATACAGCAATTCTCCCAGCTTGTTCTTCAAGAGTGGTGGTGTAGGTCTTCTCTGCCCTTTGTCATTCCATTTAAATTTTAGAAAGAGATTTTTAAGTTCTAACAAAAATCCTGCTGGGACTTTGATTGGGATTGCCTTAAATTTACAGATCAATGTGAAGAGAATGTACTTCTTTATAATATTGGGTCTTCTAATCACAAACACAGAATATTTATCAATTATTTATTGAGGTCTTTGTCTTTTTCTAATGAAGTTTTATAATTATCTTTGTAGAAGTCTGGCATGTCTTTTGGCAGATCTTTTCCTTGGTACTTCATATTTTTTAATATTATAAATTCTCTCTTTATTTAACTTTTGCTCTTTATATTTTGTCATTCAGAAATAAAACTGATTTTTGTATATTGCTTTTTTTATCTTGAAAACCTGCACAGCTATCTTTTTAATTCTAATAATGTAACTGTAGATTATTTAAATTTTTTAATGTATAAAACCAAATATCTATAAATACTGGTAATTTTGGCTCTTCCTTTTTAATTTTTATCCCTTTTGGTTTTATTTTCTTGCCTTACAGCACCAGCTAGAACCCTCCATTTCTTGATCTGTTAAATTGGGATAATATTTTCTTTTGGGGTTATTGTACAATTATATTAGTTAGAGACAGTGTATATAACATGACTGATGCAGGGTCTGGAACATGGAAGAGGATCAATAAATGTCAGCTATTAACTACTTTCATTTTATAATTATTGATGAGCTTTGTGCCTTCTGTATTATGCTAAGTAATGAAGGTTAAAAAAGAACTAAGAGATGTTTTTTATTTGTAAGAAGCATACAGAGTAGTTGGAGAGACGAGGCAAACTAATGAAAATACAAGCTAGCATTTTCAAGTCCCAAACCACTGTTAGTGATGCTGCCCTGCTTTAAAGACAGCCAGTGTGACTGGCAGATGTTTCACAATGTAAACATCATAGTTAAATAACAGCTACTGCCCAGATTTGCATTTATGGATGGGGCCCTTTTATTTGCAAAAAGTTCTATGGGGACTTTGTAATAGGTACCATGGTAATTATGTGGGACCAGCCAAACTCTCCCATTTTACAGGGTGAGAATCGAGATGAGAAAATCTGAAGTTTTTGTAAGTTTGTGCTTGAAGGGCTTTGCAGAGGGAAGATAGATATCAGATGTGTTGATATCTATGCTAGTGTTGAAGGGCTTTGCAGAGGGAAGATAGATATCAGATGTGTTGATATCTATGCTAGTGTTCATCTTTCTATGTCCCATTAGAGTTCAGGAGAATAAGATTCACTTATGAACTGAGTCGTATTTTTCTGTCTCTTAAAATTCAATTCATTTATTCTAAAAAGATCAATGGCTCAAATGAACACTGGAAACTGCCTCCACCTTTCATCTCCTTGAAATCATGCCAGAAAAAGCCTCCAGCATGCCCAACTGTAGCTTACCTTTTCTAAAGTTTCTCCCTCCCTGGATGGTGGTAGCGAGTATCATCACTTGTTAACATACAGATGACTCCAGAAATTTCTGCACTTCAAAGTGAATCTTTTATTCACCTGAGTGTTTAACTATGTCAATGTGCTCTCATTATCAGATTTAATTGAATAATTCAACAAGGAAATGTGCCCAGTGCACACATTATACAGATGTGTTTGCCAACGTTATCTTGGCTTGCAGGAGAGAGCAACCCTCTGATGCCCTGAGTTATTCAGAAAGGCCATCACGGATGTCAACATAAGATAGAGGAGATAGACATCTGTGGTAATATGTGAATACCAAAATTTGTCCCTAGTTTATTCTTTTATCACATTGATAGGAGGCTGCGCTTGTGCTGCAGTTGCATAAGTGAACAGCTGGTCATGAGGAAGTTGTTGTACTTATCTTCCCACTGGATAGTATGTTATTTTTGGCCAACATAAAGCCTGTCAAGAATGGCTATACTCCAAGGTGAAGTAGAAGGCCTTGCATGTATGAAGACCTTGCTAGTTTCCTGGCCTGCTGGTGAAAAACAATTGTAATATTTCTGACCTAATGGAAAGATGCAGATTGCTTTTATATGCTGAAACTTAAACTCCAAGGTCATAATGTGAAGAGGTGAGGCCTCTGAAAAAGTGATCAAGTCATGAGGGCTAAAAAAAGTTTCAGAGAGCTTCCTGACCCTTCCTTATCTTTTGCCATGTGAGGGCACAGTGCTGTTCCCCTTAATTGCCTCTTCTACCATGTGAAGATGCAGTAAGAGGTGCCATCTTGAAGCAGAGAGTGTCTTTACCAGACACTAAATCAATCAGGACCTTGATCTTGGACTTGCCAGTCTCCAGAACTGTGAAAAAATAAGTTTTCATTGTTTATAAATTACCCAGTCTGTGGTGTTTTGTTATAACAGCAGAAATAGAATAAGACACAGATATATTTCCACTGCATTCATCCAAGTGTGGTTGAAAAAACTACATACTACAAATTATTTTATGTTGTTAATTCATACTATTTTATGTTGTTAATTCATACAGATACTTGGTTGAACTGCACAGATATATAATTTGAATTAAAACTGCTGTGAACCATGTAAAATATAGAGCATGCAAGACTAATTTACTATAAAACTGCTGTATTAGTCAGCTGTTTGCTTCAATAATGCTGTGTAAAAAAAACCACCTCCCAAATCTCAGTTGACTTATACAAACGAAACTTATTTGTTTGCTCTCAGGCCCATGAATTGGGTATGGCACAGCTGGACTTGGCTGGGCTAGATTTGGCTAGACTTGGCACGAGGATACAGACTGCATTTAGGTCTGTTTCATATGTCTCCTCATTTTGGGACTTGGATTGAAGAGGCTGTGGTTCCCTGGAACAATATCTCTTCGGGACAGAATGCAAGAGGGCAAACCAAACCATATATAAACATTTAAAGCCTCTGATTGAATGTGGTTCACATTATGTTCTTTAAAATTCCATTAGCCGAAGCAAGTCACCTTGTCAAACTAAGCCAGTGACATTGGAAAGTGTCCCTGCTAAAATATGTGTCTGGGCTGAAGAGAGAAGAAAGAATGGTGAACAAATAATATAATTTACTATAACTGGTGACGATAAGCCACTGAATGAAGTTAGGCCAACTGGATCATAAGGAAATTCAATCTATCAGAATCAATTTGGTATTTTTTAATGTCAAGATTTTTTTAATTCACTTAAAATCGTTATGCCATGTGATTTCCCTTCTATTGGATCAATAAGCTTATGCGCTTCAGGACTAGAAAATATGTCTTCTAGAACAATAAAGTCACTGCTAGTCTCAAATTATGATTTCTGAATCTCTAGTAAGAAAATACTACATGGTCAGGATTTTGTGGGAGAGAAAATGGGTTTCTAAATTCAAAATTCTCTTTTACTTTCAAAAACAGAGCATAGGGGCTGGGTGCTGTGGCTCACGCCTGTGATCCCAGCACTTTGGGAGGCCGAGGCAGATGGATCACTTGAGGTCAGGAGTTCAAGACCATCCTGGCCAGCATGGTGAAACCCTGTCTCTATTGAAAATTAAAAAAATTAGCTGGGCATGGTGGCAGACCCTTGTAATCCCCAGCTACTCGGGAGGCTGAGGCAAGAGAACCACTTGAACCTGGGAGGTGGAGGTTGCAGTAAGCGGAGATTGTGCCACCACACTCCAGCCTGGGTGACAGAGTGAAACTGTCTCAAAAATAAATAAATAAATAAATAAATAAATAAATAAATAAATATATAAATAAATATAATGAAAACAGAGCATAGGAAACTGAATTTCAAATTTTACTGTAAAATATAGATAGAGCTATGACAAAAGAAAAAGTAAGTTATTAATTGCCTCAGAGGAAGTGACCACCTCTGGGTGTTAGAGGTGGGAGGAACCTAATGAAGGGCAAAGCATCATACAGGTAGGGCTTGGCAACCCCTTATGTAAAGGGGTAAGGATAGAATCACCAGATGGACAGGGAAATTTTCAAACAGTGAAGCCTATCTTCTGGTGGAGAACAGCACCATTTCAAGACCTTTTGAGATGCTTCATGTTCAGTTTGGTGCTAGAGCAACTTGTGTCAGGAAGTAGGTTAGTATGTTCATCAGGGTTTCCCAGAGGAACAAAATCAGTAGGAGATACTCATATATGTATATACTCACATGTGTGTGTAATTAGAGGTTTATTTCAAGGAATTGACATGTAATTTTGGAGACTGGCAAGTCCAAAATCTATAGGGTATAATGGAAGGCTGCAAACTGTTAGGTAAGATCTAATGCTGCAGTCTTGGGACAGAGTTTTTTCATTTTTAGAGAAACTTCAAGGCCATCTGTGACAAACCCATAGCCAAAAAAATACTGAATGGGGAAAAGATGAAAGCATTCCCTCTGAGAACTGGAACAAGACAAGGATGCCCACTGTCATCACTTCTCTTCAACCTAGAACTGGAAGTCCTAGCCAGAGCAATCAGACAAGAGAAGGAAATAAAGAGCATCTAGTTAGATAAAAAGGAAGTCAAGCTGTCACTGTTTGCTGATGATATGATCGTTTACCTCAAAAACCCTAAAGACTTCTCCAGAAAGCTCCTAGAACTGATAAAAGATTTCAGCAGTTTCAGGATACAAAATTTATGTGCACAAATCAGTAGCTCTTCTATACACCAACAACGACCAAGCAGAGAATCAAATCAAGAACTCAACCCATTTTATAATAGCTGCCAAAAAATAAAATAAAATAATTAGGAATATACCTAGCCAAGTTTGTGAAAGACCTCTATAAGGAAAATTACAAAACACTGCTGAAAGAAATCATAGATGACACAAACAAATGGAAACACATCCCATGTTCATGGATGAGTAGAATCAATATTGTGAAAATGACCACACTAACAAATGTAATCTACAAATTCAACACTATTCTCATCAAAATGCCACCATCGTTCTTCATAGAATTCAACAAAATTCTAAAATGTATATGGAACCAAAAAAGAGCCTGAATAGCCAAAGCAAGACAAAGCAAAAAGAACAAATCTGGAGGCATCACACTACCTGATTTCAAACTATACTATAAGGCGATAGTCACCAAAACAGCATGGTACTGGTATAAAAATAGGCACATAGACCAATGGAACAGAATAGAGAACCCAGAAATAAACCCAAATACTTATAGCCAACTGATCTTCAACAAAACAAACAAAAACATAAAGTGGGGAAAGGACACCCTTTTCAACAAATGGTGCTGGGATAATTCGCTAGCCACATGTAGGAGAATAAACTGGATCTGCATCTCTCACCTTATGTAAAAATCAACTCCAGATGAATTAAGGACTTAAATCTAAGACCTGAAACTATAAAAATTCTAGAAGATAACATTGTAAAAATCCTTCTAGACATTGGCTTAGGGAAGGAGTATATGACTAAGAACCCAAAGCAAATGCAATAAAAACAAAAATAAATAGCCGGGACTTAATTGAGTTAATTAAACTAAAGAGCTTTTGCATGGCAAAAGGAACAGTCAGCAGAGTAAACAGAAAACCCACAGAGTTGGAGAAAATCTTTATAATCTATACATCTGACAAAGGACTAATATCCAGAATCTACAATGAACTCAGACAAATCAGCAAGTAAAAAACAAACAATCCCATCAAAAAATGTGCCAAGGACATGAATACACAATTCTCAAAAGAAGATACACAAATGACCAACAAACATATGAAAAAATGCTCAACATCACTAATGATCAGGAAAATGCAAATCAAAACCACAATGCAATATCATCTTGCTCCTGCAAGAATGGCCATAATCAAAAAATCAAAACATAGTAGATGTTGGTGTGGATGCGGTAGTCAGGGAACATTTCTACACTGCTGGTGGAAATGTAAACTAGTACAGCTACTATGAAAAACAGTGTGGAGATTCCTTAAAAAACTAAAACTACCATTTGGTGTAGCAATCTCACTACTAGGCATCTGCCCAGAGGAAAAGAAGTCATTATATGAAAAAGATACTTGCACATGCATGTTTATAGCAGCACAATTTGCAATTGCAAAATTGTGGAACGAACCCAAATGCTCATCAATCAATGAATGGATAAAGAAACTGTGGCATACAGAAATACAAACTATCATCTGAGGATACTATAAACACTTCTATGCAAATAAACTAGAAAATTTAGAAGAAATGGATAAATTCCTTGATACATACACCCACCCAAGACTAAGCCAGGAAGAAGTCGAATTCCTGAATAGACCAATAACAAATTCTGAAATTGAGGCAGTAATTAATAGCCTACCAACCAAAAAAAGCCCAGGACCAGATGGATTCACAGCTGAATTCTACCAGAGGTACAAAGAGGAGCTGGTACCATTCATTCTGAAACTATTCCAAACAATAGAAAAAGAGTGAATCCTCCCTAACTCATTTTATGAGGCCAGCATCATCCTGATACCAACATCTGGCAGAGACACAACAAAAAAAGAAAATTTCAGGCCAATATTCCTGATGAACATCAATGTGAAAATCCTCAATAAAATACTGGGAAACCAAATTCAGCAGCACATCAAGAAGCTTATCCACCACGATCAAGTCGGCTTCATCCCAGGGATGCAAGGCTGGTTCAACATATGCAAATCAATAAACGTAATCCATCACGTAAACAGAACCAATGACAAAAACCACATGATTTTCTCAATATATGCAGAAAAGGCCTTTGATAAAATTCAACACCCCTTCATGCTAGAAACACTCAATAAACTAGGTGTTGATGGAACATATCTCAAAATAATAAGAGCTATTTATGACAAACCCACAGCTAATATCATACTGAATGGGCAAAAGCTGGAAGCATTCCCTTTGAAAACCAGCACAAGACAAGGATGCCCTCTCTCACCACTCCTATTCAATATAGTAGTGGAAATTCTGGCCAGGGCAATCAGGCAAGAGAATGAAATAAACGTATTCAAATAGGAAGAGATGACATCAAATTATCTCTGTTTGCAGATGACATGATTGTATATTTACAAAACCCCATTGTATCAGTCCCAAAACTCCTTAAGCTGATAAGCAACTTCAGCAAAGTCTCAGGACACAAAATCAATGTGCAAAAATCACAAGCATTCCTATACACCAATTATAGACAAACAGAGAGCCAAATCATGAGCAAACTCCCATTCACAATTGTTACAAAGAGAACAAAATACCTAGGACTATAACTTACAAAAGATATGAATGACCTCTTCAGGGAGAACTATAAGCCACTGCTGAAGGAAATAAGAGAGGACACAAACAAATGGAAAAACATTCCATGCTCATGGATAGGAAGAATCAATATCATGAAAATGGCCATACTGCCCAAAATAATTTATAGATTCAATGGTATTCCCATCAAGTTACCATTGACTTTCTTCACAGAATTACAAAAAAACTACTTTAAATTTCATATAGAACCAAAAAAGAGCTCATATAGACAAGACACTCCTAAGCAAAAAGAGCAAGGCTGGAAGCATCACGCTACCTGACTTCAGACTATACTACAAGGCTACAGTAACCCAAACAGCATGGTACTGGTACCAAAACAGATATATAGACCAATGGAACATAACAGAGGCCTCAGAAATAACACCACACATCTACAACCATCTGATCTTTGACAAGACTGACAAAATCAAGCAATGGGGAAAGGATTCCCTATTTAATAAATGGTACTGGGAAAACTAGCTAGCCATATGCAGAAAACTGAAACTGGACCCCTTCCTTACACGTTATACAAAAATTAACTCAAGATGGATTAAAGATTTAAATGTAGGACCCAAAACCATAAAAACCCTAGAAGAAAACCTAGGCAATACCATTCAGGACATAGGCATAAGCAAAGACTTCATGATTAAAACACCAAAAGCAATTGCGATAAAAGCCATGATTGACAAATGGGATCTAATTAACCTAAAAAGCTTCTGCACAGCAAAAGAAACTATCATCACCACGAACAGGTAACTTACAGAATGGGAGAAAATTTTTGCAATCTCTCCATCTGACAAAAGGCTAATATCCAGAATCTACAATGAACTTAAACAAATTTACAAGAAAAAAAAAAAAACAACCCCATCAAAAAGTGGGCAAAGGATATGAACAGACACTTTTTAAAAGAAGACATTTATTCAGCCAGCAAACATATGAAAAAAAGCTCATCATCACTGGTCATTAGAGAAATGCAAATCAAAACCACAATGAGATACCATCTCACACCAGTTAGAATGGCCATCATTAAAAAGTCAGGAAACAACAGATGCTGGAGAGGATGTGGAGAAATAGGAACACTTTTACACTGTTGGTAGGAGTGTAAATTAGTTCAACCATTGTGGAAGACAGTGTGGCAATTCCTCAAGGATCTAGAACTAGAAATACCATTTGACCCAGCAATCCCATTACTGGGTATATACCCAAAGGATTATAAATCATTCTTCTATAAAGACACATGCACGCATATGTTTATTGCAGCACTATTCACAATAGCAAAGACTTGGAACCAACCCAAATGCCCATCATTGACAGACTGGATAAAGAAAATGTGGCACATATACACCATGGAATACTATGCAGCCATGAAAAAGGATGAGATCATGTCCTTTGCAGGGACATGGATGAAGCTGGAAACCATCATTCTCAGTAAACTAACACAGGCACAGAAGACCAAACACCACATGTTCTCATTCATAAGTGGGAGTTTAACAATGAGAATATATGGGCACAGGTAGGGGAACATCACACACTGGAGCCTGTTGTGGGGTTGGGGGCAAGCAGGGGGATAGCATTAGAAGAAATATCTAATGTAGATGACGGGTTGATGGGTGCAGCAAACCACCATGGCACATGTATACCTGGGTAACAAACTTGTACATTCTGCACATGTATCCCAGAACTTAAAGTATAATAAAAAAAGAAACTGTGGCATATATATATATATATATGATGTAATACTGCTCAGTCATAAAAAGGAATGAATGAATTAACAGCATTTGCAGCAACCTGGATGAGATTGAAGACTATTATTCTAAGTGATGTAATTCAGGAATGGAAAAGTATGTAAAGGCATAAGAATGATACAATGGACTTTGGGGACTTGCGGGGAAGGTTGGGAGGGGGCAAGGGATAAAAGACTACAAATAGGGTGCAATGTACACTGCTAGGGTGTTGGGTGCAGCCAAATCTCACAAATCACCACTAAAGAACTTACTCATGTAACCAAATACCACCTGTACCCCAATAACCTAAGGAAAAATAAAATAATTTTCACCTAGAAAAAAAATTTTAGTTTTGGGCTTTTCCATATTAAAAATAGTTGAATAATCACATGATTTAATACATAGTCTTTCTTTATTGTGTTTTCTGTATTAGTTTGCTCTGCCACTACTATAAAAACATACCTGAGACTGGGTAATTTATTAAGAAAAGAGGTTTAATCTGCTCACAGTTCTGCAGACTGTATAGGCTTCTGCTGCTGGGAAGGTCTCAGGAAACTTCCAATCATGGTGGAAGGCAAAGAGGAAGCAGGCACAATCTTCACATAGCTGGCAGGAGAGAGAGAGTAAAAAGGGAAGTGGATCTCATGAAAACTCTATCATGAGACAGCACTCCGGGGTAGTGCTAAATGATTAGAAACCACCCCCATGATTCAATTACCTCCCACCAGGCCCCACCTTCAACACTAGGGATCACAATTCAACCTGAGATTTGGGTGGAGACAGAGCCAAACCACATCAGACTTTATAGTCAATGAGATGTAATTAGTAGGAAACTTTGTCTGCAGTTTTATTTACTAGCAGTTATAAACACAGGTGCCAGAATTACCCAATTTTTGTGTCTGACACATATTGAAGTGATTGCACCATTTGGTTTTAGCATATATCACTTTTAATTATGATCACACGAATTTGTGAATGTAATTTTGAAATAAAAGAAGGTTATGTCCAGCAGATCTCACTGACAAAAACTATCAGTATTTAAAGCAAACAATGTAAAAATATGTGTTTCTTTGTGTGTGTGTACGTATATGTGTACATACAGACGCAAATATACATATACTTTAGGTATATATGTACAGTGTTTTTATGTTTGTATATATATTGTATGTTGTATACATATGTTGCATAACATATATATGTTGTATATATATGTTGTGTATATATATGTCTAATATGAATGTGGTCTATCTATACAATGGAATATTATTCTTCAATTCAAAAGAATAAAGTTCTCAAAAGAAGAAAAAGAACAGGCCAATAGGGATATAAACAATGCTCAACATCCCTAATCATCAGGGAAATGCAAATTAAAATCAGAAATCACAATGAGATATCACCTCATACCTATTATAATGGTTATTATTAGAAAGACAAAAGTTAATGTGTTAGTGAAGACGTAGAGAAAAAGGAACACTTTTACATTGCTGGTGGGAATGTAAATGAGTACAGCTATTCCGAAACAAAGTATGGAGGCTCCTCAAGGAATCAAAAATAGAACTACTATATGATCTAGCAATCCTACTACTGAGTATATATCCAAAGGATATGAAATCAGTAGTCAGACATCTGCACTCTCATGTTCATTGCAGTATTATTCATAATAGCTAAGATATGGAAACTATGTCTATAAATGAACAAACAGATAAAATGGGGCATATATGTATAAAATGGAATACTACATACCCTTTAAAAAATGAAATTCTGTCATTTACAAAAATATGGATGAACCTGGAGGACATTACGTTAAGTGAAATAAGCCAGTCATTGAAAGACAAATATTGCATGATCTCGCTTATGTGTGGAATCTAAAAAAGTCAAACTCATAGAAACAGAGAGTAAAGTGGTGATTACCAGAGGTTGAGGGTAGAGAGATTAGGGAAATGTTGGTCAAAGGACACAAAATTTCAATTAGACAGGAGTAATAAGTTCAAGAGATCTATCGTATATCATCTTGATTACTGTTAATAGCAATGTATTGTATGCTTGAAAATTGCTAAAACAGTAGATTTTAAATTTCCTCATAGTAAAAAAATAAGGATAGGAAGTAATGCATGTATGTTAAATAGCTTGAGATTTGTCCATTCTACAATGTATACATGTATCAAAACATCATGTTGTACACCATAAACACAATTTTTACTTGTCAATTAAAAATTTAATTAAAAGTAAAATAAAAACTCTTGTTAAAAAGAAATCAATCTTATCTTTTTCCATTCAACTATTCCACTAGCCTAAAATGTAAAAAAAAGAATGAAATACTGAAACATGCTACAACATGGATGGACTTTGAAAACCTTATGCAAAGTGAAAGAAGCCAGACAGCGTCCACATATTGTATTGCTCCATTTATATGAAATGTCCAGAATAAGCAAGTTTATAGAGACAGGAAGTGGATCACTGGTTGCCAGGGTCTGCAGAGAGGGGAGAGAAAGGATAATGACTACTAATGGATAATGGGGTTTATTTGAGGTGGAAATATTCTGAAATTAGAACTGCATATCTACTTAAATATCCTGAAAGTCTCTGAATTGTGTACTATAAAAGGATTAATTATATATTTTGAGAATTATTTATCCATGACAATAAATAAATAAATTATAGAACTGTAAGGATAAATTGACAAATCCACAATTGTAAAAGGAAATTCTATTTCACTTTCCTTAGAAATTGACTAGTTAGAAAAACAAATGATAGGTAAGAATGAGGAGGATTGCAATCACATAATCAACAAGATTGACCTGATAGATTTCTCTTTAACTTTGTGCCCCTCACAGTAGAGAATGTATATTTTTTCAAATACATACAGATTCATTCACAATGATTAACCATATATTAGCATAAATAAGAAATATCCACAGTTTTCAATAGCTTTCCATATATGTGACATTCACCGACCACAATACAGTAAAATTGTAAAATTTACTGCATTAGCTACAAATTAATATTTTAGAAAGTATCTGTACCCTGGAAAAAATTTCCAAATAACTCTTGGGTTCAAGAAACAAAATAAGCTGCAAAATATTTAGGACTAAACAGCAGCAAAAACATGGTATGCATATCAAATCTTATGAGATGCATCCAAAGAAAGACTCAAGGGAAAATTTAAAGTCTTAAATATAGTATTTTAGAAAATAAGAAATAATGAACTGAAATTGATTAAGCTTTAAAGTTAAAAAAGAAAAAGGAGCCAATAAGGATAAGAGACGATATTAAGAAAACAGAAAGCAAATAAAAACAGCAAAGATAATCACAAAATAAAATCTCATTATTTGAAAATACTCATAGGAAAACATAAAGATAGACATTGACAAGTATCAAGGAAAAGAGACACCCAAATAAGATAAGGAACAAAAATGAATCATACACAGAGGAATAAAATATAAAAAGAAACACCAGTAAATGTGAATATGCTGATGAAATGGACACTTTGCAGGAAAACACGAGTCGCTAAAATTGGCCCAGTGGGTTACTTAAATAGACTAAAACCATAAAGGAAATAAAAATGGTACTTACTGCTCTGTCTCTACAAAAGGCACTAAAGTGACTGCTGTTAACTGTTTAAACAACGGGCGCAGTGAATTCTCATTATCCACAGTAGTTTTGTTCCGTAAAGTTGCTGCTAATACTGAATTAGTGAATCCTGAACCATTGTTCCTAGGGGAAATATAGAGTTAGGTTTTTGTGAGCCTCTAGCCACAACATTTTCACTAACTGATCAATGCATAACTTTATTTTCTGTGTGTTTCTGTTTAAAGACCCTGTGATACATATTGCTGATTCATTAACATTGAGCTCATGTCCAATAGCACTAAAACTTATGCCTGAGTAAAGGTAATTTAACACACATATTTCCTCCATAAGGCATATCACAGCCATTTGTCTTGCTTAAGAACACTAGACAGCACTGCAGCATTATAGTTGAGGGCCATTTTAAACTGTAACATCACCAACGAAAATGCAAAAAACATAGCACTAAGTATACCACGAAAAAGATACTTATTTATAGTATGGGATCTGAGACAAGAAGGCAGAGCATTGCCTTGTTTGACCTTAGCTGGGAACATGAACATAGAATGACAAATTTTTGGCCACTCTGTTTATGTTCACAGATTACCATCAAAGTGCTACAAATATTGATTTTGGGGTTACGGATCAATTGTAGCTGGTAGGCAAAATTACAAATATAGAGTCTATGAATAATAAAGATTGATTATAACTGCTAATTTATCTATTTGCTCCAAGACATAGGAAAAGTGGCATAGGAATTATGCCACTTTAAATTAAGCTAAGGACCACACAAGGAAAGAAAATTATAAGCCTATTCCATATTAACAAGGAATCCAAAATGTTATGTCACATATTGGCAAACTAAATCCAGCAGGAGATGAAAAGAACAAAATATTAGGAATACGTATATCTGAGGAATTCAAGGATAGTTCAAAACTAGAAACCGGTATGTGTCTTTGTTCAGACTGCTATAACAAAATACCACAGACTGGATAGCTTATGTACAACAGGAATTTATTTCTCATAGTCTGGAGGCTGGAAAGTCTAAGATCAAGGTGCCAGCAGATTCAGTATCTGGTGAGGACCTGCTTTCTGGTTCACAGATGGCACTTTCTGACTATGTCCTCACATGGTAGAAGGAGCAAGTCAACTCTTTGGGGTCTTTTAACATAAGGGCACTAATCTCAATTATGAGAGCTCCATTCTCATTATCTAATCACCACCCAACGACAATACCTCCTAATGCCATCACATTAGTGATTAGGTTTCAACAGAGGAATTTTGGGGAGGCACAATACTAAGACCATAGTAGTATGTTAATTAGCACTTTAAAAAATAGAACAGTATTACCTCAATAGCTGTAGAAAATGCATTTAATCATATTTAACATTCAATCATGATGAAATTTCTACAAATTTCTTAGCAAACCTGGACTTAAGCCTGAGGATTAAGCAACATTTGGCCAAAAGCCTGAGGATAAAGTCAATATAGGAGGATAGCAAAGCAAGGGGACTTTCATAAAAGCAGAGCTGGGGCTTGACATGCTCTACCTGAAGTGACTCTGTCTTGAAATTTCCTGGTATATAAAATAATATATTCTTGTGTTATATAGGCTAATTTTAGAACTGTGTTTCAGTTACTTTGTAATAAATATGAAAAGCAAGACCAAAATAGTCAATGATTTTTAGATGATATGATTATCTATCTAAAAAGTAAAAAAACAAGAATCTCATCTTATGAACTATTGGAACCAATAAGAAAGTTTAATAAGGTGGCCAGATATAGGAATGGCATATAAAAATCAATAGCTTGAATGTTATCATAAACTTGGAATACACTACTTTTTTTTTTATTATACTTTAAGTTCTGGGGTACATGTGCAGAGATGAGATTTTTTAAGCCAATCACAAAAAGCAATAACAATAAAGATGAAAATGATAAATTAGATTATAGCAAAAGACACTGCTAAGGTGGATAAAGTCTATCCTCAAAGGGAGAATATATTAGCAATGCATACAACTGACAAAGAACTCATATCTAAGACATAAAAAGAATTCTTGCAAAGCAATAAAAAGATAGACACAAAAGAAAAATGAATGGAAAGCTTGAGCAGGCCCTCCACAAGTGATTTTCAAATGGTTGGTACACATTTGAAAATGTGCCTGACTTCACTAGTTTTCAGGGAAATGCAAAATTAAAGCAAAGGCTGCTATTACATTAAATGACTAAAATGAAGATGAAAAATGTACTCAGTACCACATGTTGGCAAGGGTGCAGAACTGGAACACTGTGGGTTAAGTACTAATTCTCATACACTCCTGGTGGTACTATAAATTCGTTCATCCCCTGTAGATATCTGGCAGTATATATGAAATCTATTAATAAGCTATTCTATTCCTGGATATGTAAACCAATAAAAATGCATAAATAAGTTTAAATGTACAAGACATGTTCAATAATGTTCATGCAAGTACCATCCAATCCCCATAAAATAGCATAGATAACTAAATTGTGGTATATTAGCAAAATAAAATACAATTCAGCATTAAGAATACATAAATGCCAACTTTATACAATAAGGATGAATCTTGAAAACAGAATGTGGGATGAAAGAAGCCAGACACTAAAGATTTTGTAGTGTATGAGTTTATTTATATGAAATTTAAAGCAGGTGAAATTATTGCATGGTGCTAGAAGTTAAGAAAGAAGTTACCCTTGGGGTGAAGGCAGTGGTGGGAAGAGAATATGAGGCAGGCATCTTTTCTTCACCTGGTTGCTAGTTACAGGTATGAATTGAGCTTGTGAGACTTTATTGAGCTACAAAGTTTTCTGCAGATGAACTTTTTCTTCAGTAAGATTATCTTCCAAAAGACTAAAAAATCAAGAATTTTCCTGTGCATGATCAATAACCAGCTGGTAAAAATATTAAAAGAAAATATTCCACTCAAAATAGCAATAAATAGTACAATGTACTTAGGAACAAAAAATTTTATAGACAACTTTGGAAATAATAAAGGCATTTTTAGTAAATAAAGGTATACAGGCTGACATTCCTCATCTAAAAATCTGAAATCCAAAATGCTCCAAAATTCAAAACTTTTTGAGCACCAACAAGATGCTACAAGTAGAACATTTTGCACCTGACCTCATGTGATGGGTGGCAGTCAACACATAGTTGGTTTCTTGTCCCCAAGGGAAAAAAGACCTTCCCAGCCCTCTTCAGCTGTGATACAGCTTTTTATGCACAGGCCCAGATTCCCCCCATGTAAGCACACCTACAAAGGCTGATAAAATGGCTCATATGCAGTCCAGACATATCAATGGTAGGTTCCCCATGGTGACCAGATGGGTCCAAGACCTACGTGGATTAGTCACTGTGGGTTCTTTTGCTTATTCTCTGCTCTGCTCTGTGGTATAGGAGTAAAAGTATGGTGTTGGAATGACCACTATATATAACCTGAAGAAACAGATGGATAAACTGTTGAAGTTCTACGCTGAAAGTGATAAACAGGATTTAATGAGAAATGGAAAAACACTGCATAAAGCTAAAAAGGAAGATCTCAACTCTGTATTGAAAGAATGAAGTTGCTTATCAGCTTAAGGAGATTTTGGGCTGAGACAACGGGGTTTTCTAGATATACAATCATGTCGTCTGCAAACAGGGACAATTTGACTTCCTCTTTTCCTAATTGAATACCCTTTATTTCCTTCTCCTGCCTAATTGCCCTGGCCAGAACTTCCAACACTATGTTGAATAGGAGTGGTGAGAGAGGGCATCCCTGTCTTGTGCCAGTTTTCAAAGGGAATGCTTCCAGTTTTTGCCCATTCAGTATGATATTGGCTGTGGGTTTGTCATAGATAGCTCTTATTATTTTGAGATACGTCCCATCAATACCTAATTTATTGAGAGTTTTTAGCATGAAGGGTTGTTGAATTTTGTCAAAGAGCCCGCATCACTAAGTCAATCCTAAGCCAAAAGAACAAAGCTGGAGGCATCAGACTACCTGACTTCAAACTATACTTCAAGGATACAGTAACCAAAACAGCATGGTACTGGTACCAAAACAGAGATATAGATCAATGGAACACAACAGAGCCCTCAGAAATAATGCCGCATATCTACAACTATCTGATCTTTGACAAACCTGAGAAAAACAAGCAATGGGGAAAGGATTCCCTATTTAATAAATGGTGCTGGGAAAACTGGCTAGCCATATGTAGAAAGCTGAAACTGGATCCCTTCCTTACACCTTACACAAAAATCAATTCAAGATGGATTAAAGACTTAAACATTAGACATAAAACCATAAAAACCCTAGAAGAAAACCTAGGCATTACCATTCAGGACATAGGCATGGGCAAGGACTTCATGTCTAAAACACCAAAAGCAATGACAACAAAAGCCAAAATTGACAAATGGGATCTAATTAAACTAAAGAGCTTCTGCACAGCAGAGTGAACAGGCAAACTACAAAATGGGAGAAAATTTTTGCAGCCTACTCATCTGACAAAGGGCTAATATCCAGAATCTACAATGAACTCCAACACATTTACAAGAAAAAACAAACAACCCCATCAACAAGTCAGCAAAGGACATGAGCAGACACTTCTCAAAAGAAGACATTTATGCACCCAAAAAACACATGAAAAAATGCTCACCATCACTGGCCATCAGAGAAATGCAAATCAAAACCACAATGAGATACTATCTCACACCAGTTAGAATGGCAATCATTAAAAAGTCAGGAAACAACAGGTGCTGGAGAGGATGCGGAGAAATAGGAACACTTTTACACTGTTGGTGTGACTGTAAACTAGTTCAACCCTTGCGGAAGTCAGTGTGGCGATTCCTCAGGGATCTAGAACTAGAAATACCATTTGACCCAGCCATCCCATTACTGGGTATATACTCAAAGGACTATAAATCACGCTGCTATAAAGACACATGCACACGTATGTTTATTGCGGCACTATTCACAATAGCAAAGACTTGGAACCAACCCAAATGTCCAACAATGATAGACTGGATTAAGAAAATGTGGCACATATACACCATGGAATACTATGCAGCCATAAAAAATGATGAGTTCATGTCCTTTGTAGGGACATGGATGAAATTGGAAATCATCATTCTCAGTAAACTATTGCAAGAACAAAAAACCAAACACCGCATATTCTCACTCATAGATGGGAATTGAACAATGAGAACACATGGACACAAGAAGGGGAACATCTCACTCTGGGGACTGTTGTGGGGTGGGGGGAGGGGGGAGGGATAGCATTGGGAGATATACCTAATGCTAGATGACGAGTTAGTGGGTGCAGTGCACCAGCATGGCACATGTATACATATGTAACTAACCTGCACATTGTACACATGTACCCTAAAACTTAAAGTATAATAATAATAAAATAAATTTAAAAAAAAATAAAAAGAAAGAATGAATCCACAGTATCATATTGAACACATGCTACTTAATGGGATACTGATCATAAAACAAGCAAAGCTCTATCACAGTGAACTGAAAATTAAAGGGAACTGTGAATATTTGATAGGCTGCAGAAATTTAAGGAAAGATATGACATTAGGTTTTTAAAGATTTGTGGTGATAAGGCATCTGCTGATCACAAAGTAGCAAATTTATTGATGAGTTTGCCAAAGTCATCGCTGATGAAAATATCATGCCAGACCAAGTCCATGATACTAATGAAACATCACTGTTTTGGTGTTATTGCCCCATAAATCCACTCACTAAAACTGATGAGACAGCTGCAGGGATTAAGAATGTCAAGGACAGAATAACTGTGCTGGGTTGTGCTAATGCAGCAGGCACCCATAAGTGTAAACTCGTTGTAGGCAAAAGCTTGCATCCTGTTTTCAAGGAATGAATTTCTTATCAGTCCATGTTATGCTAACAAAAAGGCATGGATCACCAGGGACATCTTTTCTGATTGGTTTCACAAACATTTTGTACTAGCAGCTTATGCTCACTGTAGGGAAGCTGGACTGCCTGTCAACTGCAAGATTTTGTTATTCCTTGACAACTGTTCTGCTCATCCTTCAGCCAAAATCTCATTAAAAACAATGTTTATACCATGCACTTTCTCCAAAATGTGACTCATTAGTTCAGCCATGTGACTTATATCAATGAAGAGTAGATAGTAAAACACCTTCTTTAACAGCATGCTAGCAACAGTGAACGTTGGTGTGGAAGGATTGTGAAAGGAGTTTGGCATGAAGGATGTTGTATACATTGTGGCCAATGCTTGGAACACAATGGCTAAAGACACAGCTGTGCATGCCTGGTACAACCTCTTGATTGCAATTAGGTTCAGTGATAATGATGAACAAGATGGTAACTTTTAAAGATTTCATACATCAAGTGAGAAAAAATGATGTCTAACCTCCTTACATATGCAAAAAATATACCTTCAGAGTCCATCAATAAGTTGGAGGAAGTGGATATCAAAGCAGTTTTTAGCCTTGATAATGAGACTTTAGTTGTTCATTCATTGACTGCTGGTGAAATGGCAGAAATGGTTCTGAATCAAGGTGATCATGATAATAGTAATGATGAAGGTGATGCTAACACTGTAGGAAAAAGTGCCTATAGATAACATGGTGAAAAGTGTGATGAGCATATTGAAGGACTAGAGCAGTGTGCATTCATAATAGAACAAGAAATCATGTCAGTTTATAAAATCAAAGAGAGACTTCTAAGACAAAAACCGTTGTTAATGAGGCAGATGACTCTGGAGGAAACATTTTTAAAAGCCATCCAGCAGAATGCCTCCTCATCCCTAGAGGACCCACTTCCTGGTCCCTCAACTGCTTCTGATGTTTCTTCTCATCTAAAAAAGAAAATACAGTGTACAGTAACCTTTTAATCACAACACAGCATTGTAGGTGGAGAGTGAAAGCCTGCCATTGTTTGTTGTTGCTCTTGTTTAACAGCTGACACAAGTATTCAGATGATGCTACTGTGCTGTTTAGTTACTCTGGACACTTGATTTTTTCACTGTATTAATGGTATGTCATTTTTTTAATATTGTGTACTCATGTAAATAAGTGTAAGAAAATGATTGCTTATCAGTAGCATATAAAATTCGGAGTCAGGGTTGATGGTGAGGCCAAAGACCTGCAGATTGTCCACATGGGTGGCTAAGATAATGACACCTTTGCTTGCTGATTATTAAATATACACACTTTGTTTTATGCACAAAATCATTAAAATATTGAATAAAATTACCTTCAGCTATGTGTATTCAGTGTATATGAAACAAAAATGAATTTTGTGTTTAGACTTGAGTCCCACTGCCAAGATATCTCACATATGCAAATATTCCAAAATCTGAAAAAATCTGAAATCTGAAACACTTCTGGTCCCATGCATTTCAGATAAGAAGTACTCAACCTGTGTGGAATGTTCATGAATGAGAAAAATCTCTGTAATTCACAGCCCAGCCATGCCTGCAGAAACTTAGCTGCAAGTGTGGATAACCCTTCAGTTGTTCCCTCCAGCATGGACAGTTTGGAGACTAACAAGAGATTAATGCCATCCCTGAGGGTCTGAACAGCTCAGATTGTTGAAGAATCTCACATTTATTGGAGAATTGCAAGAACAGGAAATATATGGGTATTGCCTGGCATTCTACTTGATAAGAAATAGAGGGAAATTGAAACTCTCTGACTAACGTCTGTGTTCTGATGTGTAATTTCCATTTTACTGCATTTATTAAAAGGAATCAAAGTACATGTAGTTCAGAAAAAAGAAACAGCTCTAATTTTGGCATCTACCCAAATATAAGACTATGCCCTGCTAGATATCAAGACAGAGTATAAAACTCTGGCAGTGTGGAATCATCACAGGAATTGATAAATTAACCAATGGAATCAAATAGAGAATTAAGAAACAGACCCACATAATAGCCCCCAAACTTATGCTGCTGGAATTATTTACATATTAATTTCTCATAAATTCAATATTATTGACTAAATAAGGTACAACATTATTATGTGTCATGCACACTCTTTCTACACTTACTCTCTGATTTCTGGAATTGGAATAATAGGGTTCAACAGAAGGAAAAATATACTCAATACTACACTCCCTCGTAAATATTCAACTTATATTGAACAAAATATTCATTGTCCTCCAAAACTATTTTGAATAAAATGTTTATTGTCCCCCAAAACTATATTCCAGTGTTTGGGGGCAACAAATATTTTTTCTATTGGTCTGTGTTACTTAAAAAAATCTAATATCACATATGGTTTCTTAAAAAGATAATGGAAGTTAATCTTATTACAAAAACTGTATTTATGGTAGAAACTGAGATGAGTGAATACTAACAGGTGAAGCACTAAAGAGCTATTAGTCTGAAGGTGATGAAATGACAGTGTCACCTCATGAAGAAGCTTCTGTGATTTTGCTACTGGTCTTGTCAGCTGACACCACACAGCCATTCAAAGAAGGGCCTACACTTTGACCTAATCACTAGATTCTGCTACTATTGTCTATTTGGATTTCCTGCTGTGCAGGGAATCATTAGAAACATAAACTCACAAAATTCATTGAGTCTAATACATGCAAGGCAATGGGATATGTTAGAAAATGTTACTGACTGTGAAAATGTCCACAGTCTAATGAAAGAGGATAGAAACAAACAAAAGATTGTAGTCGGGTAGCTCTTCTTACAATAGTGCAAGTCAGAAGCATCCTTTGGAATTCTGAGAAAGCCAGATCAATTTTCCTGAGATTTTTCAGGGCCCCACCTGTGGAAGGAAATCAGAAATTTCTCTCTAGGTAGTTCTGGGACATTGCAAATTGTCATGTTTTTCATTCCTGAATTTGATATGCAATGTCATGTTACTGTTTGTCATAAAACAGATCTAAATTATAGTCAACACACTTAAATGGTTCTTTCTTCAGATGGTTCTGGAGGCCATTATCCTTAGCAAACTAACGCAGGAACTGAAAACCAAGTACCGCATGTTCTCACTTATAAGTGGGAGCTAAATGATAGGAACACATGGACACAGAGAGGGGAACAACACACACTGGGGCCTTTTGGAGGGTGGAGGGTGGGAGGAGGGAGAGGATCAGGAAAAATAACTAATGGGTACTAGGCTTAATACCTGGGTGATGAAATAATCTGTACAACAAACCCCATGACACACGTTTACCTATGTAACAAACCTGTACTTGTACCCCTGAACTTAAAATAAAAGTTAAAAAAAGTTCCTTCTTGTGGTCAAAGAGGCAGGAATAATTTACATACAAAAATGGGGAAGGCTCATCCCTTAGCTAAATACCAAGGAAAACTAGAAAACGCAGCACACTGGTAGCTGAGGTCCTATTTTCTGAGAACAAAGCTAGTGAGAAACAGGCTGCGGGGTTCAGAAATGTCAGGGATCATGCAGAACTGAATTTCTTCTCAGAAATTTAAGGTGTTTTGCAAACATAGACTAATCCTCATATTATTCTTGTGTGTTTTAAATTGGATTTTTTAAAACTTGCCTATAGAGTAGCATCTTATATTACAGAAAATAACAGAAAGAGTGCTGTCAGTGTCCCTGTTCTCGGCTCTGTTCTCAAGCTTAATTCTTTCATAAAGAGGATCCATATTTGGTAATAATGTCAGAAATAAAAAAAAAAAAGAAAGAGGCCTCCTCTTGCTTTTCCATTGCCATTTAAGTCCATACTTTATGATTTGATTTACATTTTATGACTTGAGTTTTTCCCTTACTAAATTTACAGGGACTTTGAGATGATAAAACTTTCCTTATATCAGAATAAAGACAAGGCTTCAGAGAGAAAATATATTTGGATATTTCATTCCCGTAACACTTTAATCCTTGCAGCTAATCTAATACAACTGGATTTCCAACAATGTAAAAAGAAAGCAAGCACTGCTGAGAGCCCTAAAGAGCTCCAGGTTGCCAAAGACGGGAAATTTCTTTCTTTTTCCCAGAGGATCAATCATCCTGAAATGGCTGCTCCAAATACTGGTAGTGAAATAATCATTCACCTGAAATATTGCATCTTAATGTTAGGGTATGTTTACTTTCTCCTTGAAGCCTGTTATCCAACTGTAAATCACATCAAAGAGATATTAGGGCAGTAGCTAAATATTCTGATTGAAAAATTCTTCAAAAGCTTACATTATGTAATAATTTTGTTGAGATTTCCTGGTTTTAAGTAATCTCTATTTCATTTTTTTATCTGCTTGTTTCAATGACTTTATGTTTTAAAAAATTACAACAGAATCCTATCAAAACCCACATGTCCAATTATTTTCTCATAACAGCACCTATTTATTTTTCATTACATTTTGTTTTTTAAAATTTCATTTAAAATATACTTAAGTAATACATATCCATTGGGGAAAATTAGAAAATACAGAAAAACAGGAAGAAAAAAGTAAGTACAATATCTGAAATGATCAATTAAAGATAACCAAAATGGACTTCTGCTGTGTAACTGTTTAGATGCTCTTCTGTTTGTGTGAATACATGTGTCTGAGGCATTTTGAAGAAATCCTTCTGTACACACCTATATTTTGCAGCTGGACCTTTTCTTTTTAAACTTGATGTAATGTCAACACTAAAAAAATTACATATATTTTCAGTTTATTATTTATTTATTTATTTATTTATTTTAGAGACAGGGTCTTGCTACGTTGCCTAGGCTGCTCTTAAAATCCCATGCTCAATTTTCAGGGGAGGAGCCAAGATGGCCGAACAGGAACAGCTCTGGTCTACAGCTCCCAGCGTGAGCGATGCAGAAGACCGGTGGTATCTGCATTTCCATCTGAGGTACCAGGTTCATCTCACTAGGGAGTGCCAGACAGTGGGCGCAGGACAGTGGGTGCAGCGCACCATGTGCGAGCTGAAGCAGGGAGAGGCATTGCTTCACTTGGGAAGTGCAAGGGGTCAGGGAGTTCCCTTTCCTAGTCAAATAAAGGGGTGACAGACGGGACCTGGAAAATCGGGTCACTCCCACACGAATACTGAGCTTTTCTGACAGATTAAAAAACAGCGCGCCAGGAGATTATATCCCACACCTGGCTCGGAGGGTCCTATGCCCAGGGAGTCTTGCTGATTGCTGGCACAGCAGTCTGAGATCAAACTGCAAGGTGGCAGGGAGGCTGGGGGAGGGGCACCCACCATTGCCCAGGCTTGCTTAGATAAACAAAGCAGCCAGGAAGCTCGAACTGGGTGGAGCCCACCACAGCTCAAGGAGGCCTGCCTGCCTCTGTAGGCTCCACCTCTGGGGGCAGGGCACAGACAAACAAAAAGACAGCAGTAACCTCTGCAGACTTAAATGTCCCTGTCTGACAGCTTTGAAGAGAGCAGTGGTTCTCCCAGCACACAGCTGGAGATCTGAGAATGGGCAGACTGCCTCCTCAAGTGGGTCCCTGACCCCTGAGCAGCCTAACTGGGAGGCACCTCCCAGTAGAGGCAGACTGACACTTCACATGGCCGGGTACTCCTCTGAGACAAAACTTCCAGAGGAACGATCAGACAGCAGCATTCGCGGTTCATGAAAATCCGCTCTTCTGCAAACACCGCTGCTGATACCCAGGCAAACAGGGTCTGGAGTGGACCTCTAGCAAACTCCAACAGACCTGCAGCTGAGGGTCCTGTCTGTTAGAAGGAAAACTAACAAACAGAAACGACATCCACACCAAAAACCCATCTGTACATCACCATCATCAAAGACCAAAAGTAGATAAAACCACAAAGATGGGGAAAAAACAGAGCAGAAAAACTGGAAATGCTAAAAAGCAGAGAGCCTCTCCTCCTCCAAAGGAACGCAGTTCCTCACCAGCAATGGAACAAAGCTGGATGGAGAATGACTTTGACGAGTTGAGAGAAGAAGGCTTCAGACGATCAAACTACGAGCTACAGGAGGAAATTCAAACCAAAGGCAGAGAAGTTAAAAACTTTGAAAAAAATTTAGACGAATGTATAACTAGAATAACCAATACAGACAAGTGCTTAAAGGAGCTGATGGAGCTGAAAGCCAAGGCTTGAGAACTACGTGAAGAATGCAGAAGCCTCAGGAGCCAACACGATCAACTGGAAGAAAGGGTATCAGCGATGGAAGATGAAATGAATGAAATGAAGCGAGAAGGGAAGTTTAGAGAAAAAAGAATAAAAAGAAATGAACAAAGCCTCCAAGAAATATGGGACTATGTGAAAAGACCAAATCTACGTCTGATTGGTGTACCTGAAAGTGACGGGGAGAATGGAACCAAGTTGGAAAACACTCTGCAGGATATCATCCAGGAGAACTTCCCCAATCTAGCAAGTCAGGCCAACGTTCAGATTCAGGAAATACAAAGAACGCCACAAAGATACACCTCGAGAAGAGCAACTCCAAGACACATAATTGTCAGATTCACCAAAGTTGAAATGAAGGAAAAAATGTTAAGGGCAGCCAGAGAGAAAGGTCGGGTTACCCACAAAGGGAAGCCCATCAGACTAACAGCGGATCTCTCGGCAGAAACTCTGCAAGCCAGAAGAGAGTGGGGGCCAATATTCAACATTCTTAAAGAAAAGAATTTTCAACCCAGAATTTCATATCCAGCCAAACTAAGCTTCATAAGTGAAGGAGAAATAAAATACTTTACAGACAAGCAAATGATGAGAGATTTTGTCACCACTAGGCCTGCCCTAAAAGAGCTCCTGAAGGAAGCACTAAACATGGAAAGGAAAAACCGGTACCAGCCGCTGCAAAATCATGCCAAAATGTAAAGACCATCGAGACTAGGAAGAAACTGCATCAACTACTGAACAAAATCACCAGCTAACATCATAATGACAGGATCAAATTCACACATAACAATATTAACTTTAAATGTAAATGGACTAAATGTTCCAATTAAAAGACACAGACTGGCAAACTGGATAAAGAGTCAAGACCCATCAGTGTGCTGTATTCAGGAAACCCATCTCACATGCAGAGACACATATAGGCGCAAAATAAAAGGATGGAGGAAGATCTACCAAGCAAATGGAAAACAAAAAAAGGCAGGGGTTGCAATCCTAGTCTCGGATAAAACAGACTTTAAACCAACAAAGATCAAAAGAGACAAAGAAGGCCATTACATAATGATAAAGGGATCAATTCAACAAGAAGAGCTAGCTATCCTAAATATATATGCACCCAATACAGGAGCACCCAGATTCATAAAGCAAGTCCTGAGTGACCTACAAAGAGACTTAGACTCCCACACATTAATAATGGGAGACTCTAACACCCCACTGTCAACATTATACAGATGACTGAGACAGAAAGTTAACAAGGATACCCAGGAATTGAACTCAGCTCTGAACCAAGAGGACCTAATAGACATCTACAGAACTCTCCACCCCAAATCAACAGAATATACACTTTTTTCAGCACCACACCACACCTATTCCAAAATTGACCACATACTTGGAAGTAAAGCTATCCTCAGCAAATGTAAAAGAACAGAAATTATAACAAACTATCTCTCAGACCACAGTGCAATCCAACTAGAACTCAGGATTAAGAAACTCACTCAAAACTGCTCAACTACATGGAAACTGAACAACCTGCTCCTGAATGACTACTGGGTACATAACGAAATGAAGGCAGAAATAAAGATGTTCTTTGAAAACAACGAGAACAAAGACACAACATACCAGAATCTCTGGGACGCATTCAAAGCAGTGTGTAGAGGGAAATTTATAGCACTAAATACCCACAAGAGAAAGCAGGAAAGATCCAAAACTGACAGCCTAACATCACAATTAAAAGAACTAGAAAAGCAAGAGCAAACACATTCAAAAGCTAGCAGAAGGCAAGAAATAACTAAAATCAGAGCAGAACTGAAGGAAATAGAGACACAAAAAACCCTTCAAAAAATTAATGAATCCAGGAGTTGGTTTTTTGAAAGGATCAACAAAATAGGTAGACTGCTAGCAAGACTAATAAAGAAAAAAAGAGAGAAGAATCAAATAGATGCAATAAAAAATGATAAAGGGGATATCACCACCGATCCCACAGAAATACAAACTGCCATCAGAGATTACTACAAACACCTCTATGCAAATAAACTAGAAAATCTAGAAGAAATGGATAAATTCCTCGACACATACACTCTCCCAAGACTAAACCAGGAAGAAGATGAATCTCTGAATAGACCACTAACAGGAACTGAAATTGTGGCATTAATCAATAGCTTACCAACCAAAAAGAGTCCAGGACCAGATGGATTCACAGCCAAATTCTACCAGAGGTACAAGGAGGAACTGGTACCATTCCTTCTGAACCTATTCCAATCAATAGAAAAAGAGGGAATCCTCCCTAACTCATTTTATGAGGCCAGCATCACCCTGATATCAAAGCCAGGCAGAGACACAACCAAAAAAGAGAATTTTAGACCAATATCCTTGATGAACATTGATGCAAAAATCCTCAATAAAATACTGGCAAACCGAATCCAGCAGCACATCAAAAAGCTTATCCACCATGATCAAGTGGGCTTCATCCCTGGGATGCAAGGCTGGTTCAATATACGCAAATGAATCAATGTAATCCAGCATATAAACAGAACCAAAGACAAAAACCACATGATTATCTCAATAGATGCAGAAAAGGCCATTAACAAAATTCGACAACCCTTCATGCTAAAAACTCTCAATAAATTAGGTATTGATGGGACGTATCTCAAAATAATAAGAGCTATCTATGACAAACCCACAGCCAATATCATACTGAATGGGCAAAAACTGGAAGCATTCCCTTTGAAAACTGGCACAAGACAGGGATGCCCACTCTCACCACTCCTATTCAACATAGTGTTGGAAGTTCTGGCCAGGGCAATCAGGCAGGAGAAGGCAATAAAGGGTATTCAATTAGGAAAAGAGGAAGTCAAATTGTCCCTGTTTGCAGACGACATGATTGTATATCTAGAAAACCCCATTGTCTCAGCCCAAAATCTCCTTAAGCTGAGAAGCAACTTCAGCAAAGTCTCAGGATACAAAATCAATGTACAAAAATCACAAGCATTCTTATACACCAATAACAGACAAACAGAGAGCCAAATCATGAGTGAACTCCCATTCACAATTGCTTCAAAGAGAATAAAATACCTAGGAATCCACCTTACAAGGGATGTGAAGGACCTCTTCAAGGAGAACTACAAACCACTGCTCAATGAAATAAAAGAGGATACAAACAAATGGAAGAACATTCCATGCTCATGGGTAGAAAGAATCAATATCATGAAAATGGCCATACTGCCCAAGGTAATTTATAGATTCAATGCCATCCCCATCAAGCTACCAATGACTTTCTTCACAGAATTCGAAAAAACTACTTTAAAGTTCATATGGAACCAAAAAGGAGCCCGCATCACCAAGTCAATCCTAAGCCAAAAGAACAAAGCTGGAGGCATCATACTACCTGACTTCAAACTATACTACAAGGCTACAGTAACCAAAACAGCATGGTACTGGTACCAAAACAGAGATATAGATCAATGGAACAGAACAGAGCCCTCAGAAATAACGCCGCATATCTACAACTATCTGGTCTTTGACAAACCTGAGAAAAACAAGCAATGGGGAAAGGATTCCTTATTTAATAAATGGTGCTGGGAAAACTGGCTAGCTGTACGTAAAAAGCTGAAACTGGATCCCTTCCTTACACCTTATACAAAAATCAATTCAAGATGGATTAAAGACTTAAACGTTAGACCTAAAACCATAAAAACCCTAGAGGAAAACCTAGGCATTACCATTCAGGACATAGGATGGGCAAGTACTTCATGTCTAAAACACCAAAAGCAATGGCAACAAAAGACAAAATTGACAAATGGGATCAAATTAAACTAAAGAGCTTCTGCACAGCAAAAGAAACTACCATCAGAGTGAACAGGCAACCCACAAAATGGGAAAAAATTTTCACAACCTACTCATCTGACAAAGGGCTAATATCCAGAATCTACATGAACTCAAACAGATTTACAAGAAAAAAAACAAACAACCCCATCAACAAGTCAGCAAAGGACATGAACAGACACTTCTCAAAAGAAGACATTTTTGCAGCCAAAAAACACATGAAAAAATGCTCACCATCACTGGCCATCAGAGAAATGCAAATCAAAACCACAATGAGATATCATCTCACACCAGTTAGAATGGCAATCATTAAAAAGTCAGGAAACAACAGGCGCTGGAGAGGATGTGGGGAAATAGGAACACTTTTACACTGTTGGTGGGACTGTAAACTAGTTCAACCCTTGTGGAAGTCAGTGTGGCAATTCCTCAGGGATCTAGAACTAGAAATACCATTTGACCCAGCCATCCCATTACTGGGTATATACTCAAAGGACTATATATCATGCTGCTATAAAGACACATGCACACGTATGTTTATTGTGGCACTATTCACAATAGCAAAGACTTGGAACCAACCCAAATGTCCAACAATGATAGACTGGATTAAGAAAATGTGGCACATATACACCATGGAATACTATGCAGCCATAAAAAATGATGAGTTCATGTCCTTTATAGGGACATGGATGAAATTGGAAATCATCATTCTCAGTAAACTATCACAAGAACAAAAAACCAAACACCGCATGTTCTCACTCATAGGTGGGAAATGAACAATGAGAACACATGGACACAGGAAGGGGAACATCACACTCTGGGGACTGTTGTGGGGTGGGGGGAGGGGGGAGGGACAGCAATGGGAGATATACCTAATGCTAGATGACGAGTTAGTGGGTGCAGCGCACCAGCATGGCACATGTATACATATGTAACTAACCTGCACATTGTACACATGTACCCTAAAACTCAAAGTATAAAAAAAAAAAATTCCCATGCTCAAGCAATCTGCCCACCTCAGCCTGCCAAAGTGCTGGGATTATAGGCATGAGCCACTGCACCAGGCCAACATTTTTCTATATCAATGCATATACTTGCATATACGTTTTAGTGGTTATATTTAATCCATTAGAGTCCTTGGATCATGTTTTCATTCTCATTCATATCAAAGTATTTTCTAATTTCCCATTGTAATTGTAGTTGCTTAAGATTGTGTTAATTTCTATATACTTGTGAAGTGTCATTTCCTTCTATTATTGATTTCTAATTTTATTCCATTTTGGTCACAGAAGATAATTTGTATAATTTCCTTTTTTTCTTTTTTTTTTTTTTTAAAAACATGGAGTCTTGCTCTGTCACCCAGGCTGGAGTGCAGTGGTGCAATCTCGGCTTACTGCAAGCTCCGCCTCTTGGGTTCAAGTGATCCTCCACCTCAGCCTCCCAAGTAGGTGGAATTACAGGTGTACACCACCACACCTGGCTAATTTCCATATTTTTAGTAGAGACAGGTTTTCACCATGTTGGCCAGGCTGGTCTTGAACTCCTGACCTCAAGTGGTCCACCTGCCTCAGCCTCCCAAAGTGCTGGGATTACAGGTGTGAGCCACCACAACCGGCCTATAATTTCAATGTTTTAAAATCTGTTAATATTCATTTTGCAGCCTAACATATGGTCTATCCTGGAGAATGTTGTATGTGCATATGTGTTGTTGTGTGGCATGTTCTGTATATGTCTATTAGGTCTAGTTGGTTTATAGTGTTCTTCCAATCCTTTATATCCCTATTAATCTTCTGGCTAGTTGTTTCACCCACTGTTGAAAGTGGGGAATTGAAGTCTCCAACAATTAGTAATATTTCCTATTTCTCCCTCCAATTATGTCAATTTTTGCTTAATATATCTTGGGGCTCTGTAGTTAGGTGGGTATAAATTTATAATTGTTATATCTTCTTGATATATTGACATTGTCTATATATAATATCCTTCTTTGTCTCTTGTAACAATTTTGACCTAAAATCAATTTATCTGACATTAATATAAGAAGTCCCACTGTCTTTTGGCTACTGTTTGCAAGGAATATATTTCTTCCATACTTTCACTTTCAACCTATTTGTTCCTTTGAATCTAATGTGAGTATTTTGTAGACAGTACAAGTTGGGTCAGTTTTTTTAAATCCCTTCTGCCAATCTCTGTCTCTTAATTGGAGAGTTTAATCAATTTACATTTAAAATAATTGATGATAAGGAAGGATCTACTTCTGCCATTTTGCTACTTGTCTTCTACATGTCTTATATCTTTTTTGTTCCTCATTTCCTCTATGACTGCCTACATTTGTGTTTAGCTGATTTTTTTCCTAGTGCACTGTTTTGATTTTACTTTTGCTTTTCTTTATCTTTAAACAAGTATTTTCTTAGTGGTTACCCTAGGGATTACAATTATATATCTTATATGTACAACAACATAGTTTTAATTAATATCAACTGAGCTTCAATCGGATAAAGAACTCTCCTATATACTTCTGTCCCTTACCCTTTGTCTTGTTATCATCACAGATTACATCTTTATACGTAGTGTGTCTATGAACATAGATTTATAATTATTGTTTTGTGGATTTTTAAGTCATTTAAAAAAGGAATTACAAACCAAAAATACAATAATACTGGCTCTTATATTTACATATTTAATTCTTTTTACTAGTGTTCTTTATATATTTGTATGGCTTCAAGTTACTATCTAGTGCCCTTCATTTCAGCCTGAAGGACTCATTTTGGATTTTCTTATAGGGCAGGTCTATAAGCAGAGTGATGAATTCCCTCAGCTTTTATCTGGAAATGCCCTAATATATCCTTCACTTTTGAAGGATGGTTTTTCTAGATATGGCTCTCTTAGCTGATAGTTTTTTCTTTCAGCACTTTAAATATCTCATTCCACTGCCTTCTGGCCTCCATGGTTTCCGATGAGATACCAGTTGTTGATCCTATTGAGGATCCCCGGTACATAACAAATTGCTTGCCTCTTAATGCTTTAGAAAACACTCTTTGTCTTTGAACAGTTTGATTATAATGTATCTGACTGTGAAACTCTTTGAGTTTATTCTATTTAGAGTTTGTTCAGCTACTTGGAGGTATAGATCTATGTCTTTCATCAAATTTGGGACATTTTTGGCCATTATTTTTTAAAATATTATTTTTGTTCCTTTCTCCCCTTACCCCTGGTCCATCATTATACTTATGTTGGTAAGCTTGATAGTGTCACATGGCACTCTGAGGTGCCGTTCATTTTTCCTTGTTCCTTTTTTTCCCTTGCTCACCAACTGAATACTTTCCATTAACTTACTTTCAAATTTACTTTTTCTTTTGCTTGCTCAGATCTGCTACTGAGTCCCTCTAGTGAATTTTTCATTTCAGTTATTGTACTTTTCATCTCCAGAATTTCCATTTGGTTCCTTTTTATAAGCTCTAGCTCCTTATTGATATTCTATGTTTATTGAGAATTAATCTCAATTTTTGTTAGTTCTTAGTCCATGGCTTTCTTTAACTCTTTGGGCATATTTAAGACAATTGCTTTAAAAGCTTTGTGTATTAAGTCCAATGGCTGGGCTTCCTCAGGGATAGTTTCTGTTAATTTCTTTTGTTCCTGTGAATGGGCCATACTTTCTTGTTTCTTTGCATGCCTCATAATTTCAAACAAAAAAAAACAGGGCATTTTGAATATTATAATATGGGAAATCTAGAAATCAGACTCTCCCCCTTTCCCAGGGTTTCTTGTTGCTACTTGTGGTGGGTTATATTTATTTGTTAAGTCAATTTTCTAAACCATTTTTGTAAAGACTATATTCTTTGTCATGTGTGGTCTCTAAAATCTCTATTCTATTAACTTAGTGGTTAGCTAGTGACTTGACAGATTTCCTTAAACACTTGGAATCACACACACGAACACAAAACAAACAAATGAAGCCTTCTAGTCTTTTGGAACTGAGCTCTGTGTGTATTTGTGTTTATGTTAGTGCACACTTTAACTATTCAGCTGGAAAGTTTACAACTCTGCCTTTGCCTTCATTTCCTGCCTATGTGGAACTTGAAGGTCAGCCAGAGGTAAAAGCTTAGGATGTTCTCAGATATATTAGGAGTATGTGCCCATCCTGGGCATGCGTATGACTAAATTTCCATAATTTTAAAAACCTTTTTGAAGTCTTTATACTCCAAAACATCTTACTACCCAGCTTTTCTTCCCAGGCTTTTCAGTGTGTCTATTGTTTACCCCAACTGATCTCCTTTGCCCTAAGTGACAGTAGCTGTTCAGTTTCATAGCCATTTCTCAACCCTGAGAGAGTTCCAAGTTAAGCACAATAGAGGCATGCTTTCTGTGTTAGTGTTTCAGGGAGCCACTTGATAGGTCAAAACTGACAATGACAGTTATTTGAAAACAAAATTCACTTTGCTCCCACCATCACGAGGAACACACATCAGGAACTGGATTGTCATCTTCAATGCCATCGCACTAGAGGGGGTGGAAACAAAGGTAAGTTAAAATGCCACAAAGCTCTCTTACCAGGTTTTAGTTACCCCTTTTTTGGTTAAGCATTTGCTTGGCTGCTTTAAGTCTGATAATTTTTCAGAGTTCTGACAAAGTTGATTCTGACAGTGTTTTCTAGTCTTTTCGGGGTTTCTATTGAGCGATGGGCCCTTCGAGTTTCCTACTACCATTTTTGCTGGCATTTTTTCATTAAAAAAAAATCATCTCCCACATAAGCTAGGCACAGAAAGACAAATAGCACATGTGCTCAAACATGGAATCTAAGATAATCAGACACAAATAAGCAGAGAGTAGGATGGTGGCTACCAGAGGCTGGGAGGGTGGGAGAGAAGGGAAGATGATGGTGAAAGGGCAGAAAGCCTCAAATAGGACTAATAAGGATTTTTTTCCTTTGAGATATATTGCACAGCATGGTGAATATCATAAAACATGATGTATTATACATTCCAGAATCACTAAGAGAGTAAATTTTAAATGTTGTCACCGCAAAAAAATAAACATTTCAGGTGATAGATATGTTAATTAGTTTTAATTATTCCACGTTTATTCATAAATCATAACATTACTTTGTAATCCATAAATATATACATCTATAATTCTTCAATTTAAAATTTGAAAAGTAAAAATTAATAATAATAAAAGGTCATCTCCCATTATATCTTATTTCAACTTTATTTAACAAATATCACATTTGTGGATATTTATGGTCCTTTAAATTTGGGAGCCATTATAAATAACATTATGGTGAACATTGTTTATAGCCAGAATTTATATAGGTTAATTTCCTGAGATAATTTCTAGACAAAGAATAAAAGGATGTAAGTTTAGAGTTTTATAGATGACAATTAACTTTAGCAGACAGGAAAAAATATCACACAACCATGATAACTAGTATATCAAGAGTTAAATCTTACAACTATTTGGGCTTTATAACGAGCCACTTGAATGCATTAAGTGTTAATTCAATTGCAACTTGTTTGGCTCTTCCTCAACAATAGCCAGTTTTTGAACTTGAGTTAGTGTATATGAGTAAGCCCTTTAGTGCTCCAGTTGATATGCAGGCTGAAGTTGTCCACTAATCACCAAAGGCCCCCAGTGCATTAAAGACAAGACGGGGAATAAACCTCAATTCTTTTGACTTGGGGGTTGGGGGGCTCTGTCCATTAGTTCCATTGGTCTGTGTGCCTATTCCTAAGCATAAAGTGGTGAAAGGACAGCCTATTCAACAAATGGTGCTGGGATAATTGGCAAGCCACACGTAGAAGAATGAAACTGGATCTTCATCTCTCACTGTACGCACAAATCAACTGAGGATGGATCAAAGACTTAAATCTAAGACAAGAACCATAAAAATTCTAGAAGATAACATGGGAAAAACTCTTCTAGAAATTGGCTTAGGCAAAGAGTTCATGACCAAGAACCCAAAAGCAAATGCAATAAAAACAAACATAAACAGATGGGACTTAATTAAACTAAAAAGCTTCTGCACAGAAAAAGAAATAAACAACAGAGTAAACAGAAAATCCACAGAGTAGGAGAAAATTTTTGCAAATTATGCATCCAACAAAGGACTAATATCCATAATCTGCAAGGAACTCAAACAAATATGCAAGAAAAAAGAAATAATTCCATTAAAAAGTGGTCAAAGGACATGAATGGACAATTCTCAAAAGAAGATATACAAATGGCTAACAAACATATGAAAAAATGCTCAACATCACTAATTACTAGGGAAATGCAAATCAAAACCACAATGCGATACCACCTTGCTCCTGCAAGAATGGCCATAATTAAAAAATAAAAATAACAACAGATGTTGGCATGGATGTGATGCAAAGGGAACACTTTTACACTGCTGATGGGAATGTCAACTAGTACAACCATGATGAAAAACAGTATAGAGATTTCTTAAAGAACTCAAAGTAGATCTAGCATTTGACCCAGCAATCCCATTACTAGGCATCTACCCAGAGGAAAAGAAGTCATTATATGAAAAAGACACTTGCACATGCATGTTTATAGCAATGTGATTTTCAATTTCAAAAATATGGAACCAGCCCAAATGCCCATCAATCAATGAGTGCATAAAGAAAATGTGGTATGTATATACTATGGAATACTACTCAGCCATAAAAAGGAATTAAATAATGGCATTCTCAGCAACCTGGATGGAATTGGAGACCACTATTTTAACTGAAGTAACTCAGGAACGGAAAACCAAACAGTATATGTTCTCACTTGTAAGTGGGAGCTAAGCTATGAGGATTCAAAGGCATAAGAATTATGAACTTTGGGGACTCAGAGGGAAGAATGGGAGGGGGATGAGGGATGAAAGACTAGACGTTGGGTACAGTGTACACTGCTTGGGTGATGGGTGCACCAAAATTTCAGAAATTACCACTAAAGAACTTATCCATGTAATGAAACATCACCTGTTCCCCCAAAACTACTGAAATTTTTAAAAAGTTTTAAAAAATTAAAATGAGACAAAGCATAGGATGAAACTGTGTTTATAAACAATTACATCTCTGTATAATTTGTTCTTGAACTATTAATACAGTGACTATAGTAGACCTGTAATAGGTATTCAATAGATTTGGCAAATTCCTCTTTCTCTCCTAGCAGCCCTTCCCTGAGTCTCTCCAACCTCAATTACTACTAACAATGACATAAGCCTCATACCTAATTCTGTCTATAAAGCAAAACCATTGTTGTCAGTCACATATTATCCTACAATTAGTAACTCTGGTCATACAGTAATTTACCTCTTTTTATTATACAGAGCTATTTATATTTTACTCCTCCCTCTTTGTTGTTGCTTGACCAGCCACAAACCCAATTTGGATCAGAAGACTCATTCCGACGTGCTTGAATTGTGACACTTAAGATCCATTAGATTCTTCCATTTTCTTCTTTTAACATGATATAATTTACCTCTTAATTGATTCTAACAAGTTAGAAAATATTTGTAACTAGGAAGTCAAAGTAGAACAAAAATGTGTTCCTTTGTTCTAAGTGCTTGGTGGGATCTGGGATTTTACGTCTTACTTCTAGTCAAAATCCCTGTAAAGCCAATGGGAATTCTGCACATGGGGAGAGATCAGATGGGCTGGCAAATATTACCAAAGAGAGACTTTTATCTGCTGGATATATAAAAACCTTCTGCAAACCTGCAAAAGTCCTTCTAACCCAGGATATAGTGTGCTTCTGTTCAACTTCAAAATGCTGTGAACCAAAGTATTTCAAGACCAACTTTCAAATTCCAGAAAAGGGTTAAGGTCTAGGATTGTTTTGGTGGTGGTGTTGTTGTTTCTTTTGGTTCATTTCATTTTAGTTTTTAAGTAACAGTTAAAGCATGAATTTCCTGTTATTTTTCCTTAAAGAGAACTAATGTGGAGACAAATTCCAAAGTAGGAATAGGAAACGACTACCAGTTTAGTTAAGGTATGACTAGCACTGTTTGCATCCTTTGCTCCACTTCTCCTAACTCTCATTTGACCCTTAGCATCAAGCTCAAATTATTTTTTCAAGGGCTCTCTGTATGAAAATGAATGGTTATGTCTCCCAAGAGAAGGAAGGCACAATTTACCAAACAGCAAACACTCTATTCCTATTTATTCATCCATTCATTATTTATGAATTGCCCTATATACATCGGGAACTGGGCTGCATGATGATGGAAGAGGTGTGTGCTATTTTCAGAGAATGAATGTCATATCAGCATTTCAGGGCCAGTATGCTGTTTCTTCCAGACCCTGTGGAAATATCCAAGTCTATGTCTAAACTTGTATACTGTTACAAGTAAATTCAATAAAAATAATAAGACACAAATCTTCTGAACTCATTCAGATTGTGCCCTGCATAACTGTTGAAACTTGTTTTAGTTTTTCACTTTTCATCAAGTATTTGGGAAAGAGTTACCTCAGCTTCAGTCTGAAATGTGGAAGCTGAGTGGCTTAGATGTGCTGATTGAGAATGAAATAATCTTATTCTTTTGCAAAAATCTCTCCTTTTAGAACAAGTGTTCCAGCAAGTAATTACTCAATGAAATCTGTACTTACTGATAATTATTCTAGATAACTATTTTTAAGGGTTTACAGTTTCTTCCTTTTATTCTTCAATTTCTGGCAGGAGTACCACAGTTTTCAAGGAAAGTTTGTAGAATCACAGCTTAACCAGAAAGGAAGCACTGCAAGTCCTCCCAGGAAAAAATATTTTTGCAGATCCAGGAAATTTCAAAATTTGGCTCTTTGCATTTGTACCAAAATCTTATAGAGATTTTTTTGGAATTGAGTTTCTAAAAGCTTGGGTGGCTCATTCATCTTCAATAATAACATTAAGAGTTACTGAATGGGTTTGCCAGAAGTGGTGGGAAGAAGTTGCCCACAATTTGGTTCAGCATTTTTGGAATGAACAAAATGTCAAGTTAGAAAAATTGTCAGTTATGAAGTTGCAGCATGCTTTTTCTCCACAAATTAAGCCCAGTGTGGCATTTTATATAAGCTGCATTTCAGGAAATAAGGAGATGGCATCTTTTATCTCTAACTAGGTTCTGGAATTAAATTGCTCTTTTTCACTTGCATCAATATATTTGTCCTCCAATGGCATATGTTTCATCAGGGCAACCATGTGGAAAATTCAGACACAAAGAAGTATTTGTTTCTTGCAAGAGCAATGTGAATACAGTATTAATGTAATTTTGATGCCAGATAACATACTTTGTGATAGCAGAGACATAATAATGAAGAGACTTACAGAGGGCCTGGGTTTGTTGATCTTTGGATTTCTTCCATGGTAGAGTAGTAAAGTTGGCTCAACCATTTCAAAAATCTGGGTATGGTGTGGATATGTTTTATTATTTTCTCCTTCCTGAATTGGGTAATTTATAGCAATTTCAGATTATAAAGATTTTATAAGGGATTTTTCATGCAGACTTGTTCCAGTGGGGTAACAATAATAGCATGCAGCGGAGAGATGATCTCCACAATGAAGCTTATCAGCCTTTGAGAAGCAGGATAAATCTATTGAATAATTTATAGCAACACTAAAGAGATATTATGCCTAGAAATGGGGATTTATGTGGTGATTCAGTTCTTACGGAGGAAGTACAGGAAAATAAAGATGATAGTGACAATATTTTAACATAAATGAGTTAGGTGAGGGATAATCCACACATATTTCAGGATTGTAAGAAAGTTACAATGATGGAGAAAAAAAGATCAATGGATAAAAAATCAGGAGACTGGATTCTAATGCCAGCTAAACAGCTGAGCCACCAAGGGCAAGTGACAATGGTGGGGATAATAATGTTTTTCCAAGTTATTTCATAGGGCAGTTGTGAGCATTCGATGTAATAATAAAGTTCCTTGAAAATTAGAAATTACCTGTCAGTTATTATTTCAGAGCAAGTTTAACAACCAGAATAACAGATGGACAGATCTTGCCTAATATAAAAAAGAAATAAAGTATATCTCCAATAAAACATATGATTTGGCATTCCACTAAATTGTAAGTGGCACCACCTACTAAATCTAGAATGTTTCCTGTGATATGTTGATTTTCATATTAAACTTCAGCATTAATGAATCCTTTTATGCAATTTATGAAATCACAGCTTCAGTGTAGGTCCCTGACAAGGATGGCTGAGAGTTATTGATGGAAGGCTGAAAATGTAAACTAAAGGAAAACCCACATTTGCCTCTGTGCTCTCTTTGTGAACTCAGCAGCAGGAAAATGTGATGGGGATATTTTAGTAAGATCTTCACTGTGAAACTGCCTTCTGAGAGCTGACCGGCCGTGTTCACATGATGCTTTATAGACTGACTCAGACCCCTGGCTAACATAGACCCCAATGGAAGAGTACTAAAACTGAATAAGTAAAATTACCTTTAAAAAATGCATTCTTACTAATTTCTGTGAGGATCTTTCAATTCCAAGTCTTTAGGAATTTAGAGTAATCATCAATTGCCAACAATGGATTCATCTAAATGTTGTCACGTCAAGACCCTAATGAATTTACTTTAATAAGGAAAATTGCTAATTTATAATTAGCTTGTTAATTTTCATTTGTTTGTATTCAAAAAGTTTGTCATCTGTCAAATACAATATCATAAAATCTTAGTTTTACTATGAATTTTCTTTTTTTTCCTTTTTAAAAAATTTTTGGGGTATAGGGTGTATTAGTTTGTTCTCACACTGCTAATAAAGACATACCCAAGACCAGGTAATTTATAAAGAGGTTTAGTTGACTCACCATTCCATGTGGGTGGGGAGGCCTCACAATCATGCTGGAAGGCAAAGGAGGAACAAAGTCAAGTCTTACATGGTGGGCAGGCAAGAAGGCTTTTGCAGGGAAACTCTCATTTATAAAACCATCAGATCTCGTGAGACTTATTCACTACCACAAGAACAGTATGGGGGAAACCACCTCCATGATTCAATTATCTCCACCTGGCCCCACCCTTAACAGGTGGAGATTATTACAGTTCAATGAGAGATTTGAGTGAGGACACAGCCAAACTATATCACAGGGTCTCATTCTGTCACCCAGGCTGGAGTGCAATGAATGGCATAATCACAGCTCACTGCAGTCTTGACCTTCCAGGCTCAAGCAATCCTCCTACCTCAGCCTCCCGAGTAGCTGGGACTACAGATGTGTGCCACCATGCCCAGCTAATTTGAACACTTTTGGTAGAAGCGGGGTTTTGCCATATTACCCGGACTTGTCTCCAACTCCTAACCTCAAGCAATCCACTCATCTCAGGCTCCCGAAGTGCTGGGATTGCAGGCATGAGCCACTACCCCTGGTCACTAAATTTTCTTAAAAATTTATATTGTTGGTCAAAGATGGACTTCTACCTAGCTTCTGCTTATCCTAAGTCCCAAATCGTGGAGTTCAAAGCTTTCCTCATAATCTGGTGAACTTCAGAATATTGGAAAGTTAATGCATTATTATTTCTTATTCTTATAAAATTTGATTCCAATTTCTCTTCCCTTTCAATTTATAAAGAGAATTACTTAAGAACCAAGAAAAAAATTGTTTTGACAATACTTTAGCCCAACAGGAAGCTCTGTAAGTATCTAAAGAAACGTCACTCCTCAAATATTGCCAAGTCATTTTTTGCAGATGCAAGAAATTTAGATAGTTTTAACCAGCTCAATTTCCTTACCCTTTGACATGTAGATGTCTCACTGTCAAAAATAAAATGTAATAAAAATAAAAAATAATTTTAAACAGCAGGAAAAGGGAAATAATGAATCATCAGCTGGGGATGGAAAAGCTTAGGTGTTTATACTGCTGAAGCCGCTGTACTTTTTATTTTTCTTGAATAGTTAGGTGGGGACAATAGACTGAAAGACTATTGTGAGTCAGTATTCTAGGCTCTATCTTTATTTCCATGTTCTTGCATCTAGGTTAATTTCCCCATCAACCAAATACTGAGATTTTGAGTGTATTGTTGAGTGAATGTTTATATAGGCTTAAGATTTTTGGGTTAAAGGTGCTATTTAAAAAAGAATATTATTGTTATTACTCATGAAAAATAGTTTTAGTGCTGATTTTGGCAGGGACTGGCAACCTTCATATTGGCTAGCAAAAAAAAAAGTCAACACAAATTCATCAAGTACATTTCTCTGCACTAGAAACTAATGACATAAGAGCTATTAGGCTTGGAATTAAGAATACTTTCTTTAGAAACTAATAATCAAGTATGAACAATCTTTCTCAAGAAAAAATACAAATAATTTATCTACTCGATTAAGTTTTGGGTAAAATACTGGGCACAAGTAGACACTTAATAGGCTTGTTGGTTGACTTTTCTCTCTAATACCTGAACTAATTCTATCCTTTATCCAACCCACCTGAAGCAGAGTAGATTATCTAGGAAGGGTCTTTATAAATAATTTTTATTTCTGTGTTCTGAGAGCCACATTTCCTTAGAGAGAAATTCACAGAGAATGGCCATGTATCAGCAAACTATTTTTCAAAGCATTTTCAGAGATGAGGGTGTGAGGGTGGGTTATCAAGGATAAAGTTAGAATTTCTGTCACCCACATTTTCAATTAGAATGCCTTCAGCTGCAGTTAACAGAAAACTTCTATTAAACAGGTTAAAATAATTATTTCCCAAAGACACAGTTTCTCAGGTCTCTGTCTCTACCTCTCTAACACCCACTTTGGGTCTACAATGCTTTCTGGTCGGGTTCATTCTCAGGCAGACATCAGGATGGCTGTAGCAGTTCTAGGCATCACATCCGGATATAACTGTGTCTAGAGAAAGAAAATGGGCCATGTCTTCCTTGTTAACTTTTTAGGAGCAAGGAAATCTTTCCCATAATTCCCAACCCCACCTAGCAGACCTTCCTTAATGGATCATTGGTTACAATCAGATCACATGCTTTTCCTAAACCAGGCACTGGCAGGGTGAACGGGATTAGCAGGATTGGTAGACTAATTGGATAAGGAGGAAATTATGTTGGGAGACCTCCATCCATCATGATACCTTTACCTGGGGAATATTTAGTTCAAATTTCCGTAAAATAAACAAAAAAGTACAAAATAAATTTGTACTTAAGTACAAATTCCATAATTTATAAGTCCAGGATATACTTTGACTAGAGTCTGGAAGTTGCTACTTTAAAAAATAATAATAACCTAACCACTAAAAGCATCTGGCATTAGGAGTTTCTCTTCATAGAATCTGTGTTTTATGGATTCCAAATAATGAACTAAAGGACAAAACCGGGACCTGCAGAGTTCATAGTTTTAAAAATCTTCACTACAGGTTCTGAGACTCCACATTCAAAGTCACCTATCAAATACCCAGGCAAAGATGGTAGAAAAGACAGGGCAAAAAGATTACCCCCACTTCAACTAAGACCTTCAACTCCTCTATGCCAAAAGCATCTTTACCAGACTAATTAGACTGGAGTCATGAAAAAAGCACTGGATAGGGAGCTGGGGAATACTCAGCTTTTTTTTTTTTTTTTTTTTTTTTGAGACAGAGTCTCGCTGTCGCCCAGGTTGGAGTGCAGTGGCGCGATCTCGGCTCACTGTACTCAGCTTTGCTATATGTAGATGTGGTCTCTCATGACCAAGGAACTTTGTGTGACCTTATGCTTAGGTAACAGGACGGTCTGTGCTGAGGTCCCTAATGCCTTTTTTTAAACTCTAAGAAAATATGATGTTGGCATTCTTTAATTTCTGCTATGTATCCTTAGAGAGAGGTTCTAATATGGAGAAAAATTGCTTCAAGAGAAACAGCCCAAGAGAGAGCAAACCTAGCTAAACAGGACTGGGCCTAATTGACTCTGGAATAATTGAGTATAACCTCTGAGTGACCTCAGGACCAAAAGCATGGCTTATTTATAACGTCCAGAAAAAAGCACACTGCCTGGATCTCAAATACCTTTAGCAGTTGTGCAGGATTTTTCTCAGAGCCACGTCACCAGCTGGAGACCTCCATGGCCAGTGATGCCCCTGCCTGTGCCTGGCTCAGCCCCGGACTCACCACAGGAGGTACCCTCTCCACCCAGCCCAGTGAACTGCGCCTGGCTTGCACTCCTGCGCAGATCCCACACTCGCCACGGGATCCGCGCTCAGCCCGCAGCTGGGCTGGGTATGCCACAACCTGCTTCTGCCTTGGGCGTGGAGTCTGGACGAGGGGAATGCTGTGTCACCTGAACAGGGATGCCAGCAACCGTGAAGCCCAGGGGGGTGTTTTACAGTGTGCTAACAGCTCTTTTAGTCCCGTGGCCCTGTTCTTGACCACGGCTCTGGGGCTGGCCTAGCCCTGCCACGGCTTCCCGTGATGTGGGGTGTCTTCGCGTAATGTGGGATGGCTTCCCACCTCTGGCAGAGGGTGGAGGGCTACAGTGTTACAGCCTTTCTGGTACTCAATTTTGGCAGGTCCCGAGTTCTTGTTTCACTTCCAAGAATAAAGAGGTTACCCTGACAACCGAAGGTGAGGAGAGTTTTACTGAGCGACAGGTCTCAGCAGAGAGAGGACCCCAGAGTGCAGCCCCCTCTCCGAAGTTGGGTGGTCTCTTCCCACCTAAAGGCGGGCAGTCCCAAAGTGTGGATGAATCCGGGGTTTTTAGGGGCTCAGAATAAGGGAGTGCATGCTGATTGATTTGTGAGTATGCAAAAAAGGCTAAAACAAAGACAGCACTCAAAGATGGGTATGACAGTGTAAAAACCCAGCTAGGGAAGGGTAGGTATATGTAAAATAGGAGAAGGGCAGAGATCTATCAGAGGAAAGTGCGCCACACGGGAAGAGAGATTCTGAATCTGGTCCATTGATTTATCAAGACTTGTAGCTTGGCTTTCAGGCTTTAAAGTGTCTTTGGTTTGAAGGTGGGGTTTCACCAGAAACCCGCCTCATCTGCCTAGGGATATGTCTGCCTCCTGCCCCTATCAGCAGTATTTATGTGGGAGAGGAACAAGAGAAAAGGGAGTACCTAGGAAAACATAAATAGAATAATATAGAAAACACTACATCTTTCAACTCTCTTCAGTTTCTGACACATTGCTATTTGCTCAAGTGATCTTCACCACAACTTAGTGATGTAGAAAGAAAATATGCTGTGGCCCCCATATTACAGATAAAAAAATATAAGAGGCAGAGAGCCCAGAAGAACGATATTAGCTGAGCCAAGAACAGAATTGGATCTTTTCAATGGAGAAGTAGTCTTTAGGGGATTCCACATATTTTTTAAACCATGATTCTCATATTTGTAAGATAAATTTACAATCTAGTAGCTGTTCAACAACTGACTTCTAATAAAGTTTTGATTGGTGGTATTTTCATATATTCATTCAATAAATATTATTGATATCTGCCATGTGCTACATATGCTTAATGATGTCTCCATATTGAAGTATGTTTATTCCTATCTTCTGAATAGTCCCTCTGGGTTGAAAAACCTCTTAGTTAGCTGAGATATTTTGTTGTTGAGTTTAAGTCTCTTTTTTGTATTTGTTAAAACAGGAAATAGAATGACTGAAGAGCTAAGAGAAAGGCTTTTGCCTCATTCCATACTTAATGCCTTCTTGGCTAAGCACTTAGTGAAACTTTTCCTAAAACTACCTGCACAGTCAGAAGCAGTTTATGTTACTTCAAGGTCTTTCAAATTGCTGCATCTACTTAGCTGTAAAGTTTCTGGGGCAGATTAACACTGCTTTTCCCAGTTAACTTAAACACCATTATTCCTAATCTTTTAAACCGTAGTCATTTTGGCTAAGTAAACTCATCAATTTGTTCCATTATTATGAATCCATGATCATGCCAGGCACTTAAGTAGCAAAGGAAATTTCAGAATGATGATTTAACTCCTCCTGGTCCAAGAAAAAAATGCCCTGGTAAAGGATGGAAACAAGTCCTGGCAGGTAACAGTAAAACCAATGTTTTCTCTACAGACCATGATGATACTTGTAATTACTATCACCTAAATCAAAATGATTAAAGTAAAATCATGTCCTTCCAGATGCTCATCATACACTTCCTCACAGTAAATTAAAGTCACCATTAAACATCTGAAATGTCTATAATTTGAACCACAGCTGCAAGAAAAGTCACTCAATTGTGAATTTGTTAACCATATATTATTGCATCAAGTGTAGGCTTTCCTTCCCAAGACCAGTATTGCCCCCATTGGAATAATTTTTTAAAGAATGACATTGGTTGTGCTCATAGCTACTCCATGACTAAGAGGTAGCATGTTAAACAGGAGAAAAAAAAGTCTACTTTGACAAGTAACAGTTTTTAAAAATAAAACTAGTTTTATGTTTTATGTTCGAACTATTGAGTCTACTGTTTATCATAACCATCTCTCTTTCCTCCCCCACCCCAACATACACACACCCCACATCAGTAGTGTCAAGATACGAAGCTTGTCATAAAAAAAGTTTAAGATAATTCTAAAACCATTATTTAAACTACAGTGTTCATTTCTCCCCACAAATTGAGGTATTTGCCAAGTAAACATATTTACTTAACTATGACCTGGCTTTCTTCTAGTGTCCAAGCCTCTTTTCCAATGGAGAAACAGACAAGTGGGGATAAAATAACCAAAGAATAAGAGAAACAGAGAAGCTATATAATTCACAAAGAGAATAATCACTCTTTCAATTACCAAATTGGACTGCACTTTTGAATAGCTTTGAAATGTTAAAAGAAACTCATGAGTCTTTCTGGTGATTCACTGAGAACCAGCACAGAAAGCTCTTCTATAGATTCATCAATCATTTCAAGAGCCTAGAAATTAAAGAAAATTATTTCTTGGATAGGCCATCAAGAAAGAAACAGCTCCCTAACTAGTTAGATCTATTATGTAAAAATGAAAACTTGTGCAAGTACAATTCAAAGTGGATTTTAAATTTTTGAAATTCAAGTATATTTTGATTATTTTTTAATCTTAGAAGGCAGTTTCCATAAGGCAGATAATATATCTTTTATATTCATCTAGTCCAGGATAATAGTGGGGAACGCTGGAAATGGTTATTGAATACTTATTCTTCATAGAAAATGACTCTTCATCTAATACTTTGGCAAAATGTTTTCTTTCCTGGGTAAATGATGAAGAGTAGAGTTGCTCAGTTACATGGGAAATTCATATTTGACTACAGTCATAGGCCACACCATGACGTTTTTGTCAATAATGAACTGCATATAGGATGGTGGTCACATAAGATTACATGGGAGCTGAAAATTTCCTATTGCCCCATGATGTCTTGATGATCCTGACCCTGTGTAGGCCTAGGTTAATATGTGTATTTTTGTTTTAGTTTTTAACAAAAAAGTTTTAAAAGTGAAAAAGAAACATTTTAAAAATAGGATAAGGATATAAAGAAAGAAAATGTTTTTGTACAGCTGTACCGTGTGTTTGTGTTTTAGGCTAAGTGTTATTGCGAAAGTCTAAAAGCTAAAAAAATTAAAAATTTATAAAGTAAAAATGTTACAGTAAGCTAAAGTTAATATGTTATTGAAGAAAGAACTTCTTTTTGTTGTTGCTGTTTGTTTGTTTGTTTGTTTGTTTTGAGACAGGGTCTTGCTCTGTCACCCAGGCTGGAGTGCAGTGTCATGATCATAGCTCACTGCAAGCTCAAACTCCTGGACTCACAGGATCTTTTCACCTCAGTCTCTCCAGTATCTGGCACTACAGGCAAGCGCCAACCAGCCTGTCTAATTCTTTTATTTTTAGTAGACATGAGGTCTCATTATGTTGTCCAGGCTCGTCTCAAACTCCTGGCCTCAAGCAACCCTCCTGCTTTGGCCTCCCAAAGTGCTGAGCCACCATGCTGGGCCTGAAATTTTTAAAAAATAGATTTAATGTAGGCTAAGTGTATAGTATTTATAAAGTCTCTTTAGTGTACAGTGAGTCCTAGGCCTTCACATTCATTCACCAGTCACTCACTGACTCACCCAGAGCAACTGCCAGTCCTGCAAGCTCTGTTCATGGTAAGTGCTCTATACAGGTACACCGTCTTTAAAACTTTATACTTACAGTTTTACTGTACTTTTTCTATGTTTGGATGTACCATTTAGCCTAGGTGTGTAGTAAGTTATATCATCTAGGTGTGCACATACATATACTCTATGATGTTCTCACAATAAGGAAATCACCTAATGATATATTTCTCAGAATGTATTCCCATTTTTAAGTGACATATAACTATATAAAAATTGTCACACTATTTTCAAAAGTGGTTTTACACACTCCCAACAGAATCTAGGAGACGTCCACTTGCTACACATTGTTACTAACACTGAGAATTGTCAGTCTTTTTAATTTTAGCTATTATAATGGGTAGGAACTGGTATGATTTCTGGTTGTAATTTACACTTAGAGGAATGGCTAACAATATTGAGCCACATTTTGTATACTTATTGGAATTCTGAAAGAGATGATGTAAAGTTGGTGTTATTGATAGAAATTGTATTATTAAAATACCAATGTTTGAAAATAAATTAGAAGGTTTTAAATTCTGAATTTTAATATATGCTTATAATTTTAATTATGAATTTAATTTCTTGATAGATATAGGGCTATTTACATTTTTTATTTTTTGAGTCAGATTGGGTGAGATGTATTTTTCAAGGTATTTCACTATTTTATGTTGGTGATATTTTCCTATTAGTTTTCATTAGCATCTGTAGTATACTTCTCTTTCATTTCTGATATTGAAAATCTATGTTCCTTCTCTCTCTCGGGTACAGTCTGTTTTTTTATTTCCTTATTTTTGCCCTTGTCATTATTATGTCCTTTTTCTTATTTACATTGCTATCCTTTTTCTAGTTTTTAAAAGTTGAAATAGATTTTTAAAACTTTATTTTTTAGAATAAGCACAAAAGAAATGAATTTATCAGCACTGCTTTAAATATCTCACAGATTTTGATATTTTGTGTTTTCATTATCTTTCACTTTTATTTTCTAATTTCCCTTTTCATTACTTCTTTAACCCATGGGTTACTGAAAAGTGTGTAATTTTATTTCCATTTTTGTGACAACTTATTTATGGTTATTAACGTAATTTCTATCTAGTCAGAGAACATGCTTTGCTGAAATGTATTGAGATTTATTTTATGGCCCAGTATATCTTGGTGAATATTTCATGTGCACTAGAAATTAATATATTTTTTCAGTTATTGGATATAGTGTTCTATAAAAGTTAATTAGGTAAATTTGCTTAATAGTTTGTTCAGGTCTTTCATGTCTTAATTTTTTTGCCTACTTGTCTCTTCAATTACCAAGAGATTTGTGTTAAAATCTCTAATTATGGTTGCAAATGTGCTTATTTCTCTCCCTTGATTCTGTCTGTTTTTGTTTTATAAATTTTGAAGCTCTCATTCAGTGGAAGAATATTTAGGGGCATGGGAAGTCATATCATTATAAAATGCCCTTCTTTATCTTTTATAATACCCTAATATCTTTTCTCTTAAAGTCTTAAATTACTATTTCATATGAATTTCCTTATGATGACTATTTGCATAATACACATTTTTACCATTGTTTTACTTTAAAATTTTTATATAGCTGTATGCATTTCTTATAGGCTGCATCTTGTTTGGTCTTTCTGTTTTTATCCAGCCCAATAATCTCTTCCTTTTAATTGAATGGTTCAGTCCATTTACATTTAATGTAATTTTTATGTGGTTGGGTTTAAGTCTACCCTTTTGTTGTTGGTTTTCCATTTGTCTCTTGGGTTTTTTTTAGTCTTCCATGGTTCATTTCTTGCCTTCTTTTGGGTTAATCAAATATTTTTAGTGCCCCATCTTCTATTTGTGTCTTGGCTAAACATCTTTTTATTATTCTGTTTTTACATAGTTGCTCTAGGACTAACAAAGTATATTCTTAACTTATAAAAGCACATTTATAGTCAATAATAGAACATTTTATACTTCCTAGTTCACATCTGAAACTTTCTACTTCTTACTTCACAAGTTATAATATTGTAAAATAATATTACAAGTAACATACTGTTACTGTTGTAACAGTACATAACTCCATGTACCTGCTGTGTTAGTTTTCTATTGCTGTCATAATAATTTACCATAAATTTAGAGGCTAAAACAATACAAATGTATTATCTTACAGTTCTGTAAGCCAGAATTCTGACATAGATCTCACTAGGTTAAAAACAAAGTGTTGGCAGCACTGTGTTCCTTTCTGGAGACTCCAGGGGAGAATTCATTTCCTTCTCATTCAGGTTGTTGGCAGAATTCAGTTACTTGAGATTTTGGGATCAAGACTTTCATTTTCTTGCTGGCTGTAAACCGAGGATCATTCTTAGTTTCTAGAGGCCACTACATTTCTTGGCTTGTAGCCACCTTCATTCATATTAAAAGCCAGCAACCACTGGTGAGTTAAGTTCTTTTCACAACACATTTCTGACCCATTCTTCTGCTTTACTCTTTCACTTATAAGAGCTCATATGATTAGATTGAGCCCATCCAGGATAACCTTCCTCTTTCAAAGTCAGCTGATTCACAGTCTTCCATCTGCAACCTGAATTCCCCTTTGTCATGAAATGTAACATATTCACAGGTCCCAGAGATTAGAATGTGGACATCCTTGTGGGATCATATTCTGCTTATCACCCTCCCCTCCAAATTCTAAATACTTATGGTATTATTGTTATTCCTTTTACTTTTTTTCTTTTTTTCTTTTTTTTTTTTTTTTGAGATGAAGTCTTGCTCTGTTGCCAGGCTGGAGTGCAGTGGTGCTGAGAGGTGAAGCTGGCTGGGCTTCTGGGTCGGGTGGGGACTTGGAGAAATTTTCTGTCTAGCTAAAGGATTGTAAACACACCAATCCACACTCTGTGTCTAGCTAAAGGTTTGTAAATGCACCAATCAGCACTCTGTAAAAACGCACCAATCAGAGCTCTGTGTCTAGCTAAAGGGTTGTAAACGCCCCAATCAGCACTCTGTAAAAACAGACCAATCAGCACTCTGTAGAATGGACCAATCAGCAGGACATGGGTAGGGCCAAATAAGGGAATAAAAGCTGGCCACCCGAGCCAGCAGCAGCAACCCACTCGGGTTCCCTTCCATGCTGTGGAAGGTTTGTTCTTTCACTCTTCACAATAAATATTGCTGCTGCTCACTCTTTGGGTCTGCACTACCTTTATGAACTGTAACACTCACTGCAAAGTTCTGCGGCTTCACTCCTGGAGTCAAGCGAGACCACGAACCCACTGGAAGGAAGAAACTCTGGACACATCTGAACATCTGAAGGAACAAACTCTGGACACACCATCTTTAAGAACTGTAACGGCCGGGCACGGTGGCTCACGCCTGTAATCCCAGCACTTTGGGAGGCCAAGGCAGGCAGATCATGAGGTCAGGAGATCAAGACCATCCTGGTTAACACGGTGAAACCCCGTCTCTACTACAAAAAGAAAATACAAAAAATTAGCCGGGCATGATGGTGGGTGCCTGTAGTCCCAGCTACTCGGGAGGCTGAGGCAGGAGAATGGCGTGAACCCGGGAGTTGGAGCTTGCAGTGAGCTGAGACTGCGCCGCTGCACTCTGGCCTAGGCAAAAGAGCGAGACTCTGTCTCAAACAAACAAACAAACAAACAAAAGAACTGTAACACTCACTGCGAGGGTCCGCGGCTTCATTCTTGAAGTCAGTGAGACCAAGAACCCACTGGAAGGAACCAATTCCAGACATATTTTGGTGACCCAGATGGGACTGTCGCCTATCACCAAGTGGTGAGTACCATCAGACCCCTTTTGCTTGCTATTCTGTCTTATTTTTCCTTAGAATTTGGGGACTAAATACCAGGCACCTATTGGCCAGTTAAAAGTGACTAGCATGGATGCCAGACTAAAGACACGGGTGTCAGGCTTTCTGAGAAAAGGCTCTCTAACAACTCCTGACTCTTCAGAGTTGAGAGCGTTGGTTTGTCTGGAACCAGCTTCCGCTTTTCCTGTACTTCTGGGCTGAGCCAAGGATCGACAGACAGGAAAGCCATTCAGCTCCAGGGTCCCAACAACAAATTGGTTGACCCTGCAGCCATAAGCGGAACTCTCAAAGTCACGTTGCCCAAGCGAGACTTGACCGTCTATCCTGTCTATCCTGACCCTTTCCTCCTGGGTCCTAATGCCTGTCAGACAAACTTCCTCTTGCCTCTCTTCTCCGAGGCTAGTCTCGTTTCTAAAAACCACTCCCTGTCTCTGGTGCTTTTCTAGTTTCTTCTATAAGAATGATTTCTAGTATAAACTTCAGGACTCTATTCCCTTCTTTAGGCACCCGGGCTCACCAATTAGAAAGACATAATTTTTGCCCAAAGCCCCATTGTAGGGGGCACTATCTGGAATTTTATGATCCCTCCTCAGACAAGCAGGCCTAACAAAAGCTATTCCTGAAGCTAGGATATGGGGAGCCTCAGAAATTGTTTCCTTCCTATTCATATAAGTGAGGACAAAAAGCATCACTCTTCCAACTCTGGAGATCCCTTCCCTCCCTCAGGGTATGGCCCTTCACTTCATTTTTGGGGCACAACATCTTTATGGGACATGAGTAAAGTCCCATTACTAACAGGAGAATGCTTAGGACTCTAGCAGGTTTTTGAGAATGCATCAGTAAGGGCCACTAAATGCGATTTTTCTTGGTCCTCTTTGTGGTCTAGGAGGACAGGTAAGAGTGCAAGTTTTTGAGAATGTGTTGGTAAGGTCCACTAAATCCGATTTTTCTCAGTCCTCTTTGTGGTCTAGGAGGACAGGCAAAGGTGCAGGTTTTCGAGAATGCATCGGTAAGGGCCACTAAATCTGACATTCCTTGGTCCTCCCTCGTGGTCTAGGAGGAAAACTAGTGTTTCTGCTGCTGCATTGGTGAGCGCAACTATTCTGATCAGCAGGGTCCAGAGACCATTGCAGGTTCTTGGGCAAGAGGTGTTTCTGCTGCTGCATCAGTGAGTGCAACCATTCTGATCAGCAGGGTCCAGGGACCGTTGCAGGTTCTTGGGCAGGGTGAGAAACAAACAAACCAAAACCATGGGCGGTTTTGTCTTTCAGATGGGAAACACTCAGTCATCAACAGGCTCACCCTTGAAATGCATCCTAAGCCATTGGGACCAATTTGACCCACAAACCCTGAAAAAGAGGCAGCTCATTTTTTTCTGCACCATGGCCTGGCTCCAATATTCTCTCTCTGATGGGGAAAAATGGCCACCTGAGGGAAGTATAAATTACAATACTATCCTGCAGTTTGACGTTTTCTGTAAGAGGGAAGGCAAATGGAGTGAAATACCTTATGTTCAAGCTTTCTTTTCATTGAAGGAGAATACATCACTATGCAAAGTTTGCAATTTATATCCCACAGGAGGAACTCTCAGCTTACCCCCATATCCTAGCCTCCCTATAGCTCCCCTTCCTATTAATGATAAGCCTCCTCTAATCTCCCTCACCCAGAAGGAAATAAGCAAATAAATATTCAAAGGACCACAAAACCCCCCGGGCTATTTGTTATGTCCCCTTCAAGCTGTAGGGGGAGGGTAATTTGGCCCAACCTGGGCACATGTCCCTTTCTCCCTCTCTGATTTAAAGCAGATCAAGGCAGACCTGGGTAAGTTTTCAGATGATCCTGATAGGTACATAGATGTCTACAGGGTCTAGAGCAAACCTTCGATCTCACTTGGAGAGATGTCATGCTATTGTTCGATCAAACACTGGCCTTTAATGAAAAGAATGTGGCTTTAGCTGCAGCCCGAGAGTTTGGAGATACCTGGTATCTTAGACAAGTAAATGATAGAATGACAGCCAAATAAAGAGACAAATTCCCTACTGGTCAGCCAGCCATCCCCAGTATGGATCCCCACTGGGACCTCGATTCGGATCATGGGGACTGCAGTTGTAAACATCTGTTGACCTGTGTTCTAGAAGGACTAAGGAGAATTAGGAAAAAGCCCATGAATTATTCAATGATATCTACCATAACTCAGGGAAAGGAAGAAAATCCTTCTGCCTTCCTTGAGCGGCTATGGGAGGCCTTAAGAAAATATACTCCCCTGTCACCTGAGTCACTCGAGAGTCAGTTGATTCTAAAAAATAGGTTTATTGCCCAATTAGCTGCAGATATCAGGAGAAAGCTCCAAAAGTGAGCCCTGGGCCCTGAACAAAATCTGGAGGCATTATTAAACCTGGCAACCTTGGTGTTCTATAATAGGGACCAAGAGGAACATGCCCAAAAGGAAAAGCGAGATCAGAGAAAAGCCTTAGTTATGGCCCTCAGACAAACAAACCTTGGTGGTTCAAAGAGGACAGAAAATGGAGCAGGTCAATCACCCAGTAGGGCTTGTTATCAGTGTGGCTTACAAGGACACTTTAAAAAAGGTTGTCCAATGAGAAACAAGCTGCCCCCTCGTCCATATCCGCTATGCTGAGGCAATCATTGGAAGGCACACTGCCCCAGAGTGCAATGGTTCTCTGGGCCAGAAGCCCCCAACCAGATGATCCAACAACAGGACTGAGGGTGCCCAGGGCAAGTGCCAGCTCATGTCATCACCCTCACTGAGCCCCAGGTATGTTTAACCATTGAGGGCCAGGAAATTGACTTCCTGCTGGACACTGGCATGGCCTTCTCAGTGTTAATCTCCTGTCCCAGACGACTGTCCTCAAGGTCCATTACCATCCAAGGAATCCTGGAACAGCCTGTAACCAGGTATTTCTCCCACCTCCTCAGTTGTAATTGGGAGACTGCTTTTTTCACATGCCTTTCTTGTTATGCCTGAAAGTCCCACAACCTTATCAAGGAGGGATATATTAGCCAGAGCTGGAGCTATTATCTACATGAATATGGGGAACAAGTTACCCATTTGTTGTCCCCTACTTGAGGAGGGAATCAACCCTGAAGTCTGGACATTGGAAGGACAATTTGGAAGGGCAAAAAATGCCCACCCAGTCCAAACCAGGCTAAAAGACCCCACCACTTTTCCTTATCAAAGGCAATATCCCTTAAGGCCTGGAGCTCATAAAGGATTACAGGATATTGTTAAACATTTAAAAGCTCAAGGCTTAGTAAGGAAATGCAGCAGTCCCTGCAACACCACAATTCTAGGGTACAAAAACCAAAACGTCAGTGGAGAATAGTGCAAGATCTTAGACTCATCAATGAGACAGTAATTCCTCTATATCTAGTTGTACCCAACCCCTATACCTTGCTCTCTCAAATACCAGAGGAAGCAGAATGGTTCACTGTTCTGTACCTCAAGGATGCCTTCTTCTGTATTCCCCTGCACTCTGACTCCCAGTTTCTCTTTGCCTTTGATGATCCCACAGACCACACATCCCAACTTACGTGGACAGTCTTGCCCCAAGGGTTTAGGGATAGCCCTCATCTGTTTGATCAGGCACTGGCCCAAGATCTAGGTCACTTCTCAAGTCCAGACATCCTGGCCCTTCAGTATGTGGATGATTTACTTTTGGCTACCAGTTCAGAAGCCTCATGCCAGCAGGCTACTCTAGATTTCTTGAACTTTCTAGCCAATCAAGGTTACAAGGCGTCTAGGTCGAAGGCCCAGCTTTGCCTACAGTAGGTCAAATATCTAGGCCTAATCTTAGCCAGAGGAACCAGAGCCCTCAGCAAGGAATGAATATAGCCTATACTGGCTTATCCTCTCCCTAAGACATTAAAACAGTTATGGGGGTTCCTTGGAATCACCGGCTTTTGCCAACTATGGATCCCCAGATACAGCAAGATGGCCAGACCATGCTATACTCTAATCAAGGAGATCCAGAGGGCAAATACTCATCTAGTAGAATGAGAACCAGGGGCAGAAACAGCCTTCAAAACCTTAAAGCAGGCCCTAGTACAAGCTCCAGCTTTAAGCCTTCCCACAGGACAAAACTTTTCTTTATACGTCAGAGAGAGAGCAGGGATAGCTCTCGGAGTCCTTACTCAGACTTGTGGGACAACCCCACAACCAGTAGCATACCTAAGTAAGGAAATTGATGTAGTAGCAAAAGGCTGGCCCCACTGTTTAAGGGTAGTTGTGGTGGTGGCTGTCTTAGTGTCAGAGGCTATCAAAATAATACAAGGAAGGGATCTCACTGTCTGGACTACTCATGATGTAAATGCCATACTAGGTGCCAAAGGAAGTTTATGGCTATCAGACAACTGCCTACTTAGATACCAGGCACTACTTCTTGAGGGACCGGTGCTTCAAATATGTACGTGCATGGCCCTCAACCCTGCCATTTTTCTCCCAGAGGATGGAGAACCAATCAAGCATGACTGCCAACAAATTATAGTCCAGACTTATGCTGCCTGAGATGATCTCTTAGAAGTCCCCTTAGCTAATCCTGACCTTAACCTATATACTGATGGAAGTTCATTTGTGGAGAATGGGATACAAAGGACAGGTTATGCCATAGTTAGTGATGTAACTGTACTTGAAAGTAAGCCTCTTCCCCCAGGGACGAGCGCCCAGTTAGCAGAACTAGTGGCACTTACCTGAGCCTTAGAACTGGGAAGGGGAAAAAGAATAAATGTGTATACAAATAGCAAGTATGCTTATCTAATCCTACATGCCCATGCTGCAATATGGAAAGAAAGGGAGTTCCTAACCTCTGGGGGAACCCCCATTAAATACCACAAGGAAATTATGGAGTTATTGCACACAGTGCAAAAACCCAAGGAGATGGCAGTCTTACACTGCCAAAGCCATCAGAAAGATGAAGGAGGAAACCGTCGGGCAGATGCTGAGGCCAAAATTCCTGCCAGGCAGAACCTCCCATTAGAAATAACTATGGAAAGACCGTTGATATGGAACAACCCCCTCCAAGAGATTAAGCCCCAGTATTTCCCGACTGAAACAGAATGGGGACTTTCACGGGGGCATACTTTTCTCCCCTCGGGGTGGTTAACAACAGAGGAAGGAAAGATACTTATACCTGAAGCCAGCCAGTGGAAAATACTTAAAACCCTCCACCAAACTTTTCATATGGGTATTGAAAACACTCATCAAATAGCCAAATCCCTATTTACAGGGCCAAATCTCCTCCGGACCATCCGACGGGTAATCAAAGCCTGTGAGGTGTGCCAAAAGAATAATCCCTTGGTCCATTGTAAGGCGCCCGGGGAACAAAGAATAGGTCACTATCCTGGAGGGGACTGGCAGTTAGAATTCACCCATATGCCTAAGTCAAAGGGATTTCAATACTTGTTGGTCTGTGTTGACACCTTGGATAGAAACTTTCCCCTGCAAGACAGAGTAGTCTCATGAAGTGATTAAAGTCCTAATTCATGAAATAATTCCTAGATTTGGGCTTCCCCAAAGCTTACAGAGTGACAATATCCAGCTTTTAAAGCCATGATAACTCAGGGAATTTTCAGGGCACTAGGAATACAATATCACCTTCACTGTGCCTGGAGGCCGCAATCCTCAGGGAAGGTCAAGAAGGCACATGAAACACTCAAGAGGCACTTAAAGAAACTAACACAAGAAACTCGTCTCCTATGGCCTACTCTTTTGCCCATGGCCTTGTTGAGAATCTGAAATTCTCCTCACAAAATGGGGCTCAGTCCATATGAAATGCTGTATGGACAACCTTTTTCTCACAAATGACCTCCTACTTGATCAGGAAATGGCCAACTTGGTCAAAGATATAACTTCTTTGGCAAAATATCAACAAAACCTTAAAAACCTACCTGAAGGATGTCACAGAGAAAACGGAGCAGAGTTGTTTCAACCAGGAGATCTAGTGTTGGTCAAATCTCTCCCCTCTACCTCCCCATCTATGGACTCTGTGGGAAGAACCATACTCAGTAATCCTCTCTACCCCCACTGCAGTTAAGGTGGCAGGAGTGGAATCTTGGATTCACCATATCTGAGTTAAATTTTGGACACCCCTTGATGAACCTGTGGGACTGTCAGCTCAGGAGTCCCAAGATCAGCCAGACCAGCCTCGATATACCTGTGAACCATTGGAGGACTTGCATCTTCCTATTTCAAAAGGAAACATCCCAGACTAAAAAGGCTCCTACCACCAATCCTGAAGAAAAACCCCTTCCTTCTTAAAAAAGATAAGTGAAAACCTACATAATCTTTAACACCTCTCCTTGCCCCTTTAATGGAATCCTTTTACTATTTCATCATATTGTTAAGCAGCATACTAACCATACTCTTTGTGATAAGACTATATACTGTAGCTCCTGCTGGGATGAAAATCCTAATCACATCAACCTTCTTTCTCTCTTCCTCCCTTCTGACAGCAATTTACTCCTACCTTTAACTTGGACTGGATAAGATGATCTCATCTTCCAGAGCACCCTCTTTATCTTCCTATTTGCTCTTTGCCTATCTATCCCTCCTGCTTCCTTGGATACCTCATACAATCACCCCTCCCCTTCCACTAGCTCCTAACTACCTCTACAATAATCTCAACTTAACCCACTCTCTGTTAAACCAGTCCAGTCCTTCCCTGGCAAATGACTGTTGGCTTTGTATCTCTCTATCAACTTCTGCTTACGTTGCCACTCCCATTCCCGCAAAAAACTGGGTCTTTACCAACTTAACTTACCACCCTCATTGTGAAGGAAAAGACGCTTTCTGATTTCTAAATATGCAATCATTAGCCCACTTCCCCATCTCTGATAGGACGAAGAATACCCTAACAGGATGTGCAATCCAACTTTTACGTTCTTACATTTCCCACCTCACCTATTACACAAGCAATGAAAAGCCCATACATGACCCTGTAACTACAAATACCATCTTAACTTTCCAAGCCCCTTTATGCATCCAATGCAACCTGTTATAAGGCCTGCCCCTGGGGTACCTACTAACCCATTAGTGTAATTACACCATACAACTTCAAGCCCCAGCTGATCATAGTAACTTCTGAGTCACCCAAACAGCTCCATTCAGATGGCTTGTCTGCTTCTCAGGGCACCCAGAAATCATCGCCTCCTCCCTGCTTAACAAACAGTCCAGGTTTTGTAATGGCAAACATACTCCCTGCATGACCATTCACCCCTGGACTCCCTCCAGCAGCGCCCCCACCACTAGTGAATGCCTTCTCATCCCCTATTTCAATCACTCTCTGGAATGGTTCCTGGTAGATACAAAACGATTTTTTTCTCCAATGGGAAAACAGAACACAGGGAGCCACTCAGTTTGCTCCCAACACCCCTTTCCAGCTGCTCACTGGAGCTACCTTGGCAAGTACTCTAGGAGTATGGGAAAATGAAAACAACAAACTCACACACCTTTTTAACATACACAACCAGTTCTGTCTACCCAGCCAAGGTATATTCTTCTTATGTGGAACGTCGACCTATATCTGCCTCCCCACTAACTGGACAGGCACCTGCACCTTAGTCTTTCTAAGTCCCAACATTAACATTGCCCCAGGAAATCAGACCCTATCAGTACCCCTCAAAGCTCAAGTCCATCAGCACAGAGCCATATGACTGATACCCCTACTTATAGGGTTAGGAATGGCTACTGCTACAGGAACCAGAATAGCCAATTTATCTCCTTCATTATCCTACTACCACACACTCTCAAAGGATTTCTCAGACAGTTTGCATGAAATAACGAAATCTATCCTTACTCTACAATCCCAAATAAACCCTTTGGCAGCAGTGACTCTCCAAAACTGCCGAGGCCTAGACCCCCTCACTGCTGAGAAAGGAGGACTCTGCACCTTCTTAGGAGAAGAGTATTGTTTTTACACTAACCAGTCAGGGATAGTATGAGATGCCGCCTGGCATTTACAGGAAAAGGCTTCTGAAATCAGACAACACCTTTCAAACTCTTATACCAACCTCTGGAGTTGGGCAACATGGCTTCTCCCCTTTCTAGGTCTCTTGGCAGCCATCTTGCTATTACTCGCCTTCGGGCTCTGTATTTTTAACCTCCTTGTCAAATTTGTTTCCTCTAGAATCAAGGCCATGAAGCTACAGATGGTCTTACAAATGGAACCCCAAATGAGCTCAACTAACAACTTCTACTGAGGACCCCTGGACCGACCCACTGGCCCTTTCACTGGTCTAAAGAGTTCCCCTCTGGAGGACACTACAACTGCAGGGCCCCTTCTTTGCCCCTCTCTGGCAGGAAGTAGCTAGAGCGGTCATCGTCCAATTCCCAAAAGCAGTTGGTGAGTCCTGTTTAGAGGGGAGATTGAACCAATTCCAGACACAGTGCAATCTCAGCTCACTGCAACCTCTGCCTCCTGGGTTCAAGTGACTCCCCTCCCTCAGCCTCCCAAGTAGCTGGGATTACAGGCATGAGCCACCATGCCTAGCTAATTTTTTGTATTTTAGTAGAGACAGGGTTTCACCATGTTGGCCAAGATGGTCTTGATCTCCTGACCTCGTGATCTGAACACCTTGGCCTCCCAAAGTGCTGGGATTACAGGCATGAGCCACTGCACCTAGCCTCCTTTTACTTTTATATCTGTTATATACTCCACCTGACAGTGTTACTAATTTTGCTTTTAAACATGTTGTCTTTTACAAAGGATCACATATTGTATGATTTCACTTATATGAGATGGTTAGAATAGGCAACTTCATAGACACAAAGTAGATGAGTGGTTTTCAGGTGCTGAGGGAGGTGGGAAATGGGAAGTGACTGCTAATGAGTACAGTTTCTTTTTGAGGTGATGAAATGTTCTAGGATTAGATAGTGGTGATGATTTCACAACATTGTGAATATATGAAAAACCACTGGATTGCACATTTTAAAGTGGGGAAATGTATGGCATGTGAATTATATCTAAAGCCCAACTCCAAAGTTTCGGGTGATTCTGATGATAATAATCTACAGGATTTACTTTAGAAATACTAAACAGGTAAATGTTTACCTAGTTACTCCCTTGCAATTTTTGCTAAAGCTCGGATAAGAGCAATGACAGTGATAGGGCTTCCTTGACATATTATCCCTAAACCTTAGCAGGCATGGTTGGGAGCAGCTTTTATACCAGTCACATGTTGAATAAGCTCTCTTTGTGAAGAATCAGCCCAGCTACCCCCTTCATGGTACTCCATCACATACTAGACTGGAGGCTATAGTGAGCAATCCTGAAAATAGGCAGTAAAAATGCATATTTGCCAAAATGGATATTAAACTATAGATACAAGCCCAGTTTAAAGAGAATAATTAAGTTAATATTTGAAGATAACTTTATATCTCTGAATCATTCCTTGATCTATCTTTATTAAAGTCAGTTTCTTCCTACTCAATAATCCCATAGTATTTTGTACATAACTCTATCATCATATTAATATAGTTCTTTCATGTTTGTATGTACTAGTAGGATGTAAAGTGGTATAGGACAGGGACCGTGTCATTTTTCTTTGACATCTAGTGTCTAAAATAGTATCTCCCACAAATACTTTAGTATTTCTTGGGTGACTAAATTTAAACTATATTGAAACACCATATGCTTATTCCTACATGATAACTGATAAGTTATTAGGATAATTTAAAACTAAGCAAAGAGCAATATAGGAATAGAAGGATGATTTCTTAATCTAGTAGACTAAAAACTAAAAAAAAATCTATACTAACCTGCACTTAATGTGAAATATTGAATGCATTTCCTCTGAGGTCAAGAATGAGACAAAGAGGTACACTATCAGCAGGTCTCTCCAGCACTTACTGGAGGTACCACCAGTGCGATAGGGCAAGACAAAAGAAAGAATAACCTATGCAAAATTACATTTAGCTATACATGACAGATTAGTGTACTTTACACACAATATATTTTTTCCAAAAATATGTTATAGATAGTATATATTATACCAAAAGAACTCTACACTAAACAGAGACAGTAGGATATAAAGGATTCAGAGAAAGTAATATTTGAGCCAAACTTTGCAGGTACACGAAATGAGCAAAGGATATTCTGGGTAGAAGTCACAGCTTGGAGGTGTGAAAAAACATGGAGTATGAGGGACAATCTTATCCCATAGGATCACTGAGGTAAGGTAGTAGGACATGAGGCCAGAAGGGAAGGTCAAGGCAGACTACAAAATAAATTATGAAACTTGCTAACGGGTTTAGACTGGATTCTGTGGACAAAGGAGGGCCATCAAAATATTTCAGAAAGATTATTCTGCTGACAATGTAGGTGGTGAAATAGATTATGAAAGGGATTGGAGTTGGGACACTAGTTTGGAAGCTAGTGGTGAGGATTTGACATAAAGACAATATGTTCAAAAGGAAAGGATGATATATAATGAGCTTTAGGAAGTAGAAACAACTGAATTGATTGTCTCATTGGATACAGAGAGTGAGGGAGAGGAAGAATCAGTGTTTCTTTCCTGGTTACCTGGGTGGTTGGTAACCTCAACAAAGCTACAGGGAATGGGACAGGGTGAAGGGACTGGGTTCAGTTCTGGACATACTGAATCTAAAAAAGGCCACCAGAAGGGATGTCAACAGAAAAGCTGAAAATGCTGGGCTCACTCATGATTATACCTTAAAATCAGTTCTGGTGAAGTCTCTGACCCAGAAGATTATTGTTAAAATAAATCCAGGATTGATGCTAAAAATTTGAGGAATTTATAGCAAGCCATAGCTCTACGGGGGTTCTCAGGCCCCACACTTTTCCTCATTTAATAGTCAGGGTTTCTAACCCATATGTGGCATGGCTATCTGAGAGTTCCATGTGCCACCACTACCCCCCAGAACCAACCCACTAAATCACTCTTCTCTAGACTATGGTCCTGAGTTATTTTGACCTCCGTTCTTTGGCCTTGAATTACTTTGACTTGACTCAGCTATCCCGGGTTCTGACTTTAACCTGGATATGGAAAAACCCTGTTGAAGTCTAATTCTGCTATCAACACAACCAAATAAAAATCCAAATACAATTCTAGGAGGCTTAGAAGAGTTTGATGGATGACTTCTGACAGCATTCTTAAATGAGAGGCATGAGGTTTAAACAATGCGTCACAAAGCAAAATACCTTAACATTCATTTTCACCCACTCATCACTCCAAAGCCTCTACATCAACATGCCAACTGCCCGAAAGTCTCTTCCCTCTCTCCCTCCCACATAATTTCTCTCTCAATACCCACTGATGCAGTCTACTCCCTGCTACTGGTCTCTGTTTCTACCAAGATGATGTATATACCAAGATAAACACACACACACACACACACACACACACACACACACACACACACAGTGAATTATTACTGATACTCAAATCTCTTCCCCAGTGGAAGGATGGGGGAAAGTAGATGTATATTAGGTATGTGTGTGTTTAACTGAAGTGAATTTAGTTGAACTGAATGCAGATCAGATAACTAGCTTATGATAGGTGAAGAAAGTATGAATCTTGTACAGGCTGGGAATGGGTAGTGAAATTTGGCAGGGGATGATGGTCATGCCAAACAGCATAGTTGAAATGTTAGGCTTTATTGGTAGAAAGTTTCACAAGGCACATCAAAAAAAAAAAAAAAAAAAAAAACAACTCTCAAGCTAGGTACCCTTGAACTAGTGCCCCATCTTTTTCTTTCTCCCAAGGAGTTGTGGAAAGAAATCTGCGAATTTCATCTTGCTTGGTGGAGTACTCTCAGCCACAGCTGGCTCATGGTCCTCCTGTGGTGACCAAGAATGTGTGAGGATGAGTGTTCAGTAGGATGGCCAGAGAACTCCCTACAGGGTGAGAAGTCATAGGCTTTTCTTTCCCAAGCACTCTTGCCTTGCAAGTCTTCCCCTGAGCAAACATAAATACCAGAATTCAAAGAAGGTGCACATATTCCTTTTAGAAAAGGAGGGCCTCACTGAGCAACATGACCTGGGAACATGAGATTTTCTCTCTCCCTCCACCATGGAAAGGCATGGAGGCAGTTTACAGACTTAGACCTTCAGAAGGAAGAATTATTCCTTTTTACCAAATCTCTTTTACTCTCCTCAATGTCCTCTCTTGTCATCTAATAGATCCTTCTTCTAGACCCTCTCCCCGACTTCCCAATCCAGTACCCAAACTCACCATTCAGGACTCTGCTCCTCACTGGGGTTTTCTACCCTGTGTTATTTCTGATGTCATGAACTCAAGCTTCTCAGGCTTTGCAGACCCCAAAGGGGAAAAGCATGCTCTGGATTTATGAGTTGAAGAGATAGAAAATGCCTTGATTCATTGCCCCATCAGCAAGCCTTGTGGCCAATTTCCTCTGGCCCTTAAAGAAGCAAGTGTATTCATCAAAGCAAGCATTCATTACACGCTCATCACACACACCCCCTCCTGACCCACCCTGAAGACCTCATAGTCTAGTCTCATATGGAGAAAGCATATTTCATGGGAAATAATAACACTGACATTATCAGGTTATGAAGCACTTGTTCCCCTTCATTATGAGAGTCACAACTTGAGTATGAATGAGTCCATTTAGTATGAAAGGCTCCAACTCCAACAGATGGCTCTAATTCCAGTTAGATTTTTCTCTCATGAAGGAGATAGACCAGCATATGTGTGTTGGATCTCAGTCCATTTTGCATCAATGGCTTCAATTATTAACTCATAATTAACTTTGCAAATATAATTCTATATAATCCTTACAATGACCCAGCAAGGTCTACATTATTAAGCATTTTATGGATGAATAAACAGAGGCTCAAAGAGTTTGAAAATTTCCCAGGATCTCATAGATGGCCAACAATGGAACTGGTATTTGAGCTCATATCTATCTGTCTTTAAAGCCCAGGATCTTATCACTATATTGTGCTACCTCTTATCATGAGATGGGCAGAGACGGAACCAAAGGAAATATCACGAGATTCTGGACTTTTGAACCAAATACCCATGTGCTTGTTAACTTAGGGAAAAAAACTAAAACAAGATCTTCCTTCCTTCCTTTCTTTCTTTCTTTTTCTCTCTTTCTTTCTTCTTTCTCTTTTCTTTCTTTTTTCTCTTTCTTTCCTTTCTTCCTCTCTCCTTCCTTCCTTCATTTCTTTCTTTTTTCTTTTTTCTCTTTCTTTCCTTTCTTCCTCTCTCCTTTCTTTCTTTTCTTTCTTTCTTCTTTCTTTTCTTTCTTCCTCTCTCCTTCCTTCCTTCCCTTCTTTCTTTCTTTCCTTCCTTTCTTTCTTTTTTTCTCTTTCTTTCCTTTCTTCCTCTCTCCTTCCTTCCTTCTTTCCTTCTATTCTTCCATTATGAAACCCCAATAGCAATCACATAAGAATCAGAAATCATAGAACAGGATTTCTCTCTCTCTTTCTTTCTTTCTTTCTTTCTTTCTTTCTTTCTTTCTTTCTTTCTTTCTTTCTTCTTTCTTTCCTTCCTTTCTTCTTTCTTTCTTTCTCTCTTCTTTCTTTCTTTTTTCTCCTTCCTTCTTTCCTTCCTTCCTTCCCTCCTTCCTTCGTTCCTGCATTAGTCCATTCTCATGCTGCTGTAAAGAAGTGCCCAAGACTGGGTAATTTATAAAGGAAAGAGGTAATCAACTCACAGTTCTGCATTGCTGGGGAGGCCTCAGGAAACTTTCAATCATGGCAGAAGGCAAAGGAGAAGCAGGCACCTTCTTCACAAGGTGGCAGGATGGAGTCAGTGCAAGTGGATGAAATGCCAGCTGCTTATAAAACCATCAGATCTTGTAAGACTCACTCACTATCAAGAGGATAGCATGGAAGAACCTGCCCCCATGATCCAATTGCCTTCACCTAGTCCTGCCCTTGACATGTGGGGATTATGGGGATTATGGGGATTCCAATTCAAGATGAGATTCTGGGTAGGGATGCAGCCAGACCATATCATTCCACCCCTGCCCCTCCCAAATCTCATGTTCTCACATTTCAAAACACAATCATGCCTTTCCAACAGTCCCTCAAAGTCTTAGCTCATTCCACCATTAACCCAAAAGTCCAAGTCCAAAGTCCTACCTGAGACAAGGCAAGTCCCTTCTGACTATGAGCCTGTAAAATCGAAAGCAAGTTAGTTACTTCCTAGATACAATGTGGGTAAAGGTATTGGGTAAATACGTCCATTCCAAATGGGAGAAATTGGCCAAAAAGGGGGCTACAGGCCCCATGCAAGTCCAAAATCCATGAGGGAAGTCATTAAACCTTAAAGTTCCAAAATGATCTCCTTTGACTCCATGTCTCACATCCAGGGCACGCTGATGCAAGAGGTAGACTCCCATGGCCTTGGGAAGCTCCTCTCCTGTGGCTTTGCAGGGTGCACCTCCCCTCCTAGCTGCTTTCATGGGCTGGCATTGAGTGTCTGCAGGTTTTCCATGCACATGGTGCAAGCTATCGGTGGATCTACCATTCTGGGGTCCAGAGGATGGTGACCCTCTTCTCACAGCTCCACTAGGTAGTGCCCCAGAGGGGACTCTGTGTGGGGGCTCCAACCCCATGTTTCCTTACTGCACTGCCCTAGCAGAGGTTCTCCATGAGGGCTATGCCCCTGCAGCAAACTCCTGCCTGGACATCCAGGCATTTCCATACATCCTCTGAAATCTAGGCAGAGGTTCCCAAACCTCAATTCTTGACTTCTGTGAACCCACAGGCTGAATACCATGTGGAAGTCACAAAAGCTTGGGGCTTACACCCTCTGAAGCAATGGCTTGAGCTGTACCATGGCCCCTTTTAGCCACAGCTAAAGCTGAAGTAGCTGGGACACAGGGCACCATGTCCTGAGGCTGCACATAGTGGAGGGGCCCTGGACCTGGCCCACTAAATCATTTTTCCCTCCCAAACCTCTAGGCCTGTGATGGGAGGGGCTGCCATGAAGGTCTCTGACATGGCCCGGAGATATTTTTCCCATTGCCTTGGTGATTAACATTCTTTTCCTTGTTACTTATGCAAATTTCTGCACAGGCTTGAATTTCTCCCCAAGAAAATAGGTTTCTCTTTTCTGTCACACTGTCAGGCTGCAAATTTTCCAAACTTTTATGCTCTGCTTCCTCTTAATGCTTTGCTGCTTAGAAATTTCTTTTATCAGATGCCCTAAATAAACTCTCTCAAGTTCAAAGTTCCACAGATCTCTACAGCAGGGGCAAAATGCCACTAGTGTCTTTGCTAAAACATAGCAAGAGTCATCTTTGCTCCAGTTCCCAACAGTTTTCTCATCTCTATCTGAGACCACCTCAGTCTAGACTTCATTGTCCATATCACTCTCAGCATTTTGGTCAAAGCCATTCAACAAGTCTCTAGGACATTCCAAACTTTTCCACATTTTCCTGTCTTCTTCTGAGCTCTCCAAACTGTTTCAACTTCTGCCTGTTACCCAGTTCCAAAGTCATTTCCACATTTTTGGGTATCCTTAGCGCAGCACCTCACTCCTGGTACCAACTTACTGTATTAGTCCATTCTCACACTGCTATGAAGAAATGCCTGAGACTGGGTAATTTATAAAGGATAGAGGTTTAATTGACCACAGTTCTGCATTGCTGGGGAGGCCTCAGGAAACTTACAATCATGGCAGAAGGCAAAGGAGAAGTAGGCACCTTCTTCACAGGGTGGCAGGATGGAGTGAGTGCAAGCAGGGAAAATGCCAGACACTTATAAAATCATCAGATCTTGTGAGACTCACTATCACGAGGACAGCATGGGGGAATCCTTCCCCATGAGCCAATTACCTCCACCTAGTCCTGCCCTTGACATGTGCGGATTATGGGGATTACAACTCAAGATGAAATTTTGGGTGGGGACTCAGCCAAACCATGTCCCTCCCTCCCTCCCTCCTTCCCTCCCTCCCTTCCTTCCCTTTTTCTTTCTTTTTCTCTCTTCCTTTCTTCCTTCTTTTCCTTTTTCTTTTTCTCTCTTTCTTCCTTTCTTCTTTCTCTTACTTTGCTTCTTTCTTTCTTTCTCTTTTCTTCTTTTTTTCTCCCTCTCTCCCAGCTGCCCACCCTGTCTTCCTTCCTTTCTTCCTTTTATTATGAAACCCCAATAGTAATCACATGAGAATCAGAAATCATAGAGTGTAAAACTACCTCAAACCAATGTCTGCATTAAAAAACTATGAAAATACTCTATTGTTTTATGACCCCATTTAGAGTGAACATTATATTTATAGCTTTTCCCCTGAATACACATTAAAGTAATATTAAACTTTTGGTAGAAATTATACCATACATCTGTGCTGACCGCTTGTTTCCTGCAAACAAATCTTTGTCTACTACTTTCAGCTTTCAAATTTTTCTCCAAAGAAGTAAGTTAGGTTAAAAGGCCCAGAAAGAAACATAAAACAGATGGACCTCAATTTTTGTAGGAGGTGACAGCCATATTGAATTTAAAGGAAAACTAGCCAGAGAGAATCTTAATTGAAAAACTCATGAAGCAAATACAGGGAGGGCCCTGATGTGGGATGAAATATCAAGATTAGACGTCTGGCTTACAATTGCAGGTTGTCCTTGAAGTTGGGAGTTCTTTAAGATGGAGTAAGAGATTGGTCATCTGCCCTTCCTATGACAAAAATATTTCTGGCTATTGAATAGTACTGGTCTTTTGTGAGTATGTATTTCTGTCACTTCCCATCCTGTTCAAGTGAAGAGCCTGTGGATTTTATCTAGAGTAAGGCACCCAAGGTCCATGGCTAGGCATTTGTTGTGGCTGTGGTCTTGGGGCAAATGTGAAGCAAATTTGGAGGGCTGGAATGGACTGCTTTCAGGGAGCAAGAGACCACTAAAGTTTGAAGGATCAGAAAGAGGCTTGGCCAAAGTGGGCGCTTCTGGTTCAGAAGGCCTAACTTGGGGGCAATTCTTGGCAGCAGAGGGACGCTTTTCCATGATGTCTTATGATAGCCAGGAAGAAGAGTGCATGTGTGTGTTGTGGGGTGTGATGTGGGGTGTCTGAGCCTGCAATTAACACAGGATGATACCAGCAGCAGACTCTTTCACCAATCTAGCCATTGAACCCTTTTCTTTCCTCTTTATTCAATCTGTCCCTCTCAGCTGCATCATTCTCATCAATATTTAAATATCCTTTAGTCTCTCTTGTTTAATAAAGAAAGAAGCACCATTTAATGTTTTTTCCCTTTCATCCATTAGCCTCTCTTTTCTCTTCACAATAAAATTTATCAAACTCTCTATTCACTTTCTCCATTTCCTCACATTTCACTAACTCCTCTAAAGACCCATTTCACTTTGGACTTCATTCCTTCACTCTAACAAAATGGCTCTTTCTAGAGTTACATGTGACCATGATGTTTCTAAATCCAGCAAAGAATTTCCAGTTCTTGTCTATTTGATGTTCGGAGTGTTCACCCCTGCCCCTTCTCCATTGATCACTCCCTCCATCTTGAAAGACTCTTTTCTCTTGGTTTCCCTCTCCCTTTCATTTCCCATTCTTCATGTTTTCCTTCTACCTCTCTAGCTGCTCTTATTCAGTCTCTGTCAGTTCTCCTCCTCCCATCACTAAATGTCAGAGTTTGTTAGTGCTACGTTCCAGGCCCCCTCTTCTCACTTTGTACTCTCTTGCCAGGCCATCTCATCCATGGCCATAACCTGAATTATCAATGTTGATGATAGACATCCCCTCTCAACTCTAAACCTACATATTCTGCAACACCTTGCCTTGGCTATAAGGACCTCAAACTAAATATGTGTAAGCCTGAATTCATAATCTTTTCTTTCATGTGTAGTTTTCTCCAGTGCGGTCACTCTCAGTAAATGCTATTACCATATACTCAGTTGCTGAAGAGATATATGAAAGTCATTCTTGACCTTTCCTCCTCCCTTGCACTACATGCCCAATTCATTAATAATTAGTATAGATTTTTTATGTCTTAAATATGTCTAAATTCTTTCCATTTTATTCTCTTTTATCTACACAGCCAACATTCTAATCCAAAATACCATGATTTCTCACCAGGGATCACTGCAATAGCATTGATCCAACCTCACCTTTACAAGTCTCCACATCCAATCTATCTGTCTTTTCAAAAAAAAAATCTGACCACATTCCTGACTTTCCACTTGCATGCATAGTTAAAGCCATTCCAAGGCTCTTCCTTTACTTTTGGGTTAAAGAGCAGTATCCTTAACACATTCTGCAAAGCAATGCATAATCAGGCTTCTACTTATTTTGTCCCTCTTCCACATTTACTCTTCCCTCTGTACTTTATTCTTCCTCACATTGCATTCTTCTAATTTCTAGAACCTTCCATGTTTTATCTTCACAAGACCTTGACACATGTTTTCCCACTGTCATTCTTGGAATATTCTCCAATAACCCTTCACTTGTCCACAGCAGACCCTTAGAGAAGGGTCTTGAAATTCATTCTTTGAAAAATGGAAATGCTAACCCACTCTGTGACCTAAGCCCACTGTGCTGAGTGAACCCCAAGTAAACATTCATGTCTTTAACAGCCAAGCCACTTTCCTTTTTAAGTTTTTTTTTTTAATTTGACTTGAGTTACCAAATCAAACTTAAAAAATAAAGCAACATAAAATAACAAAACTTCCTAGGAGTTGTATTAATTTCTCCATATTTAATGGCCTATTGCAAATTAACCAAAATTTAAACTGTATCATTCTTCACTAAATAACTAGGAAGTTTCAAACAAGAACTAGTTGCTCACAGACATAAAACAATTTTATATTTTATAGTGACATTTACAATAAATGGTATTGTTATTGCTTTTCCTTAGCATACACTCAAATGATACTTAACAGAAACAAGTAAAACAAAACCCTCAGTCTTTAACCCTCTTGATATGAGGCAAGTTGAAATAATAGGTCTTGGTCCTTACGAAAGGTTTGAAGCAGGCAAGAAGAGTGAGTTAATGAGATCCTGTAATCTGATCCCCAGCAAACATGGACAGCTGTTCTTAGAGTACTATGAACCCTACACCTTTACAGATCACGGACTGGCAGAACCCCACCCGACCCTGGTGGGCTCGGGCAAGTCCCAACACAGTGGAAATGGCTTTGCTGGTGTAAATAACAGGGATCTGTTATCATGAGATTACGTGTCTGTAAAATGCCTATTTATCTTATTACATTGCCTTTAGGAGGAGGGAGGAGGGGGTGAGTGTTAGTATATGAGATGATGGAGTTAGGAGATGAGAAAAGCATCTCTGACCTAAGGTGAAACCTGCTTTAACTCAGTGGGTTTGTTCGACAGCCAGATGGATTCCATCATGCTGAACTTTCAGTGTTGAGCGCCATTTAGTATTTACCAGCAAGTGTCTTGCAAAAACAATGCAAGGATGGGTTTGTACCTGGAATTACAACATCATAGTTTTCATCTGATAGCTTCAATCTGGTAATTTTTTTTCTTTTCTTTTCTTTTTTCTCTTCTCTTCTCTCTCTCTCTTTCTCTCTTTCTTTCTTTCTTCTTTCTTTTTCCAAATATTTGAGTGACTACTACATGCCTAGTAGTATGCTAGACATGGGCTATAGATTGGTGAATAAAAAAGACACTGCACCTACCCTGACGGAGAATTGAATCTAATGAGGCAGACAATAAAATAAACAAATAAACATGTAATTATAAAGTGTGATAAATGCTACAATGTAGAAGAATAAGGTACCATGAGAGAATAACAAGAAGAACCTACTTCAGAGAAAGAGAAATGACTGTTAATCTCATGTGTGAAGAGTAAAATGGAGCCAGCTATGCAAAGAAGGGAATGAGGTGGGGACAGCACACTATACTGATGAATTTAATTTTTTTTAAAGAGACAGAGTCTTGCTATGTTGCCCAGACTGGACTTGAATCCTGGGCTTAAGGGATCCTCCCACCTCAGTCTCCCAAGTACCTGGGACTACAGGCATGCACCACTGCACCTGACTTGAATTTTATTTTTATTTTGTTTTTTTAATATAAAATTTAAATATGAAGTAAATATGAATTTTAATATTAAGTATTTTATATAAAATTTAAATAATTCAGTAATAAAATACTCATTTAATCAAAACCAAATAACCCTAAAATATATGAAGTAAAAAATGACCACTTTTTGCCTGTCACCCTGCAAAATATTGCATTATCTGGGAAGAAGTACGGTTAACAGATTGGTGTGTTTGAATAATTCTCAACTGATCATTTCCCAGCTGTGAAAGAATACAAACTGTAAGGATCTTCCTTTGGAAAGAATAAGAAAATTGACACCAAAGTAACAAAGGCAGCAGATGACTAATGTCAGAACATCTTTGCAATATCTTAGTATGCTTCCAGTTGCATAATAATTTGCATCTGTGAATAATCAGTGGAAATAAAGGTCTTCGCCATCTGCCTTGGAATAATCACATTCCCAGATCTTTTAGAAATTTACTTGAAATAAAGTTTATAACTTATCTTTCTAACAATCAATAGAGCTGGTAAAAATTGTTTTACTGCTTGATTTGGCAGCTCAAATTTCAATTTTGAGTCATTCAAATTGCCTTTGCTTTTGCTCACATTTGATTGATTTTGCAATAATGGTAAATACAAAAGTGGGTACACAAGGCATATCACATTACTAAATAACAAACAGATGATATTCAGAATATCTAATCTATAGTACTCTGTATTTCACTAGATCTAAAATATACTTGAAGACAGGCTAGATTTATCTTAAAAGTGTACAAATGTCAATTACGGACTCAATTACAGACCCATGAGGAAAAAATACATCCAGATTTCTAAAGTAGAGAATGCTGGGCTACCTCAGCTTCATGAGAAATGTGAAGCATTTCACGACTATGAGTCGTTTATTTCCTAACATAGAGTGGTACGTGCAGTAAGCCTGAATTACCGGGAATTCTGGGTCTCAGGGGAAGCTCAACCACACATAAAGAGAAATTGTGGTCCAGAGACACATGCCCTCAGCGCCCTAAGAAAAAATATCCAAAATGCTTTACTTCTTTAACTGTTTAAAGAATTGTGAAATATAACACATATGTAGAAAAAGTGATAAAAATCTAAAGATGTATTTAATAAGTGTCATCTGTGTGATTATGAACCAGATCAAGAAACCAATTATCAACACCCCAGAAGCTTCCAGGTGTTCCTTCTCTTCCCAATCCCCCTTTTTCCCTCAAAGGTTACCTCTTGCCTTTTATGGTTATCACCCCTTACCTTTTCTTATACTGTAATCACCTACTTATGTATTTCTAAACACTAGAATGTAGTTATGCTTAATTTTGAATTTTATATAAATTAAATAACACTGTATATATTTTTGTGTGTCTGGCTTCTATCACTTGATATCATGTAGTTGCATGTAGCTGAGGTTCCTTTATTTTCATAGCTGTGTGATATTCCATTATATGCTGTCCCACAACTTATTTATCCCTTCTGATCTTGATAGGAATGTAAATAGTGTCCACATTTTGGAAATAATGTTGCTATAGACATTCTTATACATATTTCCTGTGGCACCCATGCAAGAGACTACATACTTAGGAGTGGTATTGCTGGACCATGGGTTATACACAAATTTAATGTAACTAGGTAATGTCAAAGCAATTGCCCTGATTTTTACTACCACATGGACTGTATGAAGGTTGTCATTGCTTCACATCATCACCTACATTTGCTATTGTCAGACTTTTGGGTTTTGCCAATTTTATGGGAGTGTAGTGTTACAAGATGAACTTCTATTTTCTTTCTTAGGAATCCTATGTAATAATAGTTGAATTTAATTTTTATAAATAGAACAAGCCAATGGAAACATTAGGATACAGAGAAAAGATAGATATTTTATTGACATCAGAGTGAACATCACATTAAATAAGGCAGTGTGGCAATCAGTGTATTTCTTTCAACTGAACTCATTATTCCAACCCTATAATTTGGGGATAAAGCAAGAATAGAAACAGTATGCCTGATACCTTATAATTTGTGCCTATATTAGTAAATATAGTTAAATCGATTATGAAATAAATTAATGAATGGCCTGCCAAGAGAAGTGTTATATGCTATCTCATCATTTATGTGGATTTGTTTCCTAACCCTTCATTGTTTTCTGTTGATCTGTCTATTCCTTGGATAATTCCATACCGTTTTAACCACTAAAGAGTTAAAACGGTATGGAATTATCATTATATCTGTCTTGATATCTAACAGGGCATAACCTTGTCTTAGGTTCTGCAAAAATGATAGCTATTTCTGGACAATAATGCACTTTGATTCTTTTTAAAAACTTAGTGAGGTAGAAATTATACAGCCTTAAGACACAGATGTTGATCAGAGAATTTCACTTTCCCTTTGTACTTACCAAGCAGAATGCAGGTAATACCCATATTTTACCACCATGGCCTCCAACACTTTGCTGAATATGAGGATTTTCTGAGAATGACCTAGTCTGAGCCCTAGAGCTGGCATTACTCTCTCATGATGTGATGGACCACATAACACACCTGCAGACAAGTTTCTGCAGGCCCATGACTGGGCTCTTGAACTACGAGGAGTTTTTCTCATTCATGAACATTGTATATATCTTCATCTACTCAATTTTTGGAGAGACGTCGTCAAGATGACTGGCTAGAGGTGCCCAGCACTCACTTCCCCCACGAGGAAGGACCAAAACAGTGAGTAGATAATCACACCTTTAATAGATCATCTAAGGGAGAACACTGAAATTCAGCAAGGAAGTGATAAAGACCCTCTGAGACATGGAAACTCAAGATGGCAGCATAGAGTGAAAAGTGAAACAGCCAGCCAGAATGAATTAAGAGCCAAGAGGGACTCTTCATTGTAGGGGAAAAGGGAGTGAGAAATCCCCAGCAGTCCACATTCCCACCACAGATGCCTGCAATCTTAGCTAGAGGAGAGCCCTTCGGCCTTCACACTCCCTGAGCTCCGGGGAGTTACCTGGAGCCCACGTGGCTGTGTTTTTCTAGATAGGAAATCCACCTTGTGGCTGAGCGTGGTGGCTCACGCCTGTAATCCCAGCACTTTGGGAGGCCGAGGTGGGTGGATCACGAGGTCAGGAGATCGAGACCAACCTGGCTAACATGGTGAAACCCCGTTTCTACTAAAAATACAAAAAATTAGCCGGGCGTGGTGGCAGGCGCCTGTAGTCCCAGCTACTGGGGAAGTTGAAGCAGGAGAATGGCGTCAACGTGGGAGGCGGAGCTTGCAGTGAGCTGAGATCACGCCACTGCACTCCAGCCTGGGCGACAGAGCGAGACTCTGTCTAAAAAAAAAGAAAGAGAGAGAGAGAGAAAGAAAATCCACGTTGTGTTCCTCTGCCCCAGTACCCAGGGTGCTATAGCATGGGGCCATTTTGAGAACAGTTACCGCCAGACTACATCCTACCTTGGGACTCAATAGTCTCTGCATCTCCACATTCCTGGGGTCCTGCTGACATCCCCCCATATCCTAAGAGCTCCATGCCCCAGCCACCACTACCACCAACAGTGACCTCGACCCCTCCACCCACACTGCCTGGGAACCCAAGGACTGTTCAATAATTGGTGCTGGGAAAACTAGATGTCCATATGCAGAAGAATAAAGCTAGAACCCTATCTTTCATGATATGCAAAAGTTAACTCAAAAGGGATTAAATACTTAAATGTAAGACCTAAAACTCAAAAACTGCTAGAAGAAAGCATAGGAGAAATGCTTCAGGACATTGATCAAGGCAAAGATTTTATGGTAAGACTACAAAAGCACAGGCAACAACAAAAAAAATAGACAAATGGGACTCTATCCAACTAAAAAGCTTCTGCACAGCAAAGAAAACAATCCACAAAGTGAAGAGACAACCTGCTGAATGGGAGAAAATATTTGCAAACTATTAATTTGACAAAAGACTAGTATCAAAAATATACAAGGAACTCAAATAACTCAACAGCAAAAAAATACCACACACAAATTATACGATTTGAAAATGGGCAAAGGCTCTGAATAGATATTTCTCAAAAAAAGACATACAAATAGCCAACAAGTATATGAAAAAATGCTCAGCATTACTAATCATCATGAAAATGCAAGTCAAAACCACAATAAGATATTATTGCACCACTGTTGGCTGTTCACCCCAATAGAATGGCTATTATTAAAAGGATTTAAAAAATAAATACCAGGAAGAAGAAATGGGAACTCTTACACTCTTTTGATGGGAATGCAAATCAGTACAGCTATTATGGAAAACAGTATGAAGCTCTCTCAAAAAAATCTAAAACTAGGACTACCATATGATATAACAATCCTATTAACTGGATATTGGTCCAAAGGTAAGGAAATCAGTATATCAAAGATATATTAGTACTTCCATGTTTTTTGCAGCACTATTCACAATAGCCAAGATATGGAATAAATCTAAATGTTCATTAATATTTGGTATATTATACACAGTGGAATACTATTCACCCATAAAAAAGAATGAAATCCTGTCATTCACAGCAACATGCATGACCCTGGGGGACATTATGTTAAGTGAAATAAATCAGGCATGGAAAGATAAATACTGCACATTCTCATATATGGGAACTAAAAAAAAGAGCTCTTAGAAGTAGAGAGTAGAATTATAGTTATTAGAGTGTGGGAAGGTCAGGGGAATGGAAGAAAGGGATAGGTTGGTTCACAAATGCAAAATTACAGCTAGAGAGGAGGAATAAGTTCTATTGCTCTATAGCACTGTAGGGTAGATAGTTAACAATAATTTATTGTACATGTTAAAAAAGCTAGAAGAGAGCATTTTGAATGTTCCCAACACAGAGAAATTATTTATGTTCAAGGTGAGGATACACTAATTAATACCTGATTTGATTATTACACATTGTATATGTGTATTGAATTAACACTCTGTACCCCAGAAATATGTACAAGTATTATGTGTCAACTAAAAAGAAAAAATATTAATCTCAAAGAAAAAAATTCGGAAAACATTTTGCTTCTAGAGATATTTTTAAAAATTTTATAGGTATGTTCCTAGGTGTTTTGTACTTTTTCTGATATTGTAAACAAGATCCTCTCTTCTATTACACATTCAAATCATTATTTCTGCTGTATTGGAAAGTTATTGATCTTTATTACATGAATCTTATAGGAGGAAGTTAGTTGAAGAAAAATATATGTATAGAAAATTACATAAAATATACATGTATAGTTCAGTAAATTTTCATAAGCTCAACTTATCCCTTTAATCAGCACCCAGATCCAGAAAGAGAGGGTTCCCTTGTGTTGTCATGCTCCCTAAGAGTAACAGCTAGCTTGACTTTTAACACCACAGACTAATTTTGCCTGTTTTGAATTTAAATAAATTGGCTCATTCAATAAGAACTCTGTCGTGTCTGGATTCTTACATTCAATATGGTGTTCATAAGGTTTATTTATATTGTTGCAAGTAGTCGTAATGCTCACAGCTATATAGTATTCTCTTTCGTGAATTTACATAATTTGTCCATTTTACTCTTGATGGGTATTTGAGTAGTTTCCAGTGTGAGGCTATATCAAACAGTGCTGCTGTGAACCTTCTTGTATGTGAATATATGTATGCATTTTCTGTTGGGCATATATCAGGGATGGAATATCTGTGTAATTAGGTATGCTTTTGTTAAGTGTTAGTAGATACTGCCAGATTTTTAAAGTGGTGGAACCAATCTATATTCTCACCAGCAGTGTATGTGATTTTTTTAATTGCTCCAAATTCTTGCCAAAACTTGGTATTTTATCCGTTCTGGTGGGTATGTAGTAGAATCACATAGTAAGTATAATTTGAATTTCTCTGATTACTAATAAGTGTGAGCCTCTTTTCATCCATTTCTTGGCCATTTGGATTTCCACTTTTATAAAATTCCAGGTCAAGTCTCTTGTCCATATTTCTAAGTATCTGTCTTCTTATTATTTTGTAGGAGTTTGTACATGTGTGTTCATGTGTGTTTAAATTCTTGAAGAGTATTCTTTGTTGATCAGAAAATATGTTTCAAATATCTTCTCCCACTCCATCACTTCTCTTTTCATTCTGTATAGTATTTTCTGACATAAGTTTTTTTTATTTTTAATCTTTTGAGTAAAATTTATCAATATTTTCCTTTATGGCTATACATTTTTGGCAGTATTTAGTAACTCCTCCCGTACCTTAAAGTCACAAAGATATTTACTTATTGTAATTTTAAAATTCTATATTGTTTTGCCTTTTACATTTGGATTTATAATCCACCTGAAATTGATTTCTCTGTTTGACATAGGTTAGGAGTTCAATTTCATATCTGTGGTTACCCAACTGCCCAGCACAACTAATAGACTGTCCTTCCTCGTTATTCTTCATGCCATCTTTCTCTTCTGTGCATTTACCACAAAAGAGAATTTGTGACACTTTAAATAAAGTGTCTGCTGATTCATGGTTCTGTTTCTAGGCTCTCCATTTTTTTCCCATTGGCCTATTTGTCTACTTTTGTCAATATCACTCTGTATTAATTACTGCATTCTTTGCTGTTAATTATATCTATTCATGTTGTGCTTCTTCAGGAGGCTACTATTGACTCATCACATTTCCATGCATATTTTAGAATAAACTTGCCAAGTTACATATACACACATACACATGCATATATACACCCAGAGTAAAATTTTGATTGAGATGATGACTCTTTACAATATTGATCTGAATCCATTAATGTGATATAACTATTTAGGTATTCTTTAATGCCTGTTAATAAAATTTCATAAATTTTTCCATTGAGCATATCTTTTGTTAGATTTATTCCAGGTGCTTGATATTCTTAATTTTTTTTTTTTAAAATAGAGATGGGGTCTTGCTCTGTCACCTAGGCTGGAGTGCAGTAGCATGATCATAGCTCACTGAAGCCTCAAACTCCTGGGCCTAAGCAATCCTCCCGCCTCAGCCTCTTGAGTCGCTAAGATTACAGGCATAAGCCACTGAACCTGGCTTGATGGTATTTTAGGCAGTATCTTTAAAATTGTTTATACTATGTGGCTGGGGTGTGTGTGTGTGTGTGTGTGTGTATGTGTGTGTGTATACACATACACGATTGATTTTTGGATGACGCTTCTATATTTTATAAATTTTCCAGTGTTTAATAACTTAATAATATTATTATAGACAGTACAAAGTACTTTTTTATTCTTTACTACTCTGGCTAGGACTTCACCACAATGTTAAATAGAATTAGTTAAAAAGGGACAGTTACCATTATCTGTTTCTGATTGCAAAGGAAAAGCTACAGTGTTGTACCAGTAATTATAATGATTTGCTATGGTTTTTATAATACCTATATCATCTATTTTTATCAAAGTTTTTATTTCTATTTCTGGTTTTCTGAGTTTTTAAAATAACGAATATTGGATTTTATCTTTTTGTGAAATTTATTCACTTCATCTAAAGTTTCAAATACAAGCAAAATTTTAATCACATCTTCCCATTTTATATTTAGTGTCTTCAGGATGTGATATAATATTCTTTTTTTCATTCCTTGTACTGGTCATTTGTTTCTTCTCTCTTTCTCTTTTTTTCTTGATTACTCTTGCCAGAGGTTTAATCAATTTGGTTAGTCTTTTCTAAGAACCAATGATTGGCTTGGTTTATTCTCTCTGTTATATGCTGCTTTCTATTTCATTGACTTCTGCTTTTATCTTTATTTTTTTCTTTCCTTCCATTTCTTTGAGTTTCCTTTGCTGATCCATTTTCTACCTTCTTGAGTTAGATTCTTCAGCTTTTCTTTAATAACTAGAAAAAATTTTCAGCCTTTTTTTTAGTTACTAAAAGTGTCATTTACCTATTTTTTAAGTTCATAAGTCAAGAACTTTCCTTTGTTTGTGTAAGGTGGTGGGAAGTTGGGGGGTATCCAGCCACCTTATGTTTTCTCTCCTCTTTCTGCAGTTACAGGATCTGTTTGGATAGTGTTTATTTTTGCATTAATGCTATTAGATACACATGATTGGTAATAATAGTTATAGCTAATATTTACTAAGCTTTCACTATAGGTCAGGCACTTAATGTATATTATTCCATTTAATCCTCACGACAAAACTATAAGGTAAACACAATTATTAACCTCTTTTACCGATGAGGAAACTAAGGTTTAGAGTGGTTTAATAAATTCTAATTTATTATTAGTAAATATGTAAATTTCCACAGCTAATAAGAGGTGGAGCCAGGGTTTGAACTTGAGCAGTCTGGTTCCAGAGGCTACATTCTTTTATTAAACTTATTCTGATTTGTCTCTGAGGAAAATCACCTTGCCAGCCTCTGAATATTCTAGTGTTGTCTTAAAGAAGATTTAACAATTTATGAGTATTTGTGTGATTCAATTTCAGTTGGGAAAGTAAGTTTTACAAGACCCACAGAGCAACAGATGGGCTCCCTGTAACTGTGAACTCAATTCTAAACAGGGCAAATAGAGCCCTATTTCTTTAAGACAAATGATGAAACATGGCCCACATTTCAAACACATGTGCCTGTTAATCTACCTAGATTGGTAGCACTGGTAGGAGCACTGATGGAAGACTGCTGGGCTTTTGTGGCACTTCCCTCCTCTCATTTCACAAAAAGTTGGGCAGCCATCTGCTTACTTTCCAATGATCCAGCATTTTCCCCACTGACATATGTGGGGAAAATGTAGTCAGTGACTCTGGGGAACCACTTTGCTGTCAAAGTTAAAAAGCTACTGTCCTAATCATGCCCTTCTATTGCACACCCCCCTTATGCTGTTTCAGTGCTTTGAACAAAAGCTGGTCTGAATCCAAACACTATTATGGACATCTTTACAAATCCAGCCCAATTTGGGCAGAAATTCTTCCAAATCTCTAGCAATCACAGGAAGGCAACATGCCTATGGTTCTTCAATTATTTTCAATAGGTTCTCTTTATCATTCAGGGCAGTATTAAAAAGTTGTCTTTTTAAAGTAACACTACCTTTGTTGAGGAAAGCTTTTCATTGAAGATACCACAGAGTTATTAAAGACTTCTGAGCAAATGATGGCTGATCAAATGAAGCAACCCATAAAAACCCTATAAATTCTTTTTAATCTGAAGTATTTCTCTCTTCAATTTTCAAACTATGCAATCTACATTGCCATTATGAGCAAATGTCATTAAGTCGGTTTCTACCTGCAGTACCATTGAAAATAGTCCATTGTACAGTTTCCACGGTGAAACCATTAGAATCCTATTCATGTCTAAACCTTACACTGTTTGTTACTTTCCCAAGCTACCAGACAGAGATACTCAAAACTCGTTTTTATGTGCATACACTCTATTACTCTCCTCTTCTCACAGATTTTTATTCTTTACTGTGATGCTTCTGTTTCTTCTTAGGGAAACAGTGCATAGAGCCCTAATGTGCATAGAGCCCTATTGTAGACTACCAGTGGCATAACTATGTCTTGATTTTTTTTTTCATAAAATGAAGAAAACCAAAACCAGCAACTTTTAGTAAATAATTTAAGTGTCTTTTCTGTCACCTTGTGATCACGGGTTTCCTCTTGACTAAATTTCTAGGCAAGAGGCAGATAAGCCAATCAAACACATGGTGACTATTAGAATCCACAAGCTGAATAATGATGAAGGGATGGGTCAGTCCTGTTGGTCTCATGAAGCAGGCAGATCCCAGAAAAATCATTAGGAGAACCACAAGGGAGAGATAATGGAATTGTATACTATCCTGAAACCATACATTCTGACCCAGGATTATACATAACATTTTCTATAAGCAGGCTGCCATGGTGATCTTTGGAGCAACATGTTGTTGGCATCTGGGTCATGGCAACAGACATCTTGATTCCAGGTTGGCCACATAAAACTGCAATACTTCATGGTGATTTTATTCTAAAGTTATTTATATGAGCAAGGCATTAGCCACATCCTCCCTAGAAGTACAAATATGAGGAGGACTGGCATTTGAAGTCCAACATAATGCTTGGCACATAGTGGAAATTTAACAAATATTTATTTAATTAATGAGTGACTAAATAAAGAAGTGAATAAATGAACTCAGTTCTCCCCAAAGATCTTCTAGTCCTCAGTTTGCTTTTGCAGGACAAACTGACCCCTTGTGTGGGGAAAAGAAGCTGGACTCAGAGTTCTGTAAGAGGTTTGTACTCAACCCCCAGCTGTTCAGTGCAAACCTAAAAACACCTAATTTCTTTTCTGGATAAATGGAATCAGAACTGACAGGATCCCCCAAGGCTGGTCTAATGGAGGGATTCTGCTCAGAACTGTGGGGTGTGGGAAGTCAGGGAAGTGGGTCAAGCTCAGAGTTGGGATCAGGGAGGCTGTGGGTTACATTTAGTGATCCAGAAAGAGGGACCTCACTAGGTGCCCCAAAGCTCGGAATCAGGAGATGTGGGAGACCAGGGAAAAGAGCCAGAAAAGACAGGGATCGGGGAACTATAGTCAAGAAAGGGGCAGAACTTGGCCAGTAAATACAGGCCATGTACGTTACCCAGATCAGCTGTCATCCGAGGCTCTTTGTAAGCCTGTTGCATTGCCATATGGGAGGGGCTTCTGGGCCTGGTAGGCTAAGAATAGGTGACCTGTCCTAGAACCCTGCACACTCAGCACCTAGTTTTTAGAACTCGAACGACAATCCTGGATCAGTGAACATGGGCTTCTTGGGCTTCTAGACAAGACAAAGAAAACAACTTGCCCTTCATTTCTTCATAAATGTGATGGGGTGAGTGTGAGGGGAGAGGAGAATGGAGTGAGCTATTGGTGTCTAAGGTGACTCAGTAATATCAAAGCAGGCTTACAATCCTAGATCTTTTCTGCCAATCTCCAAAAATAAACATTTTTTATTTCTCAAGAGGAAAAGACAACGAAAGTGACATATCCAGTGGTTTTCCTGAATTAATTCACTTCTTGGAAACTAATGACTCTATCTCTGATTAATTCTTCTAATTCTCTATGGCTTAATTTATTCTATGCAAATCTGCCCGTCAAGCTACTGTGAAATCCAACTATGATATAATATAATACAGAATTGTGGAAGGAGGAGGAAGATTACAGTTACTGTTTAGTAGAAGTGCTTATTACTCAGAAAATAATGATAAGGCTCAGAAGGAATCATTTCTGGAAAAAAGGTAAATCCCTCAAGGATTAGCAAGAAATAAGCTGTCCCTCCACCTTGTTGTGGAAAAAAATCCTGGCTTGGGACATTCGAGGACTCAACTGAAGGCATTCCTTCCTCTGTGTGCTTAGGATCTCCCTCTTCAGTCAACAGGGGCTGCTACCCAGCACTAACAGTATTCCAGCACCTCCAGGTGGCACCCTCCTCTGGGACCCCAGGATTCTGTAAGCCAGATGGTGGGACTACCTCAGCATCTGTTTACCAGATCTCTCTAGGGGAAAAGTAGCTTCCAATTTCCCTCATCTTTTGCCTTGCTCCTCATGGCACCAGAGCCCAGGGAGGAAATGAAACTGTCTAACCATGTTTGACTCTGAAATATTTTAGGCTTCTTCTTCAAATGTGTGAACAGAATGAGAAACTCCATTTGTTTATTTGATTAACGTCCCCAACTACATTGTGCCTTGTTAATTTCCCTGTTGATAATGCTACACTCGGCAGACACACCTTTTTTCTTTTCTTTCCCAGGTCTGTTCTTTTTCTTCTTTTCTTTGTGTAAAGGGTATGTACTGGCTTTGTGAAATCCCTGTAGCAAGTTGTGAATGATGTATGAAGTGAAAAGTCTTTACTCAGGGCACAGTAGGAATACAGAAAGTGCTGTGCATTCACTGCTGGGCTAAGTTTTTGACTGTGTGCTGTAGGCATAGATATCCTGTGTTCATTCTACACTGCCTCAAAATCTCAGGAGCTCTAGATCTGGTGGCAAGGGGCACAGTCCTGCAGAAAGGCAGAGAGATGAATTTATTGAGCTCCAAAAATCCTTCTTGGCACTGTGATTCTGCATTCACTACAGGTAGGGATTTTTTCCTGTAATGTTAACAAAGGGATGAGAATAGGAATTCAAAGTCTTAAGTTCAAGGTGCAGAAAATTAACCCACTCCCTGGCCTGTGATATGAGAAGGTGGAGGTAGGAGACAGGTGATTGTCAGCACTCTGCAGGGTAATCTCACTTAGAGAGGATATATCTTTTCACCCTGCTTGAGAGGGTATATTGTTATGTCCCAAGGAGCCAGGAGAAAAGACCTGTTCTTGTGATTTATGCAGTATTTTCCTTTCAAGGAACCCAGAACTCCCTAATAATCATCACAGTTTTTTTGTGGGCTGTGTGTCATATTGGTGCATGATCTAAAATTCTCTCATGTTTAAAAATTAGATGCCCAATTATCCAACAAATATTTTATACAATCAATTTGACATTATCCAGTGTCAAATTAGCTGATTTATGGATTAATTGTGGTTCAGGTGCAACTAGGATGTGAGACACACCCCCCATGGAAGAGGGGAGCTGAATAATTAGGCAGTGGCTAATTATTGTTCATTGTAACTTCTGTGGAAGATGAAGAGAGGGGGTGTGCAGAGCTGCTCTGGTTGCAAGGAGGCCATGGAAGCAAAGGGGACAGAACCCTCCCACTTAGCCTGATCCTCAGTTCTCCCAACAGGAAGCCCAGGAACTTCAAGCCTTGAATCCTCTCTTTTGGGTGTAGAAGAACTAAGCAACTATTTTCTAAGTGTTCAGCCATATTCAGGTGCGAGCACTTTACAGATCCTGACACTTTGTAACCACACTATGTCAATGCTGAGCAGTTGAGCAGTAACTCCAGTTTCATTTGTATCCTTGATTTTTATTTTCCATGACTACTGCCCTCCCACCCCATCCCCTAATCTCACTTACCTAGTCCAATGACAATTGACTATGTTACCTTAGTCTCAGAAGATGGGGCAATTATTATCCAAGCTAACAGGCCAACATTCAAATTGAATCACTGACTTCCTAAAATTACCAATTTCTTAGGCTCTTTGGGCATTTATAATTAGGTTTTAGACATTTCATTCAAAGTCAAACTATCTTTTATATACACGACTTAAAAAAGAACAAACCCATGGCCTGCCATAGTCTCAGTCTTCTACTTGAATTACCACATTCTACATTCTCATTCACAGCTTAGAATATAATGAACCTAGAGATGACCCATGAGTAAACAAGAGGCATTAAATAACAATAAATTAAAGATACTTTGGGAGGCTGAGATGGAGGATCATTTGAGGCTAGGAGTTTGAAACCAGCTTGGGCAACATAGCGAGACCCTGCTAAGAATATAAAAATATCATCTGGGCATGGTGGCTCGTGCCTGTAGTCCTAGCTAAAATCAGGAGGCTGAGGCAGGATTGCTTGAGCCCAGGAGTTTGAGGCTGCAGTGAGCTATGATCACACCCCTACACTCCAGGCTGGGTGACAGAGTGAGCCCCTGTCTCAAAAATTAATAAGTTAAAGAAATTATGGATCCATTCATCCTGAAGAGAAGAAAACAGAGACATAACCATGGTTTTTAAGCACAGGAAAAGAGATCCCAGACAGAATGGGGAGGAGTTGGGTTGAGACCAGTCTGGAAAAAAGGGAATAAGTTCAATGTACAACTGGAGGATTTGTGTAAGAATCTTTATAAATCATACAACCAACTCTTACTAGCCCTTGCTTTTGATATGAAGTGTTTTTATTTTATTGCTTAGATCAATTATTTCAGGAGACCAAAAGTAATAGAAAAGTGTAAACAGGAAAATACATTGCAGAATAGTAGAGGTGGAATCTTCTGAGATTGTAAAGGAATATTACTGTTCCTTTTAGGCTGCAGGTTAGAACAAAGAGCAAATATTACTTCTAACTCCAAACAGGTCAGCGAGTCTATTTTGGGAAGATATGTTCTCTCCATTCGTGCATGGTTTTCTGTGTAGGGGTAAAATGATATTATGGTATTTCAAGTTTGCATTTCATCCTTTTGATTATCTGCAGGCCATTTACCCATATCTCCTTTCCAAATGAAACCTGGTGCCTGCAGGCTTTTTCACATCTCTGGAGTTATTTCATATTTTCTCCTTGTATCTCTTTTGATGACTACTAAATGTTCATTTACTACTAGATGTTGCCTGGCAAATTCCCAACTATCAAATGTGTAAACCAAAACAGTAAGAAGGAAGAGGGGGTAATAGCAGAGCAGCCTACTACATACGTTTAAACAGTCTGTTTTATCTCTAAGGGGAAGAGCCAAACTTAGGCCTCCTGTATGCCTAGGAATATCTTCTCCTACTGAGAGTTTTCTCTTATTTTAAGTAGTCTGAAAATAACTGGTCCGGGAAATAAAATGAAACCTCTCTGTATCAAAAGCAAGAGCCTTGAGCAAAGGTGGTAACAAACCCTGAGACACTTAGGCTTGTCTGAACTCAAAATTCAGCAGGGTTCTATGACTCAGCATGTCATGAAAATCTGAATTTGATTTTTGCAAAATGCTTTGTGCTCTGGATCTATCAGGAGCATATTAAACTGTTAAAATAAAAAACTTTTTTTTTCTGTCATGGAGAAAATCAAATAGAATCCCCAATGCAAATTTACCACATTCTTCACCAATAGATCATTTCCAACAACTAGACAAATGCTGGAGGATGCAGATGAAAGCTTCCAAGCTTAGGAAGAGTCATGTCTTGATTGCAAGGCTAGGCCTGTCGGTACTGCAGTAGTGTGAGCTCAACAATGGCCCATTGAAATGTAAAATTCGATGAATTTCCAGCCTCCTTCTCAAACAGTCAATGCGGAAATCACGTCCTCCAAAGAACATTACTCGATGGGAGCATAATCTCTCCACACTTGAGCAATAAGAGATTGTGCCAGTCCATGACACGCGAGGTTGCAGAGCACTCCTCCAAGCATCGCACCAACCCTCAGTGATTTCTTACAGATATTTACTTTCACACATGGCATATAGAACATTAAAAGAGTTTTGAAAAATCCCTCAGTTTTCAACTTCTGAAGGATTATTAACTTCAAAGTCTGAAGAAATGTCGCCCTTCTATCTTTGGAAATGCCAGGAGCCTTTGCATATCCTTACTACAGGACCAAGCAACCCCCAGCGGAGAAGAACGATTACTGCCTCGGTGGCAAGAGGATGGCTTTTGATCTCTTAACATATTGGAAATTACTTAAAGGTAAGCCATCTGCTAGCTGAGGAACAAAAACAGATTACATCACACCCTGCTAGAAAGATTGTGTTAAATCCTGTATATCAAGGCTTTTAATAATTCTATATTAAGTCAGCTAATAGGATTAGGTACACATTTTCTTTAGGCTTATTTCCTCAACTATTAAAAAAAAAAACCTTTTTTTGTATGTTTGATGATCTGCAAAATTCAAGAGTATTCCACTGTGAATAAAAAGGGTTCTTTCAAGAGGAAGCATTTCTTTAGATCACCACTGCTCTCCAAAGAGATGTACAGCAGAAATGCCTTTCCAAGTAGTTTGTGGGAGAGGCAAGACAGGAGTTTCTATTACTGCTAATATGATATATTGCCTGGGTATTACAAACCTGCCTACTAGAGCTTCCTATCTTCATTGTTTTTCTTCAGCAGGTCAAGGATGGAATTCGGGCAGGTGGGGGATGAAAAGGATGTCTAACCTGATCCTTTTGGTAATAAGGATTAATGATAATCATGGTGATAGTCCACCACAAGGTTGGCATGGCACAAGTATTGGGATAATCAAAGAATAAGCCTTGATTAATGAGAGCTTAAAGCATCTGCAAGACTGGACAGTCCCAGCCTTGAGAAAGCTTGCATTCTAAAATTACCACAATACAAGAAATCTTACATTCTAAAATTACACTATGCCCAAACCAAACATACTGTCTGTGGTAAGCTTCAGGTCATGGGAATATTAGAATATATTCACTTCATGACAAGCAAAAATAAAGTTAATTATTTGTCCCCTTCTTTCATTAATTTGCCCCTTCTTTATTCTTTGCTACTTCTTACAATAATTGGTTTAGTGTTATTCTAAAATTTCAAATAATTAAATATACACATTACACAAATTAACTTCCACTTATTGCTTCTAAGTATTTTACAAGATGCTCATTTACTCTGTGTGCTATTCATCACTCTGGGATACTGAGAGTTGAATAAGGTTATAGTGGTATAGCAACAAATGTCTTTATCTCTCAATGGTCCTAGAAGTAGTTCTTTAAAAGGTTAAAAAGAAAAAGTCTCTGTTCTCCTGAGAGAGGGTAATCCTTATCTTGCTGACAATAGAGGGTTACAAATAACCCTTGAGAACCAAATAAAATGCAGGATTCATCATATTTAGAAACCAGCACAAAGTGTTGAGTCTTGAAGCCACTTGAGAACTATTTGTTGAATAGCATTTCTAAGAGATTATTAGCAATGGTTGCCATGATTTTGCCATAATTATTGAATGACACAGAATAAAATGAACTACATTTTGCTATGGCACAAATGAGAAAAGGAAACTGTAAAATCAGTAGCTTATATGTTTAGTTGTTTTATATTGTACCTTGGTGCAAATGGTTCAAGCTTTCTTTATGTGCTTTTTACAAACATAGGACAAGGAATTAATAATAAATCTCATACTAATTACCATACTTAGAGATAGTTTATTCATTAGCACTTCGAAAAGTTTGTCTCTAACCCTCACAGGGTTTTCGAGAGGTGGATATTATCACTCCCTGTTTACTGGTGAGAAAACTGAAATTCAAGGTGGTTAAAAGAAACTGCAGCAAGTGGAAGAGTGAAAATTCAAAGAAGGGTTTGATGCCAAAGTCCATGCTCTTTTTGCCACACCTGGCTGCCTTCAATTTGGAAGGGGCGAGGAGGTCTTGCTCTTCACTTGGTGACTTGGCTTACCTGGCAACTTGGCTTAGCTTTCTTTGTGTCAAATCTTTAAACGAATTGAGGAAACAGCGTCATTTCCTTTGAGATGCTCAGAATTCAGTCAAGGGATCTCACATTCTGCTCCTGCAGGCTAGTCCCTACCATGTTTCTCCAGGATGCTGGTGTTCTTTCCTTTCATTAGTTTGAGGCAGTCAAAACAAAATACTTGAAAGCCTTTTCCCAGGCCACAGAATTTCTCTTTCATTAGCCATCAACTTTAAGTTGTCAACCTAATATTTTTCTGTCATGTTTTAAAATACCCAAATGTTGATTAACTTATTTGCTTGCCATCTAAACCTAGTGGAGAACAACATAAATGTCCAAAGAAACAACAACTCAGCAGTGAGTCCTTTGTAGGAACATGGATGAAGCTGGAAACCATCATTCTCAGCAAACTATCGCAAGGACAAAAAACCAAACACTGCATGTTCTCACTCATAGGTGGGAATTGAACAATGAGAACACATGGACGCAGGAAGGGGGACATCACACACCGGAGCCTGTTGTGGGACAGGGGGAGGGGGGAGGGATAGCATTAGGAGATATACCTAATGTTAAATGACGAGTTAATGGGTGCAGCACACCAACATGGCACATGTATACATATGTAACAAACCTGCACGTTGTGTACATGTACCCTAGAACTTAAAGTATATATATAAAAAAAAGATCTTTACTGATCCCCTAAAAAAAAAAAAGAGAGAGAGAGAAAATCTCAGAAATGTGATGTGAAATATCTCATGCATTACTGACTATTGAAATTAGGGGACCTATATGTAATAATAGAATCATATTATCTGCTTGTTGATTTAGAATTAAGTAAGAGGAAATTAAATATGTAATAGTGCCCAAATAAATATTGTCAAATACATATGTTAGTATTTGTATTAAAGTAATGCTAACTGCTGTAGTAACTCCCAAAATTTCAGTGTCTTAACTTGATTTCTTCCTCATATAATTGTTCAATGTGGGATTCCAAGAAGGGTGGCCTTCCAAGTCGCCACTCAGCATCACAGGTTCTTTCTATGTATGGCTCTGATATCTTTAACATGTGGTTTTAGGGTCACTAGGCTCATCTGCATTAAGATGGAGACCAGGGAAGAAACATGGAGATAAGCTCCATGGAGAATGTCCATGGACCAGGGGAAGACATGGTGCCCATTATGTTCACTGACTTCCTACTGGCAAAAACTCAGTCATTTGTCCACATCCAACTGTAAGGGAGGTTCGGAAATGTGTTCTAATCATGTGCCCAGAAAGAAGAGGAGATAGGCTTGGTGATAAACTGCAGTTTCTGCCACGGTGTTTGTTCTATGACAGTCTATAAAGAGAACCTAGACTTCCAGGTGCTTTCAGCCAAGAATTACCTTGAGAATCAAAATGTTGATCTAGAAACTTTATTCAGGTTAAAATACTTGCCCTATCCCACCATCTGTTTTGGACTGACTGCTAAAAATTAGAGGAGTTACCATAAGCACAACGACATTCTGATTTGATGAGTACTACTACTATCAGAACTCCTTCTAGCTATGTCATTGAGAACTGTATTAACTTTTTCTTACTTTCCTCAACTCCAGCACCTGGCACAACTCTAGGACCTAGAACATACTCAACAAATGTATGTTCAATGAATGAGTGGCCTTCTAGGATTGACCGTGCATTTTTTCCATCAATTCATAAAGATTGTGGCCCACATATCACAGTGAATCAACTCTTATTTTTGTTGCTGTTATTGTTGATTCAGCCATGCTCTATGGCAATGACCTAAATCTTGTTTATTCACCACTCCAAGCATGCCTATTAACTCCACTCGGTAATATGTCTTCCATAACATGTAAGATTTTTACTGAAGTCTGCCCATGCTTATCTAGACTCCTGGAAGAGAATCAGCAGCCACGTTGTATAATGGACAAAACAGAGAGGAATGTAGGTTAACTTAATTATCTCAGCCTTTGTCTTAGGCAAGTTGCTTATTTCTTCTGAGCTTTCCTTATGTAGAAAGTGAGAATAATAACACTTACCTTGCAGTGTTGTAAGTACGGCAATTTTAAAGACCCAGAATAAAGTAGGCACTGAATTAATGGTAGTCACTGTCTTCATAATTTATAATAATGATTGACTGTAATGTTAGCATTCATAATACAAATTATAAACATCACTCAGCTTTGTTTCCTATTAGATACGTTAAATCAGAAAGCCCTAATATCCAGAAGCAACACCATGACAGAATTGTAAGTAGAGCACAAGTTTTTTCAGCCTCCTGCTGTCAGCTGAGTCCCTATTGAGCAGATACATCCCTGGGGACAGATGACCATCCATCAGAGGCTATATCAGCTAATAGCTAGAGCTGTCACTTTCACCTCTATTTGCATTGGATTGAGTCAATCTGCCTTAAGCTTTCACAAGGGTAAACAGCCAGTAACAAATGAAGTTCTTATGACTTATAGCCCCACGGAGACTTATTACAGGATCTTATCTATTTCAATACCTGCCAGCAGGTGTGGATTATTAAAATGTGTGTACTGAGAATTTACTGCTTTCTTGAATTAGCAACCTTGACTCAGAAATGACATATTTTTATGTCAAAATAGCAGAAACCTTTCTTTTCTCTCTTCACTGATGCATAACATTCTAAAAGACAGGAATGGCCTTCAGCTAATACAGATCTATTTCCATTTGGCTTCGGTCACCATTTAATTACTGTTGACTTCTTTAACCTTTCTCACTTCCTTTCTGGATTATATTTCTTTCTACTCTATTGCCATTTAGTTTATTTGGTGACATAATCAAACTTGAAATTATATAACAAGGTTTTGCATTTTTCTTCTTTCATGCCGCTTATTGTGTTGAATTTATTTTAAAACAAATTATTTTCTGAAACAGAAAATATTTTAATGAGTTGACTTTGTACTTTATCTTCGTATTTACTTCTTAAATCCTGATTTTTAAAAAGGAGGATACTCCAATTTCCTCTATCACCCATTTCAGAATGATAGAACCCTAAGTAGGTTCCTGGAAAATAATCTATTGTTCCCTTCAACTTTCCTACAGTACTTACCTGTTAAACAATACAGTGTGTACTAAATTAAAAAGAAAAACAAAATCTTGAAGTGAACACCAACCACTAATAATGCAAAGGGGATTATGTCAGAGTGACATAAGAGGAGGAATTGTCTTCTTTCTGAGCATTCATTTTTATTATTGCTGACCTAAGCCATGAGATATAGAGGACAGAGACTGAGCTTTGGAGTTGGACATTTCCTGATTCAAAACCTGGCTGTACTACACATAAACTGGTGGTCCTCTGGAAAGTCCTTGGACTTAGCTGATCCTGTCTCCTTATCTGTAAAACAGAAATAATTATTTTACCTCTCAAGATTGATGTGAAGGTTAAGTGAAATGAAATATGTAAAATGTCTGGTATATGTGTTCTCTAAGTGCAACAGGTACGTTTGAACCTATGAGTGTTACAGCAGCCTGAGCCTGGGTTTTCCTGAAAGTGGAGCCCAAGGCAAAGGATTTTGTATTACTATTTTGTTAGGGGGTGCAATTTCAGGGAGATGCAGGGAGGGACAACCAGAATGAAGCAGGGAAGGAGGAGGAGCCGATATGAGTATGTGTAATCAAAAGAGCTGCCATTAAGTGCATCTCATTGATACGGGACATACTCCTGCCTGTCTGCATTGTATAGCAGCAGCTCTAGCTCCCCATATTAGTCAGGGTTGATTACCATTGCCAATATAGTAATTCATTTCTTTGCCTTCTGGTCCACTAGCGCAAGGAGCCTAAATGTGGTAGTTGAAGCTTCGAATTTGGTGGAGCCCTTTCTGTGCACCTGGTTTCGGAAAAGACTCTTCCCCTTCTCAGCCCTGCAGTGGAAACCAGGACCTTAGAGTGTGGGGACAGAAAACACAAATTTTGCAAATGAGTTGTTGTTTCTACAACGTGAATGTAAGCTGTTTTGATCCTTCCTCCTTATGAGCATTGAGAAAGACACATCTGCCAGATCATCACATACCTAGTACCAGAGGCCTGCTAATCCACTTGCAGTAAAGATAGCACATCTGGCACAGCAGATACCATTGGCGTTAACATCTGGTTATGTTTATGATAATTCACCATCATCCACCATGAGCTCTCAGGATTTTCCAGGGCTAGGTATGCCCATAAATGAGCATGCAGAAAAAATTGAACCAGGGATATGATGGAAACCATCACCCTTGTATTCTTCAAGTGTTTGATTGTGTCACTAATCTCTGCAATTCCTCCTGGCATGCAGTGTTGCTTCTGATATATGGTCTTAGATGGGGATAGAGGCAGTTTCAGGGACTTCTACTTGGCCCTTCCCTCATAATATCCCTTATACTACAAATCTGGGAACAAGTGTGAGGGCTCTATCACCTGATAAATATATTTAACTCAGTTACACACACTCAGGATGTGGGCAATAACCTCAGGACAGATCTGTGAACACTAACACACTGTGAAGCAAACTTGGCCCAAAATTCCGTTCTCATTGTGTCCAGATGGGCTCCCACTCTAACCAGAGATCTTTGATAGTATTTCAGTTCATTTGGTATCATTCAGCCCCAACTCCTTACCTAACAGCCTTTGAAAAGTCTGGGTTTTCCCCTTCCAACAGTGCAAAGTTACCCTGCTGCAAGTACATTTGGGGAAAGAATCAAAGGAAGATGTACTATATATACTGGTGGTGGCATGGAACCGTCCTTCCTCAAGGGATCCTGGCTTCCACATCAATCACTGAAATCTGGATCTATGAGCTGATTTAGGTCTGGAAAAAGGGTGATGGGAAGGTGATTTTCTACCATAGCAGTTGATGTAAACATTCTCTTTACCAAGTCTTAAGACACATCTCAACAGACAATTAGGATGAGCTCCAGGGGATCTTTATAGGGCATCAAATTCTGAGCATGGCTAGGTGCCTCCATGTTAGTAAACTTTCCTCTGTCCAGCCTCATATTCTGATTTCCTCACCCCAGTCCAAGACCCTCCAGCTCCAGTTCCACGTATAAAGCCCTCTACTCTTACCAGATCATTTGAACTAGTTTCTGCAGTTCTTTTGGCAGGCAAGCTATTTCCTCCGGAAATGGTGCTTAGGCTAGGCTGAGATTTCTCCTTGGTCAACAGTCTAGAGGGAATGAGGAATACTGGAGGCAGATCTCAAAGAGACAATTATCTTATGAGGCACCTGCTTTAGAGGGGAGTCCTTGAACAGTCTCCAGGCAGGCAGCCACTGCTCTCCTCCAAGAAGGGCCCTAGGAGGAGGGTTTACAGGAATCTGGTAGTTCAAGATTACCAGCTGGTTCACCCAAATTTTCCCATCCACTCTTTTCTTATTGAGGTCCTGACTTTGATATAGGAGATCTGTTGAACCTGTGCATTCACTCTCCTTTGTGGTTGTGTACTTTTACAGTTAAATCCTGGGCTTGATTTTTAGCATGGTCTTCTCTGTGGTTCCATGAAATGGATCGGGATCATAATCCCAAAAGACACAATCTTGAAATAAATGTCATAATCTCAAATTTTGAAATCCCTAAAGATCAAAATCCCTAACATCTAAAATCTTAAAAATTACAATCCCAAAACATTAAAATTCTGAATGTTGAAGTCCTGAAAGCCAGATTCTAGGGAAGGGATTAGAGCATTTTTGGTTGTATGCAGGATAGTTACATCATGTTAGTTGCATCATGTTAGGCAGAACTATTACCTTTTGTGTCTTTATTTGCATTTGGGGAAAAATTCACACAAGTGATTGGCCACATGATATGGCAACAACGAAAACTTCAGCTCCAAAGTGCATCACTTTCCTGCATTGACATTCCTTTCATCTATGACTTTCCAGGAGCTTTTAATAAAAGTCACATTTGCCTGAAGAAGCTAGGGAAGTTACTAACTGGTTCAAAAATAATTATGTTCATGGTAGGATAAGAAGACACTTATGCAACAGTGTTGCTGTTTGATCACCAGTTCTTTCACCGAATTTGCGGTCTGAATATGAGTGTATTCAGAATGGAATTTTGAGTACCCAAAACAGCATAGAATAATGGCACAGAAGATGGGAAAATTTAACAGGGAACGTTCATGTTGATGTACAGCTAATCATATAGAAGAATTTCAAAAATAGCAGGTCCATGTAGAAAAAGAATGTGAACATTTCTCCAAGGAGAATACTGCCCTAAAAAAAAAAAAAGGGAAACAAAGCAGCTATTCATCATGATGCAAGAATTCAAAATATAGTTCCTGATCATAAAAGTTTGTCAGCTCTTATGGACTACCTCTGTGCAATTGCCCATAATCTAAACATCTAAAATCTTAAAAATTACAATCCCAAAACATTAAAATTCTGAATGTTGAAGTCCTGAAAGCCAGATTTCCCTGTAATGCACTTTTTTATATATCAGAATTTTCTGGTTTGGGGGGAGTCTTTTTTTCTTTTCTTTTCTTTTTAGTTTTTTTAAACTAGTTTAAATTGTCAGCATTTTTTTTACAATCAGCATTTTTTTTTTACCATTCTCTATGCTACATATTTCATTTTCTCATCATTTTCAATACTGGAGATATAAATTGTGTAGAGACTTTAGAGTTCTAATTCATTTTATGCGTTTTTGACACAAAAAAATGAAAGTGCCTTATCACAATGCTGACTTTGTGTGAAAGCATTGTAGGTCTACATAAAAACATCGAAACTTCCTCAATAAATGAAGAGATACCCTTTTAGCGTATCTATGCTTGTGAAAAATAAAATTTCTCAAGATCTCAGCTCTTCGGGTGACTGCATATGCAGTGGGTGACCCACTGTGGTTTTTGATTGATCTCATCAAAAGATTTAGATTATCTGTCACAGTATTTCAGATGACTGCAGATATAAATCTGGTTGCACGCACTTACTGATCATAGTGATATGTGTTCATACATTTCCCTTTTTGACCTAGTTCTTAATGAATATGGTTCATCTGCTTATAACTGTTACACCTATGTAACATTAGTATAGCTGAGTGTTTGTGCTTACAAAAATATTTGTTATTTTTACCTATTCTATTCTATTCTATTGTGTGAAATAATCTATGAAATGTTCTGTAATGTTTTTATATGTCTCTCAAATAAATCTCCTTTCAACAATGCAAATACATATCTTTTAAAGAATTTTTAATTATTTTTTCCAGAATTATGTTTTTGAGATTTTGCTCTTACAGGATTTCAACGTTCAGGATTATGGCATTTAGGATTGTGTCTTTCTGGATTTCGATCGGCTTCCGATGAGATGACAGTTTCCATTGCAGCTGCCATAGAGGATCTCTGACTTTCATAGCATGGCTTGACTTGACTGTCGACTTCTCTGGGTCTTTTTTAAAAAATTTTCCAAGACTTCCAGTGTAGTTAACAGCAGTCATCTCCTTTCTATAATTATCATTTTATCCATGCTTTTAACCATGATGGCCCCTCCATTTGCCACCTGCACCTCAACCCAATTAACCACGGGTGAAAGTCTTAGTTATAATGCTACTACATGCTAGTATTATCCCTACTACACCTCCCCAGCAATGGGACCTTTATAACCCAGGTACAAAATACCTTCCTGAGGAGCTGCTTTCTGAAGTCATTCGGCATTAATTGTCTTAGTCTTGCCTCCCCAGAAAGCAGAGCCTGAACCAAAGATTTACATTGTACTACCTTATTAGGGCATATAACCCAGAATGAGGAATACGGATTACAAAAGCAGCAAAGAGTGAAAGAAAATGCAAGAATGCTGATCAAGCTAGTTGTTGCTAAGCTCAACTTACTGCTTGATGTTGCAAGACCATCCTCTGAGAAGACCTATAACTGCTTCTCAGGGCAGTCTCTCTAGCGGGAGAAAGGGAAAATAAATTAATCCACGGGCTCCTGCCTCCCATGGGTCAAATTTTCATCTCATGGGGATGCTAACTCCCTTGCACGTTCAGGTATTTGCATGGGTACCTAACAGAGTCCTGTGGTGCTCTAAACTTCTGTATTACCATAGAAGTTTTTGGAGTAAGATGCAAAGTCAGGGCATTTAGTACATCACTGTCAGGGTGAATTTTATCAGAACCTGTGCACAACTGTCACCACAGCAGTGGCTGGAGTTAGAAGCAGGTAGTACAGAAAGGATCCTAAGTGATGCATGTCAGGGGTTTGATAAAGATCTTTCCAGCTTCTGAGGTAAGAAATCACTTGGCATTACTCTCTATTTCTATATTACCTGAACAAACAAATGAACTGCTAAAGAAAAATTAACTGAAGGCTAAAGCCTCATCCTCTCACCCAGTATTCCCTCCAAAAATAATTCATTTATGGAGTATGTTATATTTTATATCTCATTTTATTTTCATATAAACCTTCCCAGGCGGGCAGAGCAGGTACTGTTAGACCCATATGAAGAAAATGAAAACTCACAGTGGCTGCAAAATATAGTTACTATAGCAGGTAAGCAGCAGATCTGGAGATATAATCTAATAGATTTACTCAAAAAGTATGCACCATGCAGCTAATTTATCTTTTCTCTCCTTCTAGAAATTCTGATTTTCATGACTTTCACTTTCATCAACAAGCTACCATAAGATGATCCATACATCAAAATGAGTCTGGAATCTTGGGCTCTAAAATAAGTTGAACTTTAAATGTTTTCTGTGGTATTCTATCTTTGATTTTTTTTCTCCTCAAATTATTTGTTTGTGTTTGCTTGTTTCTTTTGAGGGCAGAAGGGACTTCAGTGGGGGTAACGATTGAGGATGGCCCACGCAAGATGGTGACGTGCATCAAACATATCTATATGGCAGCCAGTCCTGTTCTGATTATTGCAGATATGACTCTGGCCTTCTTCAAGAAAAGGACCATACCATCTATTCCTCTAATTTCCTTAGCCTCCCAGTAGTTACTTAGACACAACAGCTGCTCCAAATAACTTTGTTGAAGGAATACACAAAAATCCCCTTTCCTCAAAACATGTAAGAGTGCATTCTTCTCTCTTTCCTCAGAGGTAAGACTAGCTTTGCAGGCCTATGTCTTATAAAATGTCCTTTGGCAAATTAAGCAATTTTCAAACGAGTAGAGTCATCTCAGACATTAGGAGGACAATTAGGGAGGACTTTATACAAAATAATAATTATAAAATACTTTGTGGGTTTCATGACATCTCAAGCCTCTTTTCAAAATATGTAGTACACACATGATGGTACCAGGCAGCTAAGGAAATATAAAGATTCAACTGTCTTTTTTTTCTAACAGCTCTGATAGTTTTGTGACAACACTAAAAGATTCCTCTGAAGGAAACATGTAATGTACCTCTGGGCTTGGGAGCATGAGCCTGGTGTTGCTAGCCAGTTTTTCTCTAGGTGACTTATACCATTTCTGTGATGTTTGTCGCCTTTGTGGTTAATGAGCCCCAGGAGTGGAAGCTGCTAAACACACTTACCCAACAATTAACCTGCACTGCGCCGCTGCTTCTACTGCAGCAGTCAGCACCAGGCAGGGGGAAACAGGAGTCTTGGCTTGTTCCTAAGGATTAAGTCACAATGAGCCACTGGTTTCACCAGAACCTCTGTTGCTGTTTTCACTTTCTTGGTAGATATTTTTCTTCAGCCACTGAGAACACTCAACATTCATGGAAACTGTTGTATTTTCCCTAATCTATTCTGAGTTTTTGAAACCTTTACTAAGAGTTCCAAACCAATGCAAGGTGTACTGGTATAGGTTGGTGGTTAAAGTGATGGGATCAGGAGTCTGACTGCCTGGGTCCAAATTCTGCTTCTGCCATTTACTACTTGTGTGACAATGAGCTTGTGACTTACCCTCTCCAAGCCTGTAAAATGCAGATAAGAGTAGCATGTAACTGCGAGAAATAAGTAGAATGCATACAGGTAAAACACTTAGCCTAACACCTGGAATGTAGTAAGTGCTTAATCAAAAGGAGCTGTTACTATTAGCCACTGTAAGCTGGAATGACTGCTTGAAGCCTACAGTGACTGTATTTGGGAAAGGGTCCACAAGGAACAGTGTTTGTTGTGATTTGGTTATAAGAATAGCACATTCCTGGAATTGCTTTGAAATTCTCAGGTCTTATATATCTTTTCTTCATGTGAAAAGGGAGGTCAGCATTCCTTTAAGACCCGCAGGAACTATGTGTCACAAGTCACAGAGGGGATTTAAGTTTCCTCAAAGGATCAGCCTGTCTTTTGTGTAAGTACTAGACTCTAGCTAAGAAACTTTATTCCGATTAGCCCACCCTCTCTCCACATGGAATTGGCACTATATGCAATCCAATCACTTTAGGTTCTCCCCACATTGCGAATTACTTTCTCAAAGAGGAGAGCAACAAGAGGACAAGATCAATGTTGCTCAACAGAGTGGTCTTTAGTAACACGCTGTAGTAACACTGTTACTAAAGCAGCCTTGTTTAAAGGGAGTTCACATTTTGAGCCAACCAAACCATTTCTTTATTTTGGCTGCATCTCTCCTTCAGTCCATTTGTATGACCACTGAATCAAACCCATGACAATCTGGGATGTTGAAAATATGTGCAAGTATGGATTTATACATAAACACTCAAATAAAAATACTTGTAGATATGTATGAACATGTATGGTGCATATGCATATATAATATATATACCTTTTATATAGAGAGAGGATTGGTCTTATAGCTTCCTTGCAGCAAGTTCTTATCTACTCTTTGGTCTAGTAATTAAACAATTAAGTGTCATTTATGATAATTACACATTACAACAAAGTGGTAAATAGGCATTAGCTCACTTGAGAAATATGTTCTATTTTAGAGCCAGTGCAATGTAGTAGCCAAAGTCAGCAAAGCATTAGTTCTTGGAACATGGCTTAGTGTTAGCATCCTTGTAGATGAGGATGCTCTAGTTACTACACCAGAAACGGGAAAGGCCCACAATCAATCTTAACCAGTGGGGAACAATGGCTCCCTCTGGAATTTTATCACCACTAGGCTAGTTCCACTTGTAAGTGGCTCAGATGCTAATTCCTGTGCTAGCTCTTGTGGATTAAGAGGGGGTGGTGTACATTTGTCCAACACTTGCTCACACATACACACACACACACACACACATTAGAAAGGATTCTTCTTTTTTTGAAAACTCTGTCATGTGGAATATCAAAATTCCTGGGGTTAGAGAAAGGAAACTCCTTACTTTTCTTGTCTGCTCATCCTACATGGAGCTTAAGGATGCCTAATGAATCTCAGCTTTGGAGCTTAGGGCTCTTGAGAAAAGAGGAAGTAAGGAGACTTGAAGTGGCCACACTCTAGGCTACCTGGCTTAGCCAGGTCTTTATCTGCCATATGATGTTCCAGCCCTTCCTGCAGCTTGTAACTGATCCAGGCTGGAGACCCCAATAAACATGAGCAGGCCTAGCCTTCCGTACAGGACAGGAGAGGTATTAGAAGGATTGAAAAAAATCTCAACAAGACCGTACCCTTAATGCGAAGCTAGAAACAGAAACTTCACAATCCTCCCTTTAAAGGGAAAAATCATTGAAAGCCTCTAGAAAAACAATACTACTTGGAGAAGACGGTCAGTATACTAGCAGTATAGCTGCTGCTGCTGTTGTTATTGATAACAATAACAATCCAATAATAATAGCTCTGCTTTATTGAGCCCTTACAAAGTTCCAGTTACTACAGTTTGACTTTAAATCACATACTCTTAAGAGCTATAAGATATTGCCCCTGTAACCTTACTGTGTATTGGTTTACTAAGTCTCTTACTGACTATCTACAAGATCTTAAGGAAATGGATATGGGATACACAATTTGGCTAAGAATGTTGATGATCTGGCAAGTTATAGTTTCAGTAAAGGAGGTAGGATGACATTAGTGAGACGAACTCCTTAGGAAGGTCAGACACTGGTCAGATGGTATTATACAATGAGGTTGCTCTGGGCTAATCTGGGACATAAAATGATTAGGGGGTAGCTGAGAAGTAAGAAGTGGAGATGAAAAATCTCCCCCACAAAAAAGAAATAAAATCTTCTGAGACAGAAATTACTTGGATTGCAGCTTTGCCTTCTACAAGTATTGAGGTTTGATCTGAACCTGAAGCCCTAACCCTGGACTGGCTGAGAAGAAAGATGCTGGGATAACAATCCTTCTATTAATTTTAGTCATTTTAATAATCATGGGTATGATTATTTTATAAAACAACTACATAAGTAAATCAGGGCAAATATTCTAGGAATGAAAGTGCTCCCTTAAGGGAATCTGCAAAGTCGTTGTCACAGAGAGCCATGGTTACTGGTGAACTTGTGTTCTATCTCTTTGTTGTATTTAGGGTAGAAAAAAGGCTCGAGGAAAACTTGGGGGTGGTATTTTGGAGATGCAGAATTCTTAAATATGAGATTTACTCACTAAAAAAACCATTATTTATTCTTCTCAAGGTGGTTGTATCAAGCTACCATAATCCTGTGAGTTTGAAAACAACCATCACGAACACTGACAGACAGAATTTACCAGACGGTAAATCTATCATGATCATGGTGGATAAGCTTTTTGATGTGCTGCTGGATTCGGTTTGCCAGTATTTTATTGAGGATTTTTGCATCGATGTTCATCAGGGATATTGGTCTAAAAGTCTCTTTTTTTGTTGTGTCTCTGCCAGGCTTTGGTATCAGGATGATGCTGGCCTCAAAAAATGAGTTATGGAGGATTCCCTCTTTTTCTATTGATTGGAATATGCAGCCATAAAAAGGATGAGTTCATGTCCTTTGTAGGGACATGGATGAAGCTTTTTCTATTGATTGGAATAGTTTCAGAAGGAATGGTACCAGCTACTCCTTGTACCTCTGGTAGAATTCGGCTGTGAATCTGTCTGGTCATGGATTTTTTTTGGCTGGTAGGCTATTAATTATTGCCTCAATTTCAGAGCCTGTTACTGGATAACTAGGATTCTTAAAATGCCTTCCTGGAGCCAAAAGATACCACAAATCAACTATGAAATTATAAGATTGAAACACATATACACTCTCCTTTTTTAAAGCTTGTGTTATATAAAAGGATATGGTTGGACCATTTGTTTTTCAATAAAAAATTCCCACCAACATTCAGAAAGAACTTAAAGCTTACCAGTTGGACAAGGGAGAAGGAGAAGGGGTAATTGATGATGGTATAGATAAATGTGAAGGGAGACAAGCCCTGACACAAGCTCGGAGCCCCATGCTAACAGACCCACTGGTGCTAAAACAAGGTCCTACCCCTTTTGGATCAAGTCACGCCAATGGAGTATTCAGTTGCTCTATTCTCTGTTTAAATCCAAAGTAATTAAGTTAGGTATTTTTTTAAGTTCTGATTTTAATGTCTAACTGACATTTTTATTGTGATATCACATTTCATGCTTCACAATGGTTTGGGGAAATTAATGTTTGGCCTAGTTGGTAGATTGCCAATTTCAGGCAGGTCTGAAAGGATGGTGGCCACTGTGCTTCCCTTTAATTCTATCCAATACCAAAGATATCATGTGGAGACAGTGATTTAACATGATCCTAGTCTCAACCATGGTGCACGATTTCCCTCAGCAGAATCAAGTGAGAAGGCTATGGGGTAGTTTGCAAGAGCCCTGAGCTCATCGCTTCATGTCACAGATGGGCCTCAGTTTCCTCATTCATGAAGTGAGACAGGAATGGCTTCCTTTGGTCCTTTTCCAGCTCTGTGATTTTCATCACAGTCAGCAGTTTTTAAAACACAAAGTACTTAAAAATGATTATAGTGAATTCCCCTGAATCTCTATAGCACCTCTTCTTGAGGAGTTCAAAACATAATTTTTAATTCTTTTCTGCCAGGTAAAAAGACATTTCAACTAGTGAAAGTGTGAGCCAGTAAATTATTCCATATGATAGAGAATAAGAGAGGGTGGTAAGATCAAAATTCTAAGTAACTCAGTGTTAGTCCTGAGCTAAACTGAATTAGGAAAAGTCCATCTCTGGCCTCTATTCAAATCTTGTATCCTGATTGTTCCTTGTCTTCTGTAGAAAGGTTATTGTTCTCTGTTATAGCAGTGACTTTTTAAAACCCTCCCAAGGACACTGTATTGGAATAAAGGATTCTAGAAAGAAAAAAAAAATCATTCTCAAAAGGTGCAATCATAAGAAAGGTATTTGGAGTACAGTCTGGTCTGTTAACACTGCTATCATAGTCTGCCTTCATGTACCAAATTATCTTCATGAAAAAATAATTTTTAAAGAAAATTATTGAAAATAAACAGAATCTAGAATCCAAAATTCTCTCCTTCTCTCCCTGAAACAGCCTCCTGGATTGGCAACTCTCTTTTCTCAGAAACCACCATGATAAAGAAATAGGTGCTGTACCAAGGCCTTTATACCTTCTCATATGTTTTTTGCCCCTATCTCTTAAAATTCTTCTGTGGTTTTCTGATTATCTCTAACTTGCTACTTCTCCAAGGAGGTGCTATGTCCAATGGTAGCTTAAGATACACTTGACTAGTGGTGCAAATGTTATTAATTTCATTAATCTACTTCTAACAGCCTTTTCTATGTATGAAGGGAGCATGAAAGCTCCAGGAGATAAACTACAAATAGCCCCACAATAGTAGCAGGATGGCCTTTCAAAAGAAGGCATCAAAGAAAGCTCACCAACAGTGATACTTTTTCCTAATGGTTCTGGGAGGATAATTAGGTTGTTTATCACCTTTGATGCTTATAACCCTAACACAGGTGTTCCCTGGAAACCAATTAAAAATACTTACAGCTGATAAACAGTGCCTTTCAGCTCAACAAATTTACTAATAATTCCAATCCCATTTGGAAAAGAATCTTGTAAGGTCTTTTGACACCAAAAGGCAACTTTCATACTCATTTACACTTCAGTGCCCATAGTGATAAGCATACACAGGGTATTTACTCAGCCTCCCTTGATCTCAATAGAAGAGTCCTCCAGAAGCTTCCCCTGGTAGTTGAATGACAACTTTGGTTTCAAGGTATGAATTGTGCTCTATAGTTTCGGATTTCCTTTAAAAGGAAATGGACTAGGATCTTTCTGATGATACTTTTGCCTAATTGTGAGGAAATAGTAGTGCTTAAGTCTATTTCCCTCATTTTGTAACTTTCAGTGGACACCCAGTTGATTATTTTTAGTACTCATGGAAGAAGGAAGAAGGAAGAAGGTCCTTGTGAAAATCCCAGGTAGCTTATGTGTCAGACTCAGAAGGTGGACTTTTATTTGGTTTGTTCTAAACCCTGTTGTTTGCTTATATGCTGATCAATTGTCCAAACAAGGCCCCAATACTGGCCCCATCCACATGCTGGCACCTGTCTATAGTAGGCTTTTTCAACCTGGTCAAAAGTTGAAATCATTCCCCTTGAAAACTGGAGCAAGACAAGGGTGCCCACTTTCACCACTTCTATTCAACATAGTACCGGAAGTCCTAACCAGAGCAATCAGACAAGAGAAAGAAATAAAGGGCATCCATATAGGTAAACAGGAAGTCAAACTGTCACTGTTGATTGATGATATGATCGTATACCTAGAATACCCTAAAGACTCATCTAAAAAGCTCCTAGAACTGATAAATGAATTCAGTAAAGTTTCAGGATACAAAATCAATGTACACAAATTAGTAGCACTGCTATACACCAACAATGACTAAGCTGAGAATCAAATAAAGAACTAAATTCCTTTTGTAACTGCAAAAAGTAAAAAAGACTTAAGAAAGTATCTAAATAGGAGGTGAAAGATCTCTACAAAGAAAACTACAAAACACTGCTGAAAGAAATTATGGATGACACAAACAAATGGAAACATACCCCATGCTCGTGGATGGGTAGAATTAACATTGTGAAAATGACCATACTACCAAAAACAATCTACAAATTTAATGCAATTCCCATCAAAGTACCATCAACATTCTTCATAGAACTAGAAAAAACAATCCTAAAATTCATATGGAACCAAAAAAAGAGTCTGCATAGCCAAAGCAAGACTAAGCAAAAAAACAAAACAAAACAATCTCTGTAGGCATCACATTACCTGACTTCAAACTATACTACAAGGCTACAGTTACCAAAACAGCATGATACTGGTATAAAAATAGGCATTTAGACCAATGGAACAGAATAAAGAACCCAGAAATACAGCCAAATACTCATAGCCAACTGATCTTCAACAAAGCAAACAAAAACATAAAGTGGGGGAAAGGACACCCTATTCAATAAATAGTGCTGGAATAAGTGGCAAGCCACATGTAGAAGAATGAAGCTGGCTCCTCATTTCTCACCTTATACAAAAATCAACTCAAGATAAATAAAAGACTTAAGTCTAAAACCTGAAACCATAAAAATTTTAGAAGATAACATCAGTAAAACTCTTGTTGAATTGGCTTAGGCAAAGAGTTCATGAGAAGAAAACCCAAAAGCAAATGCCACAAAAACAAATATCAATAGATGGGACTTAACTAAACTATAAAGCTTATGCACAGCAAAAGAAATAATCAGCAGAGTAAACAGACAACCCACAGGGAAGGAGAAAATCTTCACAAATTATGCATTTGACAAAGGACTAATATCCAGAATCTACAAGGAACTGAAGCAAGTCAGCAAGGAAAAAACAAATAATCCCATCAAAAAGTGGGCAAAGGACATCAATAGACAATTCTTAAAAGAAGATATACAAATGGCCAACAAACATGAAAAGATGCTCAACATCACTATCAGGGAAATGCATATAAAAACCACAATGTGATACCACCTTACTCCTGCAAGAATGGCCATAATAAAAAAAATTAAAAAAAAAACAGATGTTGACATGGATGTGGTGCAAAGGCAACACTTTTACACTGCTGGTGGGAATGTAAACTAGTACAACCACTGTGGAAAACAGTATGGATATTTTAAAAAGAACTCAAAGTAGAACTACTGTTTGATCCAGAAATCCCACTACTGGATATCTACCCAGAGAAAAGAAGTCATTACATGAAAAAGGACACTTGCACAAGCATGTTTATAGCAGCAAAATTCACAATTGCAAAAATATGGAACCAGTCTAAATGCCCATCAACCAACAAGTAAAGAAAATGTGGTATATACACCATGGAATACTACTCAGCCATAAAAAGGAATGAAATAATGGCATTTGCAGCAACTCAGATGGAGTTGGAGACCATTATTCTAGGTGAAGTAACTCAGGAATGGAAAAAAACAAACATCGTATGTACTCACCTGTAAGCAGGAACTAAGCTATGAGGACGCAAAGGCATAAGAATGATATAATGGACTTTGGGGACTCTGGGGGAAGGCTTGGAGCGGGGTGAGGGATAAAAACTACACATTGGGTACAGTGTATGTTGCTCGGGTGATGGGTGCACCAAAATCTCAGAAATCACCACTTAAGAACTTTTCCGTGCAACCACTTTTCCATGTTCCCCAAAAACTATTGAAATACAATTTTAAAAATTAAAAAAAATTTAAAAATTTTTTCATTGACAAAGTTATTGATTATTGAGTTTGAAGGCTTATTCCTAGCTCTGCCACTAAATAGCTGTGCAACTTTGGTCGGTCTCTTCTCTCTGGGCCCTCATTTTCTTATTTGTGGGGAGAGAATTAGACGAGATGATATGTGAAGGACCGTTTGACCCTAAATTTTATATGATGGTTTTGGCAGATGACAGATGGCTGATTCTTTCTTTCTTTCTTTCTTTCTTTCTTTCTTTCTTTCTTTCTTTCTTTCTTTCTTTCTTTCTTTCTCTCTTTCTTTCTTTCTTTCTTTCTTCTTCCTTTTCTTTCTTGGCTGATTTTCTTTTTCTTTCTTTCTTTCTTGGCTGATTTTCTTTCTTTCTTTCTTTCCTTTCTTTCTTTTTCTTTCTTTCTTTCTTCTTTGTCTTTCTTTCTTTCTTTTTTCAAGACAGAGTCTCTCAGCTCACTGCAACCTCCACCTCCCAGGTTCAAGTGATTCTCCTGTCTCAGCCTCCTGAGTAGCTGGGACTACAGGCGCCCGCCACCATGCCCGCGTAATTTTTGTATTTTTAGTAGAGACGGGGTTTCACCATGTTGGCCAGGATGGTCTCCATCTCTTGACCTCGGGATCCACCTGCCTCAGACTCCCAAAGTGCTGGGATTACAGGCGTGAGCCACCACGCCTGGCCAGATGGCTGATTTTCATATGCAGTGTTATTTCTCACTACCTCACTATTTGAGCCTCATTATTTCATAATTAGTTTCTCATCTAGCCCTCTCAATATAGTTGTATGGTTGCATTTAAGAAACCAATTCCTGGCCAGTGTTGCTGCAGCTGAGAGATCAAGACAGTAGCAGGGGTAAAACTGAAAAGAGAGATTGGGGGCCCCTAAGAAACCAATGAAGAATTTTCAACAGGGGAAAAATAATCACATTACCTCTAAATGTAGAGAACAGATTGGAAGGAGATCTGAGTCAATGAATATAGCTTTTTTAGTTAAGAAGCTATTGTAGTGTCTAGTGAGAGGTAACACTTTTTTGTACTAGGTGACTATGGAGATACAGAGAAATGAATAGATTCAAGAACTATTTGGGAAATGAGATTTACAGGTGCCCAGGATGACCATTAGTTTTCTGGTTTGTGCCTTTAGATGCATGAAGGTGTCATTCAATGAGATGTGAAACAACAGAAGACAACCGGGGTTAGGGTGAGCAGAGGATGTCTTAAATTCAGTCTTAGACAATTGAGTTTATTTGCCGATGACTCCAAAATCTTTGGGCTGGATAAACAAATTTTGGGAATCATCAGCAAATAAATGGTCATTGAAGCCATGGGCATAGATGATATTACCCCAGGGAGAGAACATAGAATGAAGAAAGAATAGGCCTCAACTAACTCTAAGTGTTGTTTTTGTTTCTTTTTTTTAAAATACATGGTCTTGCTCTGTCACCCAGGCTGGAGTGCAGTGATATGATCATAGCTCACTGTAGCCTCAAACTCCTGGGCTCAAGCAATCCTCCTGATTTAGCCTCTGGTATAGCTAGGACTACAGGTGCATGCCACCATACCTGGCTATTTTTAAGAATTTTTTTGTGGATATAGGGGTCTCACTATGTTACCCAGGCTGATCTCATACTCCTGGTACTGGTATTACAGATGTGAGCCACCAAGCCTGGCCTAACTCCAAATGTTAATGGCCAGGTAGAGAAGGACAAATTAACAAGGGAGTGATTATAGAGTTAAGAGGAAAACCAGGAGAGTGCATTGCCAGTGAAACAGGGGGTTTATTTCATGAAGTGGGAAGTGGTTTATAACATCACATCTTGAGAGATTAGATGGGGGTTAAAAAAAGTCCAAGTGATTTAACAAAAGGAGGTAATTGGTGACCTTATCCAGAGCTGTTTTGGTGGAATGATAAAAGCAGAGCCAGAATGGAGTAAGGAGAGACGGAATTGAGAGATGAAGTCATAGTGACAGTGAATGGTAAGAACTCTTAAAAAAATCTGATTCTGAAGTGGGAGGGAGAAATAAAGGAGTAGAGCTAGAGAGGTTGTGGTGTTAAGTGACAATTATTTTAAAATAAGAGAAACTCAGGATTTATTCAAAAATATTAATTAAACCTTAATGTCATGCTACACCCTGTTTTAGGCAGTGGAGATGTGACAGAGAATTTTGAAAGCTCCTGCTCCCATGGGCCCTACATTATAGTGGGAGGTGGAGAGACACAGACAGTATGCAAACATATAAATGTATGCTATGCCCAGTGTTGATCATGTATGAAGACAAATAAAGGTGATAGAAACTGTTGCAGAAAATAGTACTATTTTCTGCAGTGGGTTGTCAAGAAAGATCTCTCTAGTGTGTGGTTGCCATATTTAGCAAATAAAGATACAGGATGCCCAATTTAATTTGAATATCAGATAAACAGCAAATACTTTTTCAGTATAAATATATCCCATGCAATGTTTGGGACATACATATATTAAAACAAGCCTACTCTGTTGGAATGACATTTTCAGTATTTAATGTCAGAGAGAAGACTACAATTTATAGGACTCAGTTGAATATAGAAGAGAAAAGGGAGGTTGCATTTGACAGTGGTATAAAGCCCCTGAGAAGTCATGAAGGGATGGGCTGCAAAGTCCAGATGGAGGGGTTTACCTTAGCTAGCAGAAGGAAGATGCCTGTAGATGGACAATGGTTTGTAAGCATGGCGGCCGGAAGATGAAGGATTCCTGGGTGATATGTCAATGTTCTTTGCCAATAGGTTGCAAAGACAGGGGCCAAATGGGAGAGGTGGTTTGGAGGTTGGAGAGAATGGAGGTGTAAAGGAGGAAGAGCATGGGTTGCCCTGACAGGTTGAGTGCTCTAAGGTCATGAATGAAGTTGATTATTCATAGTTCCATTGTCACTGCAGAGTGCCCTGAAGGGAGATGGGAAAAAGCTCCATCTACTCCCTCGCCTGTCTCTACCCCATGCCTATCTGTGGCTCCTGTAGTGCTAGAGGTTGCTACATCCTTATTCTCAGCAGCTTTGCCTCAGGGGGTTGGTGAACAGACGCTTCTGCAGAGAATTGGGCCCATTAAGCATTTAGCTATTTTACTTTGGTTGGAAACATTGTTGACACTGTAGAAGCTGCTTTAATAGCCCTTCTTTGGTAAGGAGATGAATTCAAAGATAACATCAAAAGAGCCATTTATGAAGCATCTAATTTTGACAAAGCTCCATCTATACAGCCTGAAGTAAAGTGGAGATCTGTCAATTAACCCAATAATTTGAACCATATCGACAGCGAATATGAATAGATAACAGTGAACTTGACTTTTTGGGTTTTGGCTTTCGACTCTGTGGTGTTAAGGTTTCTGGCCTTTACGCACTACTTCAATATAGCATCTTTTCTTATTTTTGTTGCACACATTGAATTCAGAAAAGAGGCAAATCATTTTGAACAAGTTAAAATATATTTTATTCATTAACACTCCACATTTCATAATCATTGCATTCTTAACAAGCATCATAATTGCTTTACATTATTTCATTTATATGCAGAACATTTTTATGACATGTGCCTTCAAGTTTCAGAAACAGAAGACTAAATACAGATCTGCTTTACAGAGGGAGAGTAACCACATGAGTGTAACTTTCTTTCCTGTGAAGATTAGCTCAGTGGGCCATTATCACAGTGCTCTATCCAATGCAAAATCAACAGCTCAGCAAGCAGCAGCATTTAGTGACATTTCCCTTGCATGGGTGAACGTTTAAGTGCAATGAGATCAGCGTTCAACAGGACAACAGAGACAAAAGTCAACAAGAGGGGTATAAATGTCCACCAATTGTGAAAAGATATTTGTGGGGTCAGGAGAGAGTTCAATGCAAAGAACTCCATTCTTCCCTTCTCCCAGGGTGAGGATAACACCATAAATGTGCTTTCCAGAGGCACATTTTTAGCACTGTCTCTGGATAAGTTTAATTAGAGAGAAGAGACTATCATGAAAAACTTTTATTCAGTGACCTAGAACCAAAGAAAATGAGAATGACCAGAAAAGGGACAGTTGGTATTCAGTTATTTGATTCTTGTTCTTGTTGGCTTTTTGGATCCTCTCCTCTGTCGACTTTTCCATGGATGCACTTTTACATGCTGCAGAACTGAGTTTCCACCTATTTTCTGTAACCATCTTATGTAAACGCAGTTTCAGCCAGAAGCAAGTAAGTCTTTTGGAATTTGTGGACAGGGTGGGGGAGCAGAGGGAAGTTTTCTCTAGGCCACCTGTTAGGAAATGTTGTGTTTCATGTGTGGGAGAGAAGGCCCAGTTCTGAGCCAGCCTTCTGGATGTTTCTGTACAAAATCACTCTAGTTAATCAAAATTCTATGAGGAATTACTTCCTAGTTGTGGCTGGGATCTGTGTATCTTTCATAGAGTCAGAGATGTAATATGTCCAGAGATCTAAACAGTTACCTTGTCCAGTGGTCCTGAGTTATTGCACTGGGACACATTGGTGGGTCATGATTGGGTGTGCACAAAATGCCAAAGTTTTTGCACATCAGAAGAGATTACAAACTATCCCTATATTAATGTAACCTTCATTTCCATTGCATTCTGACATGTTTTCTTGACTAGTAGGCAAAGAGAATGTGCCAGGGATAGCACCTACAGCCTGTGTATGTCTGTATTCACAACCTGAGATTGTGAACAACATCTATCGTGTGATATGGAGGAATGAAGGCTGAGAACCACGATCACCATCAATGGATGGCTGCCATGTGTCCATAGGTTGGCTGGCAGTGGTCTAAACTCTGCTGCAGCAGTTGTGATTCTCCTTCCACTGAAGGGCATGTTCCCAGAGATCTAACCCACAGCCTACAATTTGGAACTTTTACAGAGTGGTGGGTAGTAGCAGAGGCTGTCTTCCCTCTGTCCTTCAGTCCTTAGACAAGAAAGAGGACTACATTGTTTATTAAGCAGATTATAAACTGTATATCTCAACCCTGTCTTTAGGAGAAGGTTCCATTAGCTGTCACCACTTTCCCTAAGTCACTGTAGTAAGGCAAATTCTGTTGTATACCACCTCTTATGTTTACATAGACATAATGAAGAGAATTGTCCAATTAATCATTCTTAGTGTACTCGGAAAATTAAGACCCACATATTCCCCTTATAAGCAGGCTTATTGATGAAAATTTTATTTTAATTTGTAAATAGCATATCAGGTTAGAAATTCCATTTCTGTTTTCTTAATAAAAATTACAATTTCTGTCTCTTGACAAAAGACCTGCTAATGCTCCACTTCTAGTTCAGGGATAATTTAAAATAAAATAACACAAGCATAATAGAGACATACATACAAAACAAACAAAACAAAAAAGCTCATTTTACTCTTTGTATCAGATGACATCAGTACACCTTTTTTTTCCACACACTTCACTTTATAGTTTTAGCCTTCAATTCATTTGTACTTACAAGGGCAAGGTGTGGGAATTTAAAAATTTATTTTAGAATATAAGGTAGCTGAATAAATAGGGGCTACCCATTGAATAAAAATGGATTCACCTCCCAGCAACGACCTATTACATGTTTCACTGTACATTCGATTATCAATCGTTCATTTTAAACCCCTGCAATAAATCAGATTTCCAGATGACGATGGTGATGGTGATTCTGCATTGCAGGCAGCATATTACTTCTCCCTTTGTACATCAAGAGTGTTTACATTTAGAGCTTAGAAGCTAAAACCAGTGTAGTTATGTTATAAATTTTTGTTTGACAGTCAAAATAATGCACTATATTCAAAAACTATGACTTGTGGTTTCACGAAGCACTGTCTCATGTACTGTCTTCTTTGGACCTTACAAAAGCCCATTAAAAAAGATTGCTAGACAAATTAGGTATCATCCATGCAATAGAATATTTTGCAAACACCAAAACAGGATCAGGGTGAAGTGGAATAATTCCATATTGTTAATTTTTTTTTAAAAAAAAAGCAGTTTCAGAACAACACGTACAGTGTGATTCCATTTTTTATTTAAAAAAATCACAAAAATGAGGGGGAGGAGCCAAGATGGCCAAATAGGAACAGCTCCGGTCTACAGCTCCCATCGTGAGCGACGCAGAAGACGGGTGATTTCTGCATTTCCATCTGACATACCAGGTTCATCTCACTAGGGAGTGCCAGACAGTGGGCACAGGTCAGTGGGTGCGCACACCCTGCGCAAGCCGAAGCAGGGCGAGGCATTGCCTCACTCGGGAAGCACAAGGGGTCAGGGAGTTCCCTTTCCTAGTCAAAGAAAGGGGTGACAGACGGCACCTGGAAAATCGGGTCACTCCCACACAAATACTGCGCTTCTCTGACGGGCTTAAGAAAACGGCACACCAGGAGATTATACCCTACACCTGGCTCAGAGGGTCCTATGCCCACGGAGTCTCGCTGATTGCTAGCACAGCAGTCTGAGATCAAACTGCAAGGCGGCAGCGAGGCTGGGGGAGGGGCGCCCGCCATTGCCCAGGCTTACTTAGGTAAACAAAGCAGCCAGGAAGCTCAAACTGGGTGGAGCCCACCACAGCTCAAGGAGGCCTGCCTGCCTCTGTAGGCTCCACCTCTGGGGGCAGGGCACAGACAAACAAAAAGGCAGCAGTAACCTCTAAAGACTTAAATGTCCCTGTCTGACAGCTTTGAAGAGAGCAGTGGTTCTCCCAGCATGCAGCTGGAGATCTGAGAATGGGCAGACTGCCTCCTCAAGTGGGTCCCTGACCCCTGACCCCTGAGCAGCCTAACTGGGACGCACCCCCCAGTAGGGGCAGACTGACACCTCACAGGGCCAGGTACTCCAACAGACCTGCAGCTGAGGGTCCTATCTGTTAGAAGGAAAACTAACAAACAGAAAGGACATCCACACCAAAAACCCATCTGTACATCACCATCATCAAAGACCAAAAGCAGATAAAACCACAACGATGGGGAAAAAACAGAGCAGAAAAACTGGAAACTCTAAAAAGCAGAGCGCCTCTCCTCCTCCAAAGGAACGCAGTTCCTCACCAGCAATGGAACAAAGCTGGATGGAGAATGACTTTGATGAGCTGAGAGAAGAAGGCTTCAGACGATCAAATTACTCCGAGCTATGGGAGGACATTCAAACCAAAGGCAGAGAAGTTGAAAACTGAAAAAAATTTAGAAGAATGTATAACTAGAATAACCAATACAGAGAAGTGCTTAAAGGAGATGATGGAGCTGAAAACCAAGGCTCGAGAACTACGTGAAGAATGCAGAAGCCTCAGGAGCCGATGTGATCAACTGGAAGAAAGGGTATCAGCAATGGAAGATGAAATGAATGAAATGAAGCGAGAAGGGAAGTTTAGAGAAAAAAGAATAAAAAGAAATTAGCAAAGCCTCCAAGAAATATGGGACTATGTGAAAAGACCAAATCTACGTCTGATTGTTGTACCTGAAAGTGACGGGCAGAATGGAACCAAGCTGGAAAACACTCTGCAGGATATTATCCAGGAGAACTTCCCCAATCTAGCAAGGCAGGCCAACATTCAGATTCAGGAAATACAGAGAATGCCGCAAAGATACTCCTCGAGAAGAGCAACTCCAAGACACATAATTGTCAGATTCACCAAAGCTGAAATGAAGGAAAAAGTGTTAAGGGCAGCCAGAGACAAAGGTCAGGTTACCCACAAACGGAAGCCCATCAGACTACCAGCGGATCTCTTGGCAGAAACTCTACAAGCCAGAAGAGAGTGGGGGCCAATATTCAACATTCTGAAAGAAAAGAATTTTCAACCCAGAATTTCATATCCAGCCAAACTAAGCTTCATAAGTGAAGGAGAAATAAAATACTTTACAGACAAGCAAATGATGAGAGATTTTGTCACCACCAGGCCTGCCCTAAAAGAGCTCCTGAAGGAAGCACTAAACATGGAAAGGAACAACTGGTACCAGCCGCTGCAAAATCATGCCAAAATGTAAAGACTATCGAGACTAGGAAGAAACTGCATCAACTAATGAGCAAAATCACCAGCTAACCTCATAATGACAGGATCAAATTCACACATAACAATATTAACTTTAAATGTAAATGGACTAAATGCTCCAATTAAAAGACACAGACTGGCAAATTGGATAAAGAGTCAAGACCCATCACTGTGCTGTATTCAGGAAACCCATCTCACGGGCAGAGACACATATAGGTTCAAAATAAAAGGATGGAAGAAGATCTACCAAGCAAACGGAAAAAAAAAAAAAAGGCAGGGGTTGCAATCCTAGTCTCGGATAAAACAGACTTTAAACCAACAAAGATCAAAAGAGATAAAGAAGGCCATTACATAATGGTAAAGGGATCAATTCAACAAGAAGAGTTAACTATCCTAAATATATATGCACCCAATAAAGGAGCACCCAGATTCATAAAGCAAGTCCTGAGTGACCTACAAAGAGACTTAGACTCCCACACATTAATAATGGGAGACTTTAACACCCCACTGTCAACATTAGACAGATCAACGAGACAGAAAGTCAACAAGGATACCCAGGAATTGAACTCAGCTCTGCACCAAGTGGACCTAATAGACATCTACAGAACTCTCCACCCCAAATCAACAGAATACACATTCTTTTCAGCACCACACCACACCTATTCCAAAACTGACCACATACTTGGAAGTAAAGCTCTCCTCAGCAAATGTAAAAGAACAGAAATTATAACAAACTATCTCTAAGACCACAGTGCAATCAAACTAGAACTCAGGATTAAGAATCTCACTCAAAACCGCTCAACTACATGGAAACTGAACAACCTGCTCCTGAATGACTACTGGGTACATAACGAAATGAAGGCAGAAATAAAGATGTTCTTTGAAACCAATGAGAACAAAGACACAACATACCAGAATCTCTGGGACACATTCAAAGCAGTGTGTAGAGGGAAATTTATAGCACTAAATGCCCACAAGAGAAAGCAGGAAAGATCCAAAATTGACACCCTAACATCACAATTAAAAGTACTAGAAAAGCAAGAGCAAACACATTCAAAAGCTAGCAGAAGGCAAGAAATAACTAAAATCAGAGCAGAAATGAAGGAAATAGAGACACAAAAAACCCTTCAAAAAATTAATGAATCCAGGAGCTGGTTTTTTGAAAGGATCAACAAAATTGATAAACCGCTAGAAAGACTAATAAGGAAAAAAAGAGAGAAGAATCAAATAGACGCAATAAAAAATGATAAAGGGGATATCACCACCGATCCCACAGAAATACAAACTACCATCAGAGAATACTACAAACACCTCTATGCAAATAAACTAGAAAATCTAGAAGAAATGGATAAATTCCTTGACACATACACTCTCCCAAGACTACACCAGGAAGAAGTTGAATCACTGAATAGACCAATAACAGGAGCTGAAATTGTGGCAATAATCAATAGCTTACAAACCAAAAAGAGTCCAGGACAAGATGGATTCACAGCCGAATTCTACCAGAGGTACAAGGAGAAACTGGTACCATTCCTTCTGAAACTATTCCAATCAATAGAAAAAGAGGGAATCCTCCCTAACTCATTTTATGAGGCCAGCATCATCCTGATATCAAAGCCAGGCAGAGACACAACAAAAAAAGAGAATTTTAGACCAATATCCTTGATGAACATTGATGCAAAAATCCTCAATAAAATACTGGCAAACTGAATCCAGCAGCACATCGAAAAGCTTATCCACCATGATCAAGTGGGCTTCATCCCTCGGATGCAAGACTGGTTCAATATACACAAATCAATAAATGTAATCCAGCATATAAACAGAACCAAAGACAAAAACCACATGATTATCTCAATAGATGCAGAAAAGGCCTTTGACAAAATTCAACAGCGCTTCATGCTGAAAACTCTCAATAAATTAGGTATTGATGGGATGCATTTCAAAATAATAAGAGCTATCTATGACAAACCCACAGCCAATATCATACTGAATGGGCAAAAACTGGAAGCATTCCCTTTGAAAACTGGCTCAAGACAGGGATGCCCACTCTCACCACTCCTGTTCAACATAGTGTTGGAAGTCTGGCCAGGGCAATTAGGCAGGAGAAGGAAATAAAGGGTATTCAATTAGGAAAAGAGGAAGTCAAATTGTCCCTGTTTGCAGACGACATGATTGTATATCTAGAAAACCCTATTGTCTCAGCCCAAAATCTCCTTAAGCTGATGAGCAACTTCAGCAAAGTCTCAGGATACAAAATCAATGTACAAAAATCACAAGCATTCTTATACACCAATAACAGACAAACAGAGAGCCAAATCATGAGTGAACTCCCATTCACAATTGCTTCAAAGAGAATAAAATACCTAGGAATCCACCTTACAAAGGATGTGAAGGACCTCTTCAAGGAGAACTACAAACCACTGCTCAAGGAAATAAAAGAGGATACAAACAAATGGAAGAACATTCCATTCTTATGGGTAGGAAGAATCAATATCGTGAAAATGGCCATACTGCCCAAGGTAATTTACAGATTCAATGCCATCCCCATCAAGCTACCAATGACTTTCTTCACAGAATTGGAAAAAACTACTTTAAAGTTCATATGGAACCAAAAAAGAGCCCGCATCACCAAGTCAATCCTAAGCCAAAAAAACAAAGCTGGAGGCATCACACTACCTGACTTCAAACTATACTACAAGGCTACAGTAACCAAAACAGCATGGTACTGGTACCAAAACAGAGATATAGATCAATGGAACAGAACAGAGCCCTCAGAAATAACGCCACATATCTACAACTATCTGATCTTTGACAAACCTGAGAAAAACAAGCAATGGGGAAAGGATTCCTTATTTAATAAATGGTGCTGGGAAAACTGGCTAGCCATATGTAGAAAGCTGAAACTGGATCCCTTCCTTACACCTTATACAAAAATCAATTCAAGATGGATTAAAGACTTAAACGTTAGACCTAAAGCCATAAAAACCCTAGAAGAAAACCTAGGCATTACCATTCAGGACATAGGCATGGGCAAGGACTTCATTTCTAAAACACCAAAAGCAATGGCAACAAAAGCCAAAAGGGATCTAATTAAACTAAACAGCTTCTGCACAGCAAAAGAAACTACCGTCAGAGTGAACAGGCAACCTACAAAATGGGAGAAAATTTTTGCAACCTACTCATCTGACAAAGGGCTAATATCCAGAATCTACAATGAACTCAAAGAAATTTACAAGAAAAAAACAACCCCATCAACAAGTGGACGAAGGATATGAACAGACACTTCTCAAAGGAAGACATTTTTGCAGCCAAAAAACACATGAAAAAATGCTCACCATCACTGGCCATCAGAGAAATGCAAATCAAAACCACAATGAGATACCATCTCACACCAGTTAGAATGGCAATCATTAAAAAGTCAGGAAACAACAGGTGCTGGAGAGGATGTGGGGAAATAGGAACACTTTTACACTGTTGGTGGGACTGTAAACTAGTTCAACCATTGTGGAAGTCAGCGTGGTGATTCCTCAGGGATCTAGAACTAGAAATACCATTTGACCCAGCCATCCCATTACTGGGTATATACTCAAAGGACTATAAATCATGCTGCTATAAAGACACATGCACACGTATGTTTATTGCGGCATTATTCACAATAGCAAAGACTTGGAACCAACCCAAACGTCCAACAATGATAGACTGGATTAAGAAAATGTGGCACATATACACCACGGAATACTATGCAGCCATAAAAAATGATGAGTTCATGTCCTTTGTAGGGACATGGATGAAATTGGAAATCATCATTCTCAGTAAACTATCGCAAGAACAAAAAACCAAACACCGCATATTCTCACTCATAGGTGGGAATTGAACAATGAGAACACATGGACACAGGAAGGGGAACATCACACTCTGGGGACTGTTGTGGGGTGGGGGGAGGGGGGAGGGATAGCATTGGGAGATATACCTAATGCTAGACGACGAGTTAGTGGGTGCAGCGCAGCAGCATGGCACATGTATACATATGTAACTAACCTGCACATTGTGCACATGTACCCTAAAACTTAAAGTATAATAATAATAAATTTAAAAAAAATAAAAAATAAATAAAAAATCACAAAAATAGAAATTTTGCATATTTATATAATTGTGAATTTATATGAGCCTAGAAAGATATGAATCAAGCTTTGGGATGGTATTGTTGTGCTAGAAAGGGGGAAGTACCACTTCTTATTTTTATTTAATTTAATTAATTAATTAATTTATTTATTTGAGTCAGAACCTCTCTCTGTCACCCAGGCTGCAGTACCATGGCACTATCTTGACTCACTGCAACCTCCACCTCCCAGGTTCAAGCAATTCTTGTGCCTCAGCCTCCCAAGTAGCTGGGACTACAAATTTGAGCCACCACACCTGGCTAATTTTTTTTATTTTTAGTAGAGATGGGGTTTCACCATGTTGGCCAGGTTGATCTCGAACTCCTGGCCTCAAGTGATCCTCCTGTCTTAGCCTTCCAAAGTGCTAGGATTACAGGTGTGAGCCACTGTGCCTGCCCCAGTGCCACTTCTTTTTATGTATACATATATGCTTCAAAAAGTGCAGTGGAATGATGGGCAATTTAACTTTTTTATTTTTATTTTTTCCATTTTTCAAATAACTTTCAAAAGTATTACCTTCCTTTTGAGGATGAAAAAGCAAGTCTAAGAAATTTTAAATGACTCTTGAAAAGTCATACAGCTTCCCTGTCTCTACTAAAAATACAAAAATAAAATTAGCCAGGTATGGTGGCGGGCAACTGTGGTCCCAGCTACTCGGGAGGCTGAGGCAGGAGAATGGCGTGAACCCGGGAGGCGGAGGTTGCAGTGAGCCGAGATTGCACCACTGCACTCCAGTCTGGGTGACAGAGCGAGACTCCATCTCAAAGAAAAAAAAAAAAAAGAGAAGTCATACAGCTTAATCCTAGAATCCAGTCCTCCTGATTCTCCAGCAACAGCTTCGGCCACTATATCCCAACAAAAGAGCATTTGAACAGGAAACGAGGTTGGAGAAGAATCATGAGCTTCAAACCCTACCCTTTGGTATGCTATCACCTCGAGATTTCTTGGTCTACAGCAGTGGTGCTTTAGCATAGTTAGCATATAAAAATATAAAATTTGCTAAATGCTTGTATTTTCTCTTTCTGGGAATAAGACAGCCTAGCTGACTGAGTCTCCAGATGGAAATTCATAAATTGTGTTTCTACCCTACTCATACATGTTGGGTGAGCCACTGAACACTGTATCTCAGTTTCCTCACCTGTGAAAATATTGTGCTGACCTATTTTTTCAGGATAGCTGGGTGGGCTGCTTCATGATTTAAAACTTCTTTGAAAATACAAAGCTCCATTGAAATTGTTTGTCAAGCATTCTTCCCGGCTTACACCTTCCTTCCTTCTCATGACCCTCTCTGGAATATAAGCCCTGTAGTCTTGGTGTTTTTCTACATCTGATCTAAAAGTCTACAAAATCAAGCAGCAACTTCTGCTTTGGAAATGTGTCCTCTGGTATTTGGTTGAAATGTGACTGGATTTAACAAAGTATTATTTTTCTCAAACATTAATGTAAAAGTGTGTGTGCATGTGTGTGTGTGTGTACTCATAATGTGCATGTCCATGTGTTTAGCACAGTCAGATAGAAGACCACTGGGCCTGGACACTTTCCCTGGCTTCATCTGGCATTGTGAGGCTTAACATCACCTGGACAGTGGGAAGTAGAGGCACATCCTATGGGTGTGGGGAGTAGAAACTGTTTTCTGTCTTCCTCCAGGCACTTTCGCTGCCTGTCCCATGATTGCCCTCTGTGCCAGTCTGTGGGGAAGTGGAGGCCAAGTATTAATAAAGCAATATGGGCATAAGAAGAAAGAGATCAGTGGAGTGAAGTCAAGTATTTTCATGAGCTACTATAATCAACTAAAATATTGTTGTGTGAAAGCAAAATCCTCCACCAAGAAGAGAGATCTTCGTCATTTCACCCTACCTCAAACCCTGATCAGGCCCAGGGGAGGAACAAGAAGGGGATGTGGGTTGTCACATTATAGGCCCACACCCGTAGGACACTTAAATGCAGGTATGAAAGGGACCCAGGGAAGCCTAACCTTTTAAGTTACAGCTGAGATCCTCTTTGATTGCTCCCTTTTCTTTCATATTTGGATATGTTCACAATTTTCTCAATGTTGATTTTAAGTTTTGGGTTAGTAAAAATGTCTTTCTCCATATACATTACACTTTCTTTGGGCCATAAACATCTTGTAACTCTTCCAATACCTACAATAGTGCTGTGTGCATAGCAGGCAAATCAGAATACCTGATAAAAATAGTTCTAGATGCTGTCTAGTGTGTGTCGAATGCACTGTGAATCTGGGATTGTATCTCAGACTCCTGCCAGCTTACTATGGCAATGTGTATGTTTTTCTTTTAGTGGGCTCTCTTTGGTTAATGATCAAAATCACTCTGATGTTCCCTAACACGCTCATGAAGATCCCACAAACATATTTTAAGAAAAAGATAATTTATTCTTCTTCTCTGACAGGCTCCAAGACTGTGGTTTCTTACATTTTTGAGGAAGAAAGGAATCTCCATGGTCTTGTAGCCCAGTCACTCCCCAGGTTTCTACGGTCCCCCCTCTACTTCTCCATGAGGTGGGCTCCCAGTGTCTGGCTGAAGCTTTTCAGGGAGAGAGAGCACAGTCCCTTCCAAGACAGCCCTTTTCCTCTTTGAACAGCTCTGTTGGATAGAAAGATATCCACCACATTGAGTGGAAATAGATCTACCCTGGAGTTCTGCCTCATGTGACCATGGAGAATTAGCCTAATCTCTTTTGAAGACAACTCTCATGTGTCTTTCCATTTTATAAGCTATCTCCAAGTCTTCTCTCATCCTAGCAAAACAGCCTGGCTTCCTTCTGGCAAACAGCTCCTTGGCTGCTGCAGGTGTCATGACTTGTGGGACAGAGATGAAATCCTGCAGTTCCCAGAAACCCAGAGCAGGCCTGTTTTATGGAAGAAACATGAACACTCTTCTCCTTTTTCCTTGATGGGCCCATGCCCAGTACTATTGCTGAGGGTGGGCACTCAGGGTGTGTGCTCAGGCAGGAAAACCTTCCTTCTGACAATCTGAATGTGCCCTGGTGGACAGGCCAGTGCCTGCTTCACCCTGCTCCTTCTCTGAGGCATGGGTAAGACTGAAGCTTGGGATGACAGGAGAGAGACACTAATGTCCCAACCTCTCCCTATACCACAGCCCTTATCCTGGGAGCTCATAATTCAGAGGATAAGGAGAGGCACATTTTTCTCTAATGTAAGAACTAAGATTAATTTAACTAGTAAGAGTAATTACAAGTCTTCTAAATGTTTCTGGTTTTGGTACACATTATGGTGAGAAACTATCACATTCTTCATCAGTAGGGAGGATCACAAATGACCAAGAAAACAAACTCGGACTGAATAAAGCCATGCTAGTGGGAGTTTTGCTTTTGGCTTTGTTTTAAAGTTAGGCATAAAATTATGGACTACAGAGATGAAAACAACTAATCATGTTACAAATCCCTTAACTAATGAAGGCAAAATAATTACATAATATGTTCTGTTCTCCTTGGGCTCAAGTGGCAAAAGTTTTGAGTTGGGACAGTTTGTGTAAGACCAGGATATGCACGTTCAAATGTACTTTACATGAACTATCCTGTAATCTCTGATTCTGGGGAAAACACGTTGAAAATTATCTAAAGATGGAGATACCTAGGGCAGGAAACTAAGGTGCCAGCTTGAAATATTCAGTCAATCTGGTTCATCTGTCTGCTCACTAGCCTCTCAGGTTGAATCACTATCTAGGTCCTGACTGTGTTCCTTGCCAGTAAAGTCAGGTAAGTTGGAATCGTTAAAAAGTTTTCAATCTGCCCCATTTGGGTACATTTGCATTAATTGGGTTTCCAACTATAAGAATAACTGGTGCTGGGCATGGTGGCACACACCTGTAATCCCAGCACTTTGGGAGGCCAAGGAGGGTGTATTACTTGAGGTCAGGAGTTCAAGACCAGACTGGGCAACATGGTGAAAGCACATCTCTCCATAAATTGCTTGAGCCTGGGATGTCAAGGCTATAGTGAGCCAAGATCATGCCACCAGCTTGGGTAACAAAATGAGAGCCTGTTTAAAACAAAAAGAAAAATGACATCCAACATACACACATACACACACACAAACACACACCAAATAAGACCCAAAAGTATGGTGTAAGGTCTTTTTCCTATGGGTAAGATGGGTGGGGGGCATGGAATTAGCTATGAAAACCTGGTGTGCTAACTACTGGAACAGAGGGTACTGAAGCACACTGGGGAGAGGAGGAGGAAGGGAGGCTAGTGTGACGAGGGTGAGATGGAAGGCTTCAGGATAGACCGAGGCCTTAAGCTCAATCTTGAAAGACAAATAGGAGTTAGCCTGATGGTTGAAGTAAAGAAAGGCATTAAGAGCAGAGGGAACATCACATGAAAAGGCACTGTCAACGAGATAGGAGGAAAATCAGCAAGGAGGAGTAGCACAGGAAAGCTAGGAAGAACAGATGATTAACAATGCCAAATGACAAGGGATCAAGTAAAATCAGGATTTAAAAGTGTTTCCTGGCTGCTAGGGTGACCTGAGGCTCCCATCCCTGCACACTAGCTTACTGCAGTTGGAGTATCCATTACCTGGAATCACAGAGAGTTGGAAGAGACCATAAAGGCCTCAGTCTCAATATGAGAGCCTCTCTATGGCCTTCTGATGAGGGCCTTGAATCTAAGCTTGATTACTTCCAGAGCTAGGAAGTTCCACCTAATCTCATGGTCAGGCCAACTTTAGTGGTTAACAAGTTCTTTACACCAGATAGTTGCTGGGGCCTAATATTTGAGAATAGATATCCCAGATGATGTATCCACCTGTTAGAACTGTTCTCCCCTCATCTTGGGCCCACGGTACCCAATAGTCAAAAAAGCTACCATTAAAGACCACACATTATGTGCCAGACATTGGGGCTATATCAGAAGATTATGTATGTTTTCTCATTTAATCCTCCCAGTGACCCTATTAAAGTAGGAATATAGATACAGTTATTTTGTTTTTGCAAACCACAGAAATTGATTCAGCTAGCTTAAGCAAAAACACAATCTATCAGAAGAAAATGAGGAGGCTCATAGAATAAAAGAAGCTGAACAACTAGGCCCCAAGAAGGAGGCAGCAACTTCGAAACTCAGGAAATTCAGGCCACAGGAACTGGTGAAATTGATGGACACCTCTTTATAATGCCATCCTCAGAAGGAATAAACTTCAACTACTTTTCATCCTTGGGTCACTCTGCTTAAGATTAAAATCCTAGGGAGGAAAAGCTTGACTGTCCATGGTAGATAAGTCATCTTGATTGACACTGAGGCTCTATTTGACTTGGGAGAAATTAAGATGCTTCTACTAAAGCAGGAAGAGGAAATGCTGAGTAGACAGAAACAACAGATGTCCATTAAGACAGGTGAGGTTATCCCCATTGTACAGATCAGGAAACTGCAGCTCAGAGAAGCCAAGCAACTTACCCAAGTTTACACAGACAATAAATGACAGGGCCAGGGTTTCAACTTAGACCTGCCTAACTCTAAAGCCTGGGTGCCTTCCATTCCTCCTTGCTGCCTGTTTGCCTAAACTGCATATGGACGTTGCCTTTGGAGTCAAGCCATGCCTGGTAGGCTGAAACTCTACTGTCAGTCCAAGAGCTAGGTCAGTCTCCTCAACTCCCATCCCAGTTGCCAGTGGGAGGCTCCACAAACAGTTTCCTGTCCTGCCACAGAAGCCTATCTTGCTGTGAGGAAACAGCCATGCTCTGAGGCCCTACTGGGAGACAAGAGAATATTAAACCACAGCCTGTCTTTCCAATGTCTATTCATTGACCCTGTGTTGCCCTTGAGAGCAACACACAATACTCCCTTCTCCACATGCTAACCTTCCAAATATTTGAAAAGAGGGATCTGTCCCTCTTTCCAGATCTTCTCTTTGCAAAGCTAAATATTCCTGTTCCTTTAACGATTCCTCATACTACTATCCCATATGACCACATGGGGATAATTTCCATATGTCGGCTAATTCTCCAAGACTTACATCAGATGAGAATCTGGCCCCGTATGAAAAGAAACTATTTCCCCTCGCTTTCTCTTTCTGATTCATTAGATTTCACATAAACCTTTCTGATGATGACCTGCTGTTTTCAAACTCAGCTGCAACCCACTATGACTCAATAGGCAAAATTCTCATTCTTCAGTTTTCGTTTATCATTTCCCACCAATCCAAGGCCCCAGCGAGCACCCTTCAGGGGCTACAGCCCATGGGCAATATGTGTCTGTGAAAAATGCCAAGTTTTGATCCTTTGCCATTTTTTAGTTTATATAAAGTCATATGACTTTTAAAAATCAAAGCTTTTGCTCAATGTAAATAATTTAAAGTTTGAACAGCTGTAATCATATTCTTCAAAGAAAACACCCTGAAAGGTGGTTAAGGGTGTTATGTGCCAGATCCTCCCCCTAAAATCTCTTTAATTGTTCTTTTCATGAAAAAGAGAGAGTGCGAATAGAGGTTTGAACAATGTTTTGAGGTTTTGAGCATTTGCAAGGTATTACTTCATGAAGACATTAGTTGTGCTGTTTCTGAAACAAAGTGTCTGATTATGTAAATAGTTATGGAACCTCAAAGTTTGAGTTGGAAGAAAGGAGGAAAAAGAAGAGTTGCACATGTAGGGAAAGAAGTCTAGGATTTTTCTGTTCAGAATCTTTCAGCTAGGCAACTCCAAAAACTGCAGCTGGAACATTCTAGAATTAAATAGGTACTGGAAGTTGGACTACATGAATCCATGTCGAAGGCTCAGCATGTGACTCAGACACAGTAAAATATTCCCGTCGTTTTGCTCTTCAGAACATGATTCAAAGTCTACCATTTACGTTCTGTCTGTCATAGACAAGGAACTGAACTCAAACAGAGGAACTTATTGTTTGGGCTCTGCCACCAAAAGCTATGTATCTTTGAACAAATTACTATTCAACTTTGAAAACCCCTTCCATAAAACTGTTGGTCAGTGACCATCTCTCCAGAGAGAAGATCTTTAAGAGTGAATCTGTGGTAAGAGGAAGGTAAGAAGAGAGAGCAGTTTCTATTGCTATATTGCATTGTTCTACCTGGAATAGAGTCTCTCCAGTCCTCTGCTTGACTGGATTTAGGATGCTCAGGCTGAAGAATGAATTGCTTAATGGAGTTGGTAGCTTCTGTGGTCACTAGCCATCAGGTGTACAGAACTGTAGAATCACAGAATTGGAAGGTTCACTAGACGTCATCTGATACAAAAACATTTGCCTAATGAAAAGATGTCTCCACATTGACTAGTTGCAGTGGCTTATGCCTATAATCCCAGCCCTTTGGGAGGCCGAGATGGGAAGATGGCTTGAGCCCAGGAGTTCAAGGTTACAGTGAGCTATCATTGTGCCACTGCACTCTAGCCTAGATGAGAGAGTGAGACTTGAAAAATAAAAATCTCTCCACAAGACCACTGAGTAGTGATGTCTGAAATGGCGGCTACCTGAACACAGGAATGGAGCTCTTGCCACCTTTCAAAGCAGCTTATTCTGTTCTGGGATGGCTGTAGATGTTATACCATTTCTATATTGAACTGACATCCACCACCTTTTTGTCTTGGATATACCCTCTTGAACCACAGAGAATAATATCTACAACGTTCCTAAACTTCCCAATTTCCTTCAAATGTTCTTCATGTGGCATCCCCAGACCCTTTGCTTCCCTGGTCACCTTTTTAGTGCATACCTCATTTTGTTTCAATTCCTTGTGCATAATTTGAATCTAGCCCTTCTACTGGGCGAACAATGCAGATTTGTGGAAGTCTAGACTATGAAGCCAAGTGCTATATTTGTCTTTTTCCACTAACAATTTGTAAGGGCTGAAATGTTGTAGGTACCCCCACAATATTTATTGAATGAGTTGTTTTTGTTTGTTTGATTTTTTGAGACAGAGTCTTGCTCCGTCACCCAGGCTGTAGTGCGGTGGTGCGATCTTGGCTCACTGCAACCTCAGCCTCCTGGGTTCAAGCAATTCTCATGCCTCAGGCTCCAGAGTAGCTGGAACTACAGGTGTGCACCACCACATCCAACTAATTTTTGTATTTTAGTAGAGACGGGGTTTCACCATGTTGGCCAGGCTGGTCTTGAACTCCTGGCCTTAAGCGATTCTCCTGCCTCTGCCTCCCAAAGTGCTGGGGTTACAGGTGTGAGCCACTGCACCCAGCCTAAATGAGTGAGTCTTTAACCTTCCCTCTGGTTGACTTGGGTAGAACTCCAAGGAATATGAAAGTCAATTCTTCTAATAGATGGTAAATGAAGCCCTTTGGATTTGAATAAAGAGAATGGTTCTCTCTCTCTTTCTCTTGACTTCACTCTCTCTTGCTCTCTCCTGCTCTCTCTCTCTCTCTCATCCTCCCAGGAAGAGACAGATTAGACTTATTGGGAGGCTGGTAAGTTATGCTTTAATATGTTAAGCTAGGTGGAAACACCATTACTAGAAAATAATTTAGACCTTGGGCACCTTGGACTCAACATGTGTTGTACTGATGTTTTCCAGTGCCTTGGTGATTCATACAACTTTCTGGGATCTTTTGATTAACAGAGAAAAAGTCATAAGATCAGCAAGAAGAGAAACTGTAGATTTGCCTCAACTCAACATGTTAAGTAATCGCCTGACATCTACATAAGACCACCTCTTGGCACCTGGCTACACAAGCTGAAATGGGTAATTCACTAATTACTTGGGTGTGTACTCCTTTAAATGAGTTGTGGAATGGGTGAATATTTGGGGGACTCCACTGGAGTGAAACACAGCTGTTGAATTATTTATGTTTGAATTATTTACGTTCACTTGAAAACCACGGAACACAAAAGTCCTGTGATTCCACCTCAGCATTTCCAGCCTCCATGGACAGATTTTGGCTGGTGCTTGAGATCCAGGTCCTGTCTCTAGCAGGCCCAGTTGCAAGGTATGACTTAACTCTCTGTAAAGGGCTGTTGATTGGCAGGCACCTCTCTTTGAGGACAAGAAAATAATCTAATAGGATTTATTATTCCTCTGAATACTTCCAGTTTTAGTGCAATTAAATTAATGTGAACATATTTTTCTGTGGTGCTCTCTTGCACTAGGCTCTCGCATGCTGTGTGTGTGTGTGTGTGTGTGTGTGTGTGTGTGTTGGGGGGAGGGGGCATGTGCACTTTGTTTCATTTTATATTTTCATAAATAGCCAGGAGACTGAAGAGGGCATGGACAATCAGAACTCTAGTTCTTGGCAAGGAATTACAAAGTGAAGGAAATCAGCTTTAAAAGCTTTTTTGGCCCCTCACATTATTACTAAGCAAAACCTAACAAGGATATGAGGAAGGAAACGAGGCAGTATACTTTTCAAGGAAACTAACCTGAAACTATTTAGAGACATGCTATCTACAGTTTCTATTAAAACAAACAAACAAACAAACAAACAAAGTTCTCAATACATTCCTTTCCTCCTAAGGTTTAAAATAATCCTTAAAGCCAATATAATTACAGCATTTACTTCCAGTCCACATCCATTTTGTTAGCCCTCTCCAATCTCAACCTTGCATATCCTTCATCCCTAGAAACCACCTCATTTTAACTGAAAAAATAAAAAAACTGTAAAACAAAAGCAAAGACTCGTAATGATATATGGTTTTAATTCTTAGCAAAGACAAACAGTTCGTTACAGATGAGCATAAATTAAATGACTAACAACAAAATCTGTGCTTTACTTGGTGATCCTGGGTTGACCTTTTCCTAAGATGTACTTCTGTTGTGGTCCCTGGGAAGAAATACCTATTGAGGGACAGGATTCTGACTGTAAAGAAATGATTATAATTCACAGAGCAGATTAAATATTCACAAACAAGCTATTCATTTCTCCTAAACTTCCCAGCCAAAACCCCACTAGACTATACTTTCACAACTCCTGCATAAGGATTTCACTAACAGTTCAGGCTATCTTCTTTCCAGTTCCCACTGTACCTATTGCTGACTGTTGGAATTCTCCACCACTAAGCGTGGGCAGTCTGACTCACTCTAGGGTCTGAGAATAGGGGCCTCCACATCGTGAAGTTCAATGCTTCTGAAAAATAAGGAACATTAGACAGTGTAACCACACCAGTTAAATAAAGACCCTAGGCAAAATCATGCTGGGGAAACCTTCCAGATTTTAGTGAGGACTTGCTGATTGCAAGTTTTCTTTCTTTCTTTTCTTTCTTTCTTTTTCTTTTTTTTTCTGAGACAGAGTCTTGCTCTGTTGCCCAGGCTGGAGTGCAGTGGCTCGATCTCAGCTCACTGCAACCTCTGCCCCCTGGGCTCAATGGATTCTCCTACCTCAGCCTCCCAAGTAGCTGGGACTACAGGTGCACACCACCATGGCTGGCTAATTTTTGTATTTTTAGTAAAGATGGGGTTTCACCATGTTGGCCAGGCTGGTCTCAACCTCCTGACCTCAGGTGATCCACCTGCCTCAGCCTCCCAAAGTGCTGGGATTACAGGCATGAGCCACTGCACCTGGCCAGTTTTCATTTTTGCTTCTATTCAAAAAAAGATTTAGTGTAAGGTATTTATTTATATGTGGCTTCTTGACTTTCTAAGTGATTATTGAAAAGTATGCAGTGTGAAGACCTTAATCCCAAACTCTCTCTCTCTACAGCATCAGATTATTACAATTTTGGGTGCTCAGAGGACAAGCAGAGGGCAGAGCACTCCAGTGTAATATTATTTACTTGTTTATAGGTCTGTCTTCCCCCACTCAGCAGGAAACTCTATCAAAGTCAAGAACTGTGCCCTTTGCATCTTTTTATCCCCACTGCCTTGTTTGATGCCTGGTACGCAGCCAATAAATATTTGTCAAATTAATCCGTGAAGGTAAATTGAAAGCACACCATTAGTGTTAATTGGCAAGACCTTCTGTGGGCAAGTAAATGTGCCCACTAAGCCCTGGTAACCACAGTGTCTTTTGAGGCCCAACATTAAGCCCTTTTTCATTTTTATTGCCAAGCACAGAGCCTAAGAAGGCCTCAGTTTGATTTCCATATTTGGATCATGCTGAGTGCAGACCCCAGTTCTATAATCCATTTCTTTCTGAGGCTGTTGGCATCTCTGGAGTTGGGAAGTAACATCTGCTTCAGTGAGCTGATTACCCAATGAGAAAAAAGAGGTAAAGGCCAGCGTTAGGTGGGGTCTGACTTAGCTTCAAAGCAGGCATATGGCATGTATCTTAATGAGAATTTGCATATTCAGGAAAGACACATCTGAAGGGCAAATTAACTGGTTCAAGACACAGCACATAAATACAATGCGGCTGATCAGATTGCCCCTAGTTGAGGGTGCGCTGTCTCTTAAAAGCCTTCATATTTATTTTTCCCTTTCAGTTCCCACTGCATCACTCTGGTTGGTGTGCTCGTTTACCTCAACTCTGGATTACTGTAGTGGCTCTTCCTATGGTCTGTCTTTGCTGGATGTCTCTTTGTACCAAATCCTGCTCCTCAAACTAGAATGTTAATCTCTCTAAATCCAAGGCTCAAATACCAAGGCTTCATTTGCCTTGGTTTGCTCAGAAAGCTTGGCTCAAAATCAAGACTTTCATTTGCTAAAAAACCAGGGCTTCCCTTCTTTTCCTGGCACTCAAGTATTTCCTTGAGGATCTGGTCTTAATCTGCATTTCCATGCTACCTCACTACCGAGTTCCAATCCATCTCTCCATCCCACCAGGCTGGTCCATTCATTCATGCAGGGCTTCCTGATTCCTTTCTGCTTTCTTTATTTGTCCTAATTGCATACAAAGTCCTATTTACATTGCTTCTGCCCACCTATTCAGGTTCAGTTCTCGTCTACTCCACAAAGCCTTCTGTTGTCATTCTAGTCATCACCAACAGTTCCTTATCTGAACAACTATAGAACTATAGGACATTGGGAGGGAACTAATATGTATCTATGTTTTAAGAATCTTTTGGTTCAAACATTATTCAGTAGGTTAAAAGCATAGGTTCTTTTGAAATTTCAATGTCAGCTCACAGACTTTCCAATGTGGGGACCTCCTGTGATGCAGAGAACACATCCCCAGTCTAATGAGATAAGACAGGTGTGCTCTGTCCACTTCATGTCTTTTGTCCCTTTTAAAAATAACAACGTATTAGAGTTATGTCTAGAGGAGTGAGCAGGATCAGTCAGAGAAAGGTTTTAGTTTTAAGACAATTCTACTCTGAACCATGAGAAGATCCAAGTTAAAAAAAAAATTGTTGATTTGGATCTGAATGGTGACAGCTTGTGGGGTTGGCTGGTTAGAGTATAAGGCATAGTGGCAGAATGAAACTGAATTATCCAAGAAGAGGAGGGAATCCCAGGAAAGAAGGTGTTCCCAGGCATCCATACAAGGCAGAAACATAGAAACACAGCAGAAGGTGGCTTGTGGAGAATGAGAATGGCAACAAAATCTGCCCTATCTTTTGAACTCTATATGGATTTCTGAGCAGTTATGAGTTAGATTAAGTTATTTCTGGTGATGGACTGATCATGTATCCATTTGCAGGAGATGCAGAGAATAAGAGCAAGGATCCATCAGCCTGTAAGGGACTAGATCAAGGGGCCCTGCCAGAGAGATTCTCCTGTGGGAGTAGGAGGAGACCGTGGTGGTTGTGGTGGTGGTAGAGATGAATATGACATCAGGAGGAAATCTACCTGATTGGTTCATGTAGCCAACAGAAGGGAAGACCATTTTATCTAATGTCAGCTACATAAATTTTACTAACAATGCCTAGAATGAAACAGCTTCCAAAGTGCTAGATTTAAACCTAAAGACTGAAACCTGCCACTTATTCCACAAACACTCCTGGCAGTTATAATTTGTAAGACTTTGTTTTTTAGAACATGTTTTTCAAACATTTTTGGTTACCTGTGGTAAAAAATATCCTATACAGGCTGTTTCATGGAAAAAAATCACATTTACTGAGGATAAAATACAAGGCATTTTGATTTTTTTTCTAATTTGTTCTGGTCTTTTTTATTTAAAAAATGCTGGCCAAGACCTACTAAATTGACTTGATGACCCACTAATTTAAAAAACTATGTTAGAACAAGCAGGCCTGGCTGACCTCTAGACTAGAAGACAAAAGCTGAGAGAGACCCAGCAAACCCTGCTTCTGAGAGATTGCCAGGGGTACTATTAATGGAAGATTATAAAGGTCTCTTTTAACTTTTAAACTTCATCTTTTATTGCTTTGACCCTGTTGTTGCAGTAAAACTCCTTGAGAAACCACACAAGGATGGAATACTTGCTTAGAGACATGAGAGTAGCCTAGAATCTAAGAATCTGTACTTCCTTCTACAGTTGTCTTTGGAAAAAGAATAGACATTCATGGCAGACCAAAGATCACTCTCTGAAGGTAGGACCATGTTTTTATATCCCCTTCAGCACCCAACATGGTGCCTCGCATGAGGAAAATGCTCAATATAATGGTTAATTACATATTTTGAGATTCATACATCCTGGAAGAGCATCTTGCAACTTTTAACAGGTGTTCCCCCTTTTAATAAACATGTACTCACATTGCTGACTATATAATCCCAGATTCTGATCCAGGACCTTTCACCTGTCTATGCCTCCATTTATGATTACCTGCTCTAGAAGATGAATAGAAAAGGAAATGAGCATTTGTTTTTTAAAAACTATTAAGCTCCAGGCACATGGCAAAATGTATCTCATTTAAATCATGCAGCAATTTTATGAGATAGGAATTATTTAAGTAACCAGTTAAGATAAAGTAACCAGAGCGGTATGAGGTTAAAAGACTTGACCAAGGCCACAGAGCTAGGACATGGCAGAGCCAGGACTTGAATTGCCACATCTGGATGATTCTGAAGGCTACATTCTTCGCATGCCTTCAGAGTGGGTCTTACATGGAAGTAGGCCTTTCAGAGCTTCCTAGAATGGATACTAATCTGGGCTCAAGTGTTAGCTCTTTCAAAACTCTCTTTGTATTGATCAGCCTCTTTGGATCTCAGTTTTTTCACATGATCTGAAATGTGAATCATGCCCTTCTCACAACAGAACAACTGTGAAGATGAAATGAAGTAATAATTTAAATGAATTATAAAGAAAGACCATTTTATAAATGTGAGATGCCATGTAATGCCTTGACTTCCTTGACTTACTATAAGGGGTAAGGATAAATGTGATAACTTTTTAAATTACTTGGCATCCTACCTGAAAAATTATATATGCTCAATAAGTGTTCATTTTCTTTTCTTCTTCCTTAAGGTGTTATGTGAGAAATCCACACAGGAGAAACCCAAGAAAACCACGCAGGTAAATGCTAGCCTGGAAAGACAGAGGGAAAACATGCCAAGTGGAGCCCACCACAAGGACAGCAGTCAGAGCCCAAGAGCCCAGCTTTAAAAGGCATGTATTCACTGATGTGCTTTAAAATCTGTAATAAACTGCAGTATACTCTGGTAGTGAGGAAGAGTTGAGGCACCTGGAGAACTGGAAGACTATTTGAAGAAGATGATGATACCTACTGATCACATGAGTCAAGACTTTGGAGTCTTGTCTGCGGATTACATGAGTGGCCTCCAATGGTGAAGATTTGAATTCAAGGTTGCCAAGCAACAATTTCAGAAGGGGCCTCCTTGCCTTTAGAAAATAAATGGGAAACTGGCTCAAGCTGCCTTTGTATCTATCTGTCTTGGGTAGCCTCAGCAGTATGCATTAGCTTGGGGGAGGAGTAAGAAAATAGGAGATAGTTTTATTCCTATTTGAATTAACCCATTTATGCCAGAGGTCTCAAATTTTTTTTGTGTGAAAAATCAGACCTTGGCAATGACCTTGAGCAGAAGGATATAAATAACTCCCACAAGCTTAGCATTCCAATAATGGAACACTAGGCATACATGGGTTAAGGTTCATTAATATTTAACTGCTTTCCAGTGTCTGTGTCAATAGGTATCATCAGCTTCTTCAAATAGACTTCCAGTTCTCCAAGAGCCTCAACTCTTCCTTCCTTACTACCAGTGTATACTATACTTTATTACAGATTTTAAAATTAGATTCTCCTGATCACCTGGAAGTCAGACGAACCAGGGAACAAGGACTTGCTTTTTCAAATCCTCTTTCTTTTCCAGCATTTCTGCCCTAGCTGCTGGATTTCCAAGCTAATCACCTACAAGTTACACTTCTTTTTCCTGTCACTTCATCTCACGTGCATTTCGTGGGCATCTTACTCTATTTATGCGGCTTTGTCCCCCAATGTATAGGGAAGCTCTGCTTGAGGGTGTTGCTAAAGAAAATTCCCAGCCGTAGCTCACAGGAAACAGGAGAGAAGGAATCTTCAAGTCACTGCCAAGGCCCAATTTCAGGATGGATAAAAAGAACATTTTCCTGGTGTTGGTGACTTGGATCTTCTGCCACTGAAAATGTCATGGGCAAGGCTAGGAAGATCTTAAGGTAGTTCTCAGGGTTGTGAAAATCAAGTGAGCTACTAGAAGTAAACATGCTTTATAAATTATGAAATGTTTCACAAATGCAAGGGAGTATTTGTGTCAGAGGCTGGAGGGCCTAAGATTCACCTCTCCTCCCTTCCATGTTCTGACTGATAGAGAATAGGTATAAAGATAACAGGCCAAAGGGAAGAAGTATAGACTTTGCTATGGGTAGAAAAAATACCCACATCCCTCAAAATGCAGAGTCTACTAACGTCTGGATTAGAGAACACAGCTTGGAACTGAGGCCAACATGAAATCTTTCTAATACGCTCCTGAACCCAAGCCATAGTATCTCCCTTACAGGTTGACTGCATCTGAGAAACAGGCTCCAAATCCATTTACCCAATTAGCTGTGGGCCTGGGAGTGGAAAGGAGCTCAACAGCTGTGGTACCCAGATGGCTCACAGCTAAAACCAGAACCCATGGACTACATAAGCCTTGACCAGTCAGCCCACTCTTTCTCCAACTGGGAGGGGGGAATTAGATGAGTAAAGAGAGAGGCCCCCAACAATACCCAAGGGAAGAGAGGTCAGAATGCCAATGGAAATGGGGTTGGCGGGGGATAAATTTCTCTCTTTCTCAATACTTCCTGTGGGGGATGATGATATCATAATTTAAATTTCCTGTGCAAAGCAAAGAAACTCATAATTATTTTGGGTAACTGACTTCTCTTTTCCATCCTGGTCTTTCAGTTTCCCTCCCTATATTTGGTTCACTGTGAGTAGTTAGGAACTGTGTTGTCGGCAAAAGCCCAAATTCAGAATCAAGGGTAATAAAGGAGATCAAGAAGCTCCTGATGAATGAGTTAAAAGCAAGAGAAGAATGCATTTCAACAAGTTGTTTGAGAGAGTTATGCTTACTCAATACACATCTGCTTACAGTAACAACATATATGTAGAGTTATTTCAAAACCTCATTCTTGAAATTCATGTTAAAAATAATTTTGTTATGGACTTACATTTAATAGCTGTAACCCCTTTTTCCTATTGAAACAATTGTTTTTGTAACAGATTTTCTCAGGGAGGCAATTATCATATTGTAAAATACAGACTATAATTTTTCTCCAAATATCTGCTAAGTATCTGGCATATGCTGCACAACATGAGATATCCAGAATTGAATAAGATATGATGCATTTTCTAAGGAGCCACTATGAGAGGCAATGAAAACAATAATAATATAAAATGAGCTAGATGTATAGAGTTATAATCAAAATGGAACTGAATACGTGCTCAGAGTGGGATCTATATATATAGTAATAGAGCGATTACTAGCTTGAGGAGCAGGGATAGGGAGAACTTTGGAAGGAGAGAGAAACTCAGGAAGGACTTTAGGGAGGAGGTGGCATTTTAACTGAGTCTTTGAAAGGTGGGTATTATTTAGACAATATAGAGGAAAGATAAGATGTAACAGACAAAGGGAGTAGTGAGAGAAAGACACTGGGTAGGTTGCAGATTAGAAAGAGAGAATAGCTACCGTTGACTAGATTACAGTGCTTGCCAAAGGGAGCAATGATAAAGAGAAAGCTGATTAGAGACGAAATAGAGGAGAGCTCTTCATGGCAGGCAAGGGATTTTGAATTCTGTTCTCCATGGTAGTGGGCCTTTATAACAAAGCCATGAGCAAACTGCAGGATGTCCTACCTGTTTGGTATGTATGAACCTTGGCTTTGTCTTCCAAAGAACTGGAGGTGGAGAGGGAGGCTATTTGGGAGGCTGTTCTAGTTTTCCAGCAGAAGTTGTTATTTGCCTGAGCTAGGACGGTGGCTGTGGGAACTGCAAGGAGAGGAAGAATGGCAAATGTCTTGCTCAGACAGAACCGATGGCATTTGATATACTTGATATTAACCTAGTGACAGCCAGGCCCGCTTGCTTTAACAGAGATTCCCCTCATCTTTGTAATTGGTATTTTTTTAAAATGAAGAATAAATATAAAATCATTTAGGTAAATACCAGCTGTCTTCAATCCACTGATTTCCAAGCACTGCCCCATTTTCAGAACTCAACAACACCTGAGCAACTTGCCCATGAGCTTCAAACCTGGTTCACATCAGCTTGCTGTCCCTTTTTCATTTATTTCATACATAGAGCTGCCATTTATAATTTCCTTTGCACAAAGGGTTCCATAGCTATAGAATAGTTTGAAAATCATAACTCATCCAAACTTTATAGATGAAGGGACTGGAAGGATACTGCAATTTCTGGACTCCAGGTCAGATCACAAAAGAAATAGATAATAAATCCCCTTTTCAATATGCTGAATTCCCAATTTCTCTTTCAATGTTGTAACCCTGCTGTGTCATTATTATTCTGTTTTTCATCCTGGCACAATATTAACATCAGAGCTTGATTATAGATTTATCAGTATTCAGATGTGGAAAAATCAATCATTTACGAAAAGAACACCAGTGTTAGATGAAAAGCTGCAGAGCCACTTCTGTGGAAAAGAAGTAGAGATTCTTGCCTGGGTGTTCTCTCTCTTGTTTCATAATTGCTGTGTAGTACCATTTTACTCAAATAGCTAATATTTCATTAACAACTCACATTATAGAGTCAGATTATTATGGATTTTCTGTTTGTGACAGGAAAGTTTGTTTTTCTTAACCAAAATAATTACAAGCCACGAATCCTCATGAGGGTAGAAGTTGTTGACATAATAAAAAGATAATTTAGAAATCCAAAAATGGGTCTGAAGGGTCAAAGTGAAAAGATAAGTAAAATGTGTTTTCCTTTTAATAAACTCATACTCCCTGAAGACATCTGAGAAATGCTAATAATAGCATACAAATTATTAAATTTCTAAAGAAGATTAATGGAGTGCAGCCTTGGCAAAATTTAGTTGCACTCTCTTGGTATGCCTCACATTTTGTGATGACTCTATTGTGTGCTTTCTCTCTACTCCTCACATTGTACCAGAGCTTCTGAAACCCTAAGGTGTGCACAGATCACAGATTGGCTGGACAATTACAACAGGAATGCAGATTCTCATTCAGTATGTCTGAGATGAGCCTGGGATGCAGGTGATGCTGATGGTTCAGGAACTATACTTTGAGTAGCAAGGCTACACATACTGCTCTGCTCTGACCCTTTGGAGTCTGGCCACCTTTACAGGGTTTCCTATATCAATACTGCAAACAATTTTTTTTTCTCAAACAGTGCTCCCTGATATTCTAGGGAACAGTGGGAATTGCTAAAGAGATAGGGTAAGGTCCAGAAGTAGACTCACACAAATACAGCCAGGATACTACCACTCTGGTAGAGCAGTTCCATTTTTATGGGTTTGACATACAGGCTGACCAACATGGAGAAATCCCGTCTCTACTAAAAATACAAAATTATCTGGGCATGGTGGTGTATGCCTGTAATCCCAGCTACTCAGGAGGCTGAGGCAAGAGAATCTCCTGAACCCAGGAGGCGGAGGTTGCGGTGAGCCGAGATTGTGCCATTGCACTCCAGCCTGGGCAACAAGAGTGAAACTCCGTCTCAAAAAAAAAAAAAAAAAAAAAAAATGAAGACGCTCCAATGCTTAAAAAGGAAAAAAAAAAAATCTGAAAATGACAGCTCTAGGCTTTTCCGTCTTCTCTTCATCAAGGAAAGCTATTGCTTGCTGAGAACTTACAGTATGCCAGTCCTACACAAGATTGCCCAAAGTCACACATTTGAGAAGACAAGCTAGGGTCCTAGAGCTGTCTGATTTTACCTAAAGCCTAGGTTGTTCCACATGCACCATTCTTCCTTCCTGTCCTGTTTCTATGCTATGTCCTAGCCTCAGGGGTCTGATACTCTGCTTTCTCTGGTGAGAGTGAGTAACATGAGAAACTATTCAGTATTTGTTAATGGATTCTATAAAGAGAGTGGGAATAAAAGGTCAATATACATGTATCAATATATTTCTATATATAGAAGCAATGAAAATTGGAAACTAAAATTGAAAAATATATACCATTTAAAATCGTTCTAAAAATGAAATAGTTATAAATCTAGCAACTGTAACTGTATAATAACCATAACTAACATGCTATATTTGCTACATGTTCAATTACAAAATGCTAATGAAAGAAATCAAAGAAGATCTAAATAAATGGAGAGACATACAGTGTTCATTGTTTGGAAGACTTAACATAATAAAGATGCCAATTCTCCCAAAGTGAGCTATAGTTTTAAGCAATACCAATCAAAATCCCAGCAATTTTTTTTGTAGATATAAACAAGTTGGCGCTAAAATTTATATGGGAGAAAAGAAATTAGAAAAACTAAAATAATTTTGAAAAAAGAATAATGTTGGAGTTCTTTACGTATAAGTAAAATTTTTAGGACTTACTATAAAGTTACAGTAATCAAAACAGTGGAATGGAATTGGTGAAGAGATAACAAGTGGATCAGAACAAAATAGAGTCCATAAATATACTTATACAAACATGGCCATTTGATCTCTGACAAAGGCAGTTGACAAAAACCATTCAATGAAGAAAGAATACTCTTTTCAATCAATGGTTTTGGAACAATTTATCTTTTTATGTAAAAACATGAATTTGACCTAAATTTCACACTTTATGCAAAGATTAACTCAAAATAGAGCCTAGCTCTAAATATAAAACATGAAACTACAAAACTTTAAGAAGAAAACATAAGAGAAAATCTTTATGACCTGGGGTTAGATGATGAGCCCAAATGACACCAAAAATACCATCCATAAAATAAAAACTGGATATATTAGTCTTCATCAAAATTAAAAATTTTTGCTCTGTTAAGGACATGGTCAAAAGAATGAAAAAATAAGCCACAGACTAGGAGGAAATACTACAAATTACATATCTTACAAAGGTCTTGTATCAGTATATATAAAGAACTCTCAAAACTCAATAAAAAGACGACAACAACATTTACAAATGGGCAAAGGGCTTGAACAGACACTTCACCAAAGAGGATATAAGTATGGCAAATAAGCACATGAAAAGATATTCAACATTATTAGCTATTAGGGAAATGCAAATTAAAACCATGATTCAATACTGCTACATACCTACTAGAATAACTAAAATAAAAATACTAATAATACCAAGTGCTGACCAGGATATAGAGCAACTAAAACTCCCATACATTGCTGGCATAAATGCAAAGTGATATAACTACTTTGGAAAGTGGTTTGGCAGTTTCCTATAAAGTTAACATATGCTTACTAGTGATCCAGCTCTCCCACTCCTGAATGTTCATCCCAGAGAAATAAAAATTTATGTTTCCACAAAAAGCTGAATATGAAAGTTCATAGTAGCTTTACCAGTAAAACCATCTAAATGTTCTGTTGCTTAACAGGTGAATGGTTAAACAAATTGTGGTACATTCCTACAATGAAATACTACTCAGCAATAAGAAGGAATAGACTGTTGATACGTTCAACAAGTTGGGTGAATCTCAAAGACACTATGCTGAGTAAAAGAAGCCATCTCAAAAGGTTATTTATTCTATAATCCCATTTACATGACAAAACTATAGTAATGGAGAACAGATCAGTGGTTGCTAGGGGCTGGAGGAGGGGGAAGTTGTGACTGTAGAATGACAGCATGGAGGAGATTTTGGGGTGTGAGGCATGTGTGCTTTTTATGGTGGTAATTACATATATCTACATGTTTTGAAATTCACAGGGCTGCATACCAAAAGGAACAAAAGCACAAAACAAACAAACAAACAAACAAACAAGCAAATGATGGTGGAAACTATTTTCAAAACTTCCCTGTTCTGGTAAAGACGTTTTCAGAGCTCAAACTAGTCCTGCTGAAAATATTTTTTAAAATATGAAAGCATAGCGGAAAATGTAAGTATTTTGTTCTTTTGGATTTTTCTATTCTAACTACGCAAGTAAATTGATGTAGAAAAGCAAGTCTCCTTTAGTTGGTTTGTGAGTACAGATGAGTGTTTTAACATCCAGATTTGCAGGGGGTAGAGGAACTGAAAGAACTGAGAGTGTTCGTGGCTGGTCCATCCAGACCAACAGGGGACAGAATGTGTTACTCTAATGACTAGAAATTTTGTAGACGAGCAAAAGGCATTCTAATTATCAATTATGTTTATAATACCTATATCCTCTTCCATTAGTCTTATCTGTCAATGTTAATGAGTCAATATAGATAAGATTATGATCATTTCATGTGAATACTTTAACAAAAAGTAATATATTTAAGGACTAAAATTAGGTTGTCAGTTCATTCTATTCCTCTGGTATCCCAAAACTGAGGAGGTGGAGGCTTAGCAATTTGATACTACTGTCCTTAGTGTTAACTGTGAAATTGTAGGTATAACAAACGTCTAGGTCAGGAGTTAGCAAACTACAGTTCTGTGGCCCACAAGCTAAGAATGTCTTTCTATATTTTTAAACAGTTGTATGAAAAAGAAAAAAGAAAAAGAAGGAGGAGGAAGAAGAAGAAGAAAGAAGAAAAAGGAGAGGAAGAAGAAGAAGGAGGAGGAGGAGAAGAAGAGGAGGAGGAGGAGGAGGAAATGGCAGAGACAATGTATGTCCCAGAAAGCCTAAAATGTGTACTGTTTGTCCGTTTATAGAAAAAGTGTGCCAGTCCCTACTCTGTTCCCAATTTTAAAAACAAATAAATAAAAAGAAAAACAAGCAAGTCTCTCAGCCAAGAAAGAATCGATGGGAACTTTTTCAACTTTATAAAGTGGATCTACAAAAAACTACAACTAACACTAACGTCACACCTAATGGTGAAAGTCTGAATGTTTTCCCTCTAAGACTAGGAAAAGGTGGCATGGATGTCCACTCTCCCTACTCTATTCAGCATTGTATCAAAAGTTCTTATCAGTGAAATAAGACAAGAAAACAATAAATGGCATCCATATTGGAAAAGAAGTAACACTGTCTTTATTTGCAGATGACATTATAATCTAAATAGAAAATCTTATGGAATCTGCTAAAAAGCTAATAGAACCAATAAGCGAGTTTAGCATAGTTACAAGACACAACATATAAAAATTAATTATATTTCAAAATACTAGCAATGAACAATTAAATTTTCCTTTTAAAATTTTCAACAACATCAAGACATGAACCACTGGGGGATAAACCCCATGAAACATGGCAGAAAAAAATTCAGGAAGATCCAAATAAATTGAGAGATATACCCTTTTCATGAACTATAGGAATAAATATTATTGAAATACTAATTTTACCTAAATTGATGTACAGATTCAAGGCAATACAACCGAAATCCGAGCAGACTCTTTTGGACAACTTGAAATTGCTCATACATTTTTATAGAAATGTGAAGGGCCTACGATAACCAAAACATCTTTAAAGAAAAGACAAAGTTAGAGGACGTACACTACCTGTTTAAAAGCATAAAGGCAAACAAGGAGAGGTAATGGCCCTCATTGTATTTTTTGATGGTGAAGATAAATTGAAATATGTTTTTCAGCTCTCATATTGCATTTTTAGACACACACAGCAAATGGTGGGTGATGTTTATAAATATCATACTATTTGAGAAAATGTCAAAGTAACTGGGAGTATTTAGCCTGGAGAGAAAAAGAGGGGTTTGTTAAGGAGGCCAGATTACCATGTCAAATAATATGAAGGGCTGTTATAATAGGAGAGATATTTGAGCTATTCTGTGTAGCTTCTGAAGGAAGAGCCTGAACATACAGAAGGCAAAGGCAGACTTGGCTCAGAATAAGGATAAACTTTCTGGAAGCCACCTGTCATGTATGATATGTTGAAACTAGATTACTGTTTCTAAAAGTGTAGTCTGAGGTCTATTTGCATCATAATCTTAGAGAGGTTGTTTAAAAATTTAGATTCCTGGGTCATAATATGAACCATTAATTTTAATCTCTGGGAATGTGACCCAGGTATCTGCACTTTAAAAACCTTTGCAGACGAGTTGTGTATTCATTAAATTTGGAAATTGCTGGTTGAGATGACTGACAGGGATTCTTTTGAATTCAAAGAATCTCTAATTCTCCTTTTCCTTTCCTAAAGGTCTCCTTTTTCATTTTGTTGGGTAAATATGACAGTCTTTCTATAGTTTGCATTTAATTCTTTTTTCCAAACAACTCCATGGCAAATTAAACTTCATAGCATACACTTCGGGAAATGTTTAATAACGGATGACTCAATGTGTTTTCAGGTGTGATTGTTATCATGGTAGAGCATCAAAATTGCTTACCGATTGCTCTCTTTGCTTTAATGTCAGGATTTTAGCAACGCATGGACCAACTGTAGTATAATGTGTAGAAAGAAATATCAAAGTGATAGCCCCACCACAGGGTACATTATGGCCACGACATAGACTGTATGTACTGTGTTGTTGACCCCACGACATAGACTGTACTGGGTTGTTGACCCAGCCTTTTTCTAATGTCACGATGTTACAGGAAAGGGGTCCTGATCCAGACCCAAGAGAGGGTTCTTGGATCTCGCGTAAGAAAGAATTCAGGGCAAATTTATTAAGACAGTAAACAAATAAAAGAATGGCTACTCCATAGAGCAGTCCTGAGGGCTGCTGGTTGCCCATTTTTATGGTTACTTCTTGATGATATGCTAAACAAGGAGTGGATTATTCATGCCTCCCCTCCTCAGACCATATAGGGTAACTTCCTGACGTTGCCATGGCATTTGTAAACTGTCATGGCGTTGGTGGGAGTGTAGCAGTGAGGACAACCAGAGGTCACTCTCGTCACCATTTTGGTTTTGGTGGGTTTTGGCCGGCGCCTTTACTGCAACCTGTTTTATTGGCAAGGTCTTTATGACCTGCATTTTTTGCTGACCTCCTATCTCATCCTGTGACTTAGAATGCCTTCACTGTCTGGGAATGCAGCCCAGTAGGTTTCAGCCTCATTTTACCCAGCTCCTATTTAAGATAAAGTTGCTCTGGTTCACACGCCACTGACAACAACTCTTGACTAGAGAAACCTGCAAAGGAGATCTCTAAATACGGTCCATGAACTAGGGATCACAGTCATAAAAACAGTAACATTTTAATTTTCAAATTTAAAAAGAAACAAACAATTATCACCTGAAATCCAAATATAGACTCATGGCAGGAAGAAACATACCATTTAGCTACATTGCATATACAATTAAATACCTTATAAACATCATTTAAACCATCTCCATCATCACAGCATTCCTGAGTATATAACAGCAGCAGGAAGGATAGGAGCTCTTCCACAAAAAAAAGCAGGGAACAACTTTGCCAATTAACTCAATATTATATACACTTTAAATAGCAAATGCATGCATATCTAAGATTGTTAGGTCTCTGGATGAATTGGTTCTATCATTATGAATTGGACTTCCTTATCTCTCGTAATACTCTTTGTCCTGAAGTCAATTTTGTCTGATATTAATTTGGTTTTACTGGCTTTCTTACATTTAGTGCATGCATGGTACGTATTTTTCAAGCCTTAAGTTTCAACTTCTGTCTTTATACTTAAAGTATCTCTCCTGTAAATAGCATATAGTTGGGTTTTAGTTGTTGTTATTGCTTTTTTTTCCAGTCTGACAATCTCTGCCTATTAATTGGAATAGTTAATTCATTCACATTTCATCTAATTATCAATATGACTGGGTTTAAGTCTATCATCTTTCTATCTGTTTTTTATTGGTCCTCTTTGTTCGTCTTGTGTGTGTGTGTGTGTGTGTGTGTGTGTGTGTGTGTGTGAATCAAATAATTTTTAGCATTTCATTCTCTTTTCTTTGTTGGCTTCTTATCTATACCTATTTGTATCTTTTCCTAGGAATTAATATTAGCCTATCACAGTCTATATTGAATTAATATTGCACTACTTCATGGATAATGTAAGTACCTTGCAACACAGTACAATTCTATTTATACCTTGGCCCTTTTTTTGTGCTATTGTTGTCACACATATTTTACTACTACTTATGTTATAACCCTCCATAATATATCGTTTGTTTTAACTAACAAACTTAGAAAAAATAGTATTTTATAATTACCCACATATTTACCACTTCCAGTGCTCCTCCTTCTTTCCCATAGATCTGAATTTCCAACTGATATCATTTCCCCTTTGAAGAACTTTTAGCATTTTTAGATTTAAACTTTTTTAAAATGTAAAATCTTTAGCATTTTTTTGTAGTCAATTCTCCTGGTGCAAATATTCTCAGATTTTGTCTGCTTGAGAATGTCTTTATTTTGCTTTAATATTTACAAATATTTCACTGGATATAACATTCTAAATGATGAGATTTTTGTTTGTTTGTTTGTTTTTTGAGACAGAGTCTTACTCTGTCACCCAGGCTGGAGTGCAGTGGCACAATCTTGGCTCACTACAGCCTCTGCCTCCCGGGTTCAAGAGATTTCCTTGCCTCAGCCTCCTGAGTAGCTGGGACTATAGGCACATGCCACCACGCCTGGCTAATTTTTCTGTATTTTTAGTAGAGACAGGGTTTCACCATGTCAGCCAGGCTGATCTCAAACTCCTGACCTCAAGTGATCCACCCACCTTGGCCTTCCAAAGTGCTGGGATTACAGGCGTGAGCCACCACGTTTGGTCTAGATGATGAGCTTTTAAAAGCTGTCATTCCATTGTCTCCTGGCTTTCATTGCATTTGACGTCAACAGTTATTCTAATTATTGTCCCTGTATTTAATGTGTCTTTTTTCTCTGGCTGTGTTGATTCTTTTTTCTTTGTCATTGGTTTTCAGTAGTTTGTCTGTGATGTCTAATATTATTGCATTGTAGAAAGAAAATGTGGTTGTGTTATTGATTCTTTAGAATTTCTTGGGACTTCTTTTGTGGTCTGATATGTGGTCATTGTTTTCTATGTGTGCTTGAAAGTAATGTAAATTCTCTATTTCAGGAATACATATTCCCATATAGGTCTCTTTAATCTGGCTTGTTAATTATGGTGTTTAAAATGTCTATATCCTTATCAATATTTGATCAGGTTCTGAAAGAGGCATGCAAAAATATCTTCTATTAAGGTGGATTTGTCCAATTTATTTGATAAGCTAGGAGTCTATTTTGTTAGGAACATACAGACTCAGCACTGCTATTGATACCCTGTGAATTAATCTTTAGTCGTTGAATCATGACCTTCTTTATTCCAAATTAAACTTTTATGCCTTAATATTGCTTTCCTTGCAATGTTAGTCTTTATCTGTTTTGTCTTTTTCCATACCTTTCAACCATTAAGCATTATCATGTTTTAGGTATCCCTCTTAAAAACTACACATAGATGAATTTTATTTTCTAAAAATAATCTGAGGGTCCCCATTTTTGAACACACTAGTTTAATCTGTTCACATTTACTGAGATTACTGATATATCTACACTTTTTCTACTATATGTTTTTTGTGTTTATTATGCCTTTTCTTAGCTTATTTTTCTTTTTCCTGCTCCTTATTAGAGCAATCTAGTGTTCTTCCTTTTTTAAAAACTTTTATTTTAGGTTCAGGGGCACATGTGCAGGTTTGTTATATAGGCCCACTCCTGTCACCAGGGTTTGTTGTACAGATTATTTCATCATCCTGGTACTAAGCCTAGTACCCAACAGTTATTTTTTCTGGTCCTCTCCCTCCCCACTCCCTGCCCCCGACAGGCCTCAGTGTGTTGCTCCTGCTAATGTGTCCATGTGTTCTCATCATTCAGCTCCACTTATAAGTGAGAACATGCAGTGTTTGGTTTTCTGTTTCTGTGTTAGTTTGCTATGGATAATGACCTCAGTTCCATCCATGTTCCTGCAAAGGACATGATCTTGTTCTCTTTTATGACTGCACAATATTCCATAGTATATATGTGCCACATTTTCTTTATCCAATCTGCCACTAATGGACACTTATGTTGATTCCATGTCTTTGCTATTGTGAATAGTGCTGCAGTGAACATTTGCATGCATGTGTCTTTATGATAGAACAATCATATTCCTTTGGGATTTTACTCAGTAATGGGATTGCTGGGTCAAATGGTAGTTCTGTGTTTAGCTCTTTTAGGACTCACCATACTGCTTTCCGCAATGATTGAACTAATTTACACTCCCAACAATAGCATATAAGTGTTCTTTTTTCTCCACAACCTTGACAGCATCTGTTATTTTTTGACTTTTAGTAATAGCCATTCTGACTGGTGTGAGACGGTATCTCATTACGGTTTTGATTTGCATTTCTCTAATGATCAGTGATATTAAGCTTTTTTCTTCATATTTCATTTCATTTCTTCTGGTTGGCCACATGTATGTCTTCTTTTGAAAAGTGTCTGTTCACGTCCTTTGCCCACTTTTTAATGGGGTTGTGTATTTTTTTTCTTGTAAATTTGTTTAAGTTCCTTATAGATGCTGGATATTAGACCTACATCAGATGCATAGTTAGCAAATATTTTCTCCCATTCTGTAGGTTGTCTGTTTACTCTGTTGATATTTTCTTTTGCTGTGAAGAAGTAGAACAATCAAGTGTTTTTTAATCTTTTTTTCTCACGTAAAAGAAGTCCTACATTTCCCCCTATTCTTTGAGGGTTACTCTTAAATTTTGGAAAGCACACTTGCTTAAAGTCTAAAGTAAACCTAAGTCTATCTTCCTCCCAAATAATTAAATGAATTTGGACTTTGTAATTTTAGTCTCTCTTAATCCCTTTGTTCCTGCTGTTGTCATCTAGCATTTTAGTTACTTGCTATTTACATAACCCCTTAACTGATCCTCTTTAAAACAAACAGTGCTTCTTAGAGTTACAAACATGTTTACAAATTTCTTTGTTCATCATTATTCCTTCTTGCACCCCACTTTGTATTTTGGGATTAAACTTCCTTTTTCCAGAAGTATATATATTATGAGTTCTTTGGTGAAGTCCTCAAGTTGATAAATTCTCTCAACCTTTGTTTCTCTAAAAATGCCTCTTTATTTCACCCCACCTTTGAAGAGTAATCTAGTGTGGTATATTATTCTTAGCTAATACCCATTTTCCCTAAGCATTTTGAAGATAATATTTTGTCATCTCGTGGCATCTGTCGTTGCTAATATGGAGTCTGCTGTCAGTTTAATTTGCAGTTTTCTACATGGACAATCCCAAATTATCTTATAAACTTTTTATATTCTTTTATTCCACACATTCCTAAGCAGTGCCTCTTAACCTTTTTTTTAAAGAAGGGGTTTTGCAGAGTCCTGTGAGAATCTGATAGCTGAAGTCACCCATACATTCCCCTCCGTACAAGATCAGGAGGTTCAGAGATCACTTGAAGTCTATCTTTGAATCCTCTTAAGAACTTCTGCCGAGAATTGCTCTAAAACCAACAAAAAGTATTCAAAAAATATATTTGCTAAGTTAATTAATTAATGGACATAGGGTATGGATGGACATCTGGATGGGTGAATAAATGAATCCTGGGTAATCCTAGGGAAAAGTCATGATTTCAGACATCCTACCTGTTACTCCTGTTAACATTACTGATGGCTATTTCTTAGTCTATTAATGCAGATGCTATAATTTGAATACAAAAATGAAATGAATATCACTTCTTAGAGATACATTTGTACTTCAAGGTGACAATTTGACTATTAATAAAAATACCCTGCTGAAAAGATAAACAGTGTTTGCTTTTTAAAGTTTGCAGAGCATTTCCATATACATTCTTTTAATTCATTTAATTATCAAGTAAACCTAGTGAGTTAAGTATTTTTGCCCTCATTTTTTGCAACTGAGGAAGCCAAAACCATGGAGAAAATTTTAGTGATTTGCTTAAAATTTTATAACCAGCTAGCTGGATTCAATGCAGGTTTTCATTTTATTCTCTCTTTCTCTTTGCCTGCTCTTACATTCTCCATTCCTCTGCAACTTAGTCATTTTGGGCTCCTATAACAAAGTACCATATGCTGGGTGGCTTTTAAGCAACAGAAATTTATTTCTCACAGTCTGGAGGCTGGTATTCTAAGTCAGATTCTAGTGCAGTCGAGTTCCGGTGAGGGCCTATTTCCTGATCTGTAGATGGCCGTCTCCTTACTGTGTCCTCATGCAGTAGAGGAGACAGAGAGCTCTCTGGGGTCTCTTGTATAAGGGCACTAATCCCATTCATGAGGACTCCACCAATTATCTACCAAAGGCCTTACCTCCTTATGCCGTCACATGGTAGGCTTAGGATTTCAATGTATGAATTTTGGGGGACACAAACATTTAGTCTACAGTACCCTTGCCTCAGAGCTGCTAGACACCAGTAAGAGGCTATAAGAATTTGTATGCCCCAGCAAGGGCAGCCATATATTAAGAAGCAGGGCATCACCAGGGCTCCAAAGTGCTACCTCAGACCTGGGCAGCGCTTGAGCATGCTCCACTTGGACTAAAGAAAAAAGAAAGAATCCACCTGGGGTGATTCTCTGGGATGCATGCTGTGGGTGCATGCATCAGAGCTGGAGAGGAACACAGAGTGGGCGATAAACATCCAAGGAGGCTTCTCCTACCCACTAAATGATCTCGAATTATGACGGCTCCCTCCATTATGCTGCTATCTCTGACCCTATCCTTTATTCACTAAGTCATATTGTTGGGGTCCTTTCCATTAGACCTACTGTCCACTCTTCTCCTTACTCTACACTGCCCTTTAAAATTTAGCCTGCATCAGTTAGAACTCTTCAAAACATTTATCCCAGCTTTCCTCTAGTGCTGATAGGGTGCAAGTTGGTACAACCTTTCAGGAAAAGTGTTTGGTAGTATCTAATACAGCTGAAGATATGCACACCCCACAACACAGCAATCCCCTTCCTAGAGATCTGAGTGAAATGTGCTCATATGTTCACCAACAGATATGGACAACACCATTCACAGCAGCTTTATTCATAATATCACCAAACTGGAAACTATCCAAACACCATCAATAGTAAAATGATAGATAAATTGGGGTAGCATATTTACTCAATGGGATGCTATACAACAATAAGAATAAGCAAATTACAGTATAGATGAATCTTACAAACATGGTGAACAAAATCGGCTACACAAAAGAGCACACACTGTATGATTTCATTAAAATTTAGCACAAAACTGATAAAATTAGTCTCTGCTGATAGAGGTTAGGACAGTAACTACCCTTGGAGGGAACAGAAACAAAAAGAAGGGATAAGGGAGGCTTTTGGGGTCCTGGTAATATTCTGTTCCTTGCTGTGGGTGCTGCTTACATGAGGGTGCTCAGTCTGCGGACTGTGCAATGATGATATATTTACTTCTTTATATGCGTATTATGTACCTAATAGGGAAAATATTTATCTCTGCCCAAACTTAATTTAAATATACCTGTTTAAGTCTTATATATACCATACAAGTGTACATTGATTTGAAGGCCCTTATTCATTCCCTCAAAAAAATCAAAGTCGCTATTGTTATCTACCAGCTGGGTCAGGAGCTATGCCTTTAACTTGTTCATGTCATGAGATGTTATGTTAGTGCCCTCCCACCAAACCACGCCAAGATCAGTAAAGGAATTATGTAAATACAATAGGCAGCACTGATGAAACAGCAATTATATATCTTAGCAGCTGTGTGCTTCTGTTCATGTTAATTAGCCAGAAAATTGTTTGCATAATGATTTTATGAAGCATTTGGTGATTTAACCATTTAATTCTGAAGACTTATCCAAAAGTCATTAAACCATTTAAAGTGGTAGAGATCATAGTTGGTGCTATTTCAGCAAACTTAACAAAACCCAAATGGCCTCAGAATTCCATGGATCTCTTCTGTGTAACCAATCATTGCAGCTGGCAGGTCTGTGCTGGCTTTTGCTTTTTAAATTTTTATTATTTTCCCTCTAAAGGACATGTGTGTCAACTCTGTTAAAATGATATACAACCAAAATGAGTTCTTGGGCCTGCCACTACGCTTTCTGATTAGATCAAAGTACACATGAATCACTGACTTGGTTATTAAATCCATGTGCTTCATTCCTTATTTGTGAATAGGAGACATTAAGAAAGAGAAATCAAGAGAGGTTACAAAGGCAGAGGCAAAAGCAAAGAAGGGAAAATTGACCTTGGAGATTTGTTTGAAAAGTACTTATGGCCCACCAAAAGTATAGCCAACTTTATAATATTTTGGTAGCTTTTCTGCATGTTGCTAATGTCATCATAACAATATAGTTCATGACATAAAGCTTCAGTAGGGAATATTTTGTATTCCTTTTTCTTTTGACTTAGAGGAAAAACTCAATGCTTTATATCTGGCAAGATACTGAGGTAAGTCATTGATGGAGGCATTGGGCTTGGGGTCTGAATACTCGTACAGTATTTAAGTCCTAACTAGGTCCCTCTCATAATGTATAACCTCTCAAAGGCTCAGTTCTTGCTTCTCAAATGGGAACACTGGAAGCAATTAGAGTGGAGCTTAGAGTTCAGATTAGAATCAGACTGCATATGCTCACATCTCAGCTCTGCTCTTACTAGCTCTATGACCTCAAGCTTGTTGTCACTTAACCTTGCTGCACCTCTGGCTAATTTTAACAATATCTGACTCATCTAGTGGTTGAGGATTCATCTTGTCCAGTTGTGCTACAATAACAAAATACCTGAGACTGAATAATTTACAGACAACAGAGGTTTATTTCTTACAATTATGGAGGCTGAGAAGTCTAAGATCAAGGTGCAGGCATTGGGTGTCTGGCGAGGGCCTTCTTGGTGCATCCCTACATGACAAAAGAGATGGAAGGAATGAACTGGCCCTTTCAAACCCCCCTTTTTTTTTTAATTGTACTTTAAGTTCTGGGATACCTGTGCAGAATGTGCAGGTTTGTTACAGAGGTATACATGTGCCATGGTAATCAAACCCTTTTATAAGACATTAATTCCATCCATGAGGGTGTTGTCTTATGACTTAATCACCTCCCAGAGCCCCACCTCCTTATACTATGCCCATTGGCAATTAAGTTTCAACATATGAATTCTGGGGCACACATTCAGACCATAATAGGATTAGATGAATTATGGGAACACATATGGGAACTCTAAGAGCTGCCTGGCACAGAATAAGCACTTTATAAGTGATTTCTATTGTTATTTTTACATCTGTTGTTTGGGAAAATAACATTTTCTGTGTGAAAGTGCAACTTAAACTGTAAATTTTAGAAAAGATGATTCCCGTAATCCTGTAATTTGTCTAAGGATGACCCATTTGTGATTCCCTAGGGAAAAAGTCAGAAGTTGAAAATTAAATATACTAAACACAAGTTCAAATTAGTGCATCTTAGGGAAGAAAACTCAACTGCATAGCCGCCATCAATTAATTACATCTTCATAAGAGCCCAGCGCAGGCACAGCTCAGCTGGAAGATAGCAACTGAACAGTTAAATCCAGGAAGGGAACAAAAGATGGGCAACTATTGTTCAAGAAACAGAGGGTCTGCCATTTTTAAAATTACCCCTTGGGAGTCACTGCTAATGGGTATGGGCTTCTTTTTAGAGTGATGAAAGTGTTCTAAAATTGATTGTGGTCACGACTACACAACTCTGTGAATATACTAATTCCATCAAATTGTACACTTCAAATGAATGAATAGTATGATATGTGAACTATATCTCAATAAAGCTATTTTTTTTTAAATCCTACCCCTCGAACTTCAATTCATATCACAGGTTTCCTTTTTAAGAAACACATGAAAAGAGAATGCATTTGGCCTCTTCTGGAGTGGTGAGGCTGCTGGCACCCAGGCTGAGCTCAGCAGCTCCAGCTCTGGCCTTCTAGGTGATGATGGCAGGTACTGCAGATCCTGGCAGCCTAAAGTCCCCACCGGACCATGAGCACACAGAAAAGAATGTTAACTTCTTCCTTTTTTCTTTTTTTCTCATTTGTTTGTAAATGAGAGCAGGGTTTGAAAGGAAAAGGCTGACCCCACGGGTGTGTGTCCTGCTCATTACGTCAGGTGGCAGTCGGAGGGAAAGAGCAGGGGCCAGCACCCAGGGGACTGTGGTGGTGGGCAGCCTCTCAAATGGGACAGGAGTTCCTCTTGAGAAGAGATGTCTGTCTGTCTGTCGTGTTTATGGTACAACCTCTCCCAAGCTGTTTGCATTTCCACAGGGTCTTTTGAAGAATAAAGTGACTGAGCTCTTGCATGGTAGCAGGGGGTCATTCTAATGCTCACTCTAGTCTCCCATTCAGACAGGGGCTCAGAGCTTTGACTTCTGCCGGAGGTGAAAGTTAGTGACTTCCAATGTAAACAATGAGAAACCATCATAAAGACATCCACAGACATGAAAGAAACAAAAGCTCTGCAGGTAGAGCCCCCCAAACAAAGCACCAGACCCCATTCTCAGGGCATAAGACTAGATTCTCTGGAGGCTGCCAGGGGCCCAGTTTGTCCCAACTTCCAAATTGGAGGACTATTTGAAACATTTCTTTCCCAGTGAGAGTGGAAGGAATCTTTAAAGACATAGTGAGCTCCTAAGACACCCAGAGAGAGCAAGCCTGGTCTCAGGGTATCAGGGCTCTGTCATGGGGGGTTGCCTCGTGTGCCACAAAGTGCACCCTTCTTATATGTGGCTTTCTGGGGAGATGAGCTTTAATTAATAGTATATCTTTGTTGTGTTTAGCCAAACGTTACAAAAGGGTCAAATTCTAAAATGTTTTAAAAGATAAAACTAGTGGGTACAAGTTTGAGGAGAAACACAATGTTTACATGGTCCCAAAGTATCTCTCCACAAGATTTTTATTAATTACAAAAAGAACAATAACATCAAGAATAGGAAAAACTAGGCTGGGTGCCATGGCTCATGCCTATAATCCCTGCACTTTGGGAGGCTGAGGTGGGAGGATCACTTGAGGCTAGGAGTTCGAGACCAGCCTGGGCAACATAAGATGACTCCATCTCCATCAAAAATAAAAAATTAGCCAGGTGTGGTGGTTCATGCCTATAGTCCCAGCTACTTGGGGATGCTGAGGCAGGAGGATTGCTTGAGGCCAGGAATTCAAGACTGCAGTGAACTATGATTATGGCAATGCACTCCAGCCTGGGTGACAGAGCAAGACCCTGTCTCAAAAAAAAAAAAAAAAAATCTCTAACATGATAAATTGACATCAAGTGTGATAATACACTGAGAAAGAGCCAACATATCTTCTGTGATATTCCTGCCAAATATGTGTAACCTGAAAATATTTATGAAGAAGCATTAGGCAAACCCAAATTAAGGGACATTCTATAAAACAGCTGGTTTATATTCTTCAAACATGTTAAGGTCCTAAAGGACAAAATTAAAAAAAAAAAAAAAAAGGAAGAGTTCAAGATTAATAGAGACTAAAGAGATCCAAGGCAATGCCTGATCCTAGATTGGATCCTTGATCCTTTTGCTATAATGTCTATTGCTGGGACAGTAGTGATTTGAATAAGCTCTAAAGATTAGATAACAGTGTAGCAGTGTTAACCCCTTAATTGTAATAATTGTACTGTGTTTATGTAAGAAAAGCACCCTTGTTTTTTTAGGACATATACACTGATGTATAGGGGTAAAGAGATATGATATCTGCAACCTGCTCTCAAAAGGTTAGACAACAGTAATGATGACAATTGTATATAATTAGAGAGAGAAAATGGGAAAGCAAAACTGCTAACCTATTAACATTTGAAGAATCTGAGTGAAGGATACATCGGATCCTTTGTACTATTATTGCAACTTCTTTGTAAGTTTGAAATATTTCAAAATAAAATCCTTTTTTAAAAAACATTACATTTTCCAGGAGAAAAAAGTGAAATGAATTCTACATGGCTTTTGGAGTCTTTACAGACAAAAATGAGTTTTGTCTGTAAAGACTCCAGAAGCGGGATGCAGATTTGGATAAAGCAACCCTTCTGGAGGCTCCCCATGCTGCACTGGATCTCTGTTGGAGCTTTGGAATTCCAGAGGTCTCTTCCACATGGCTGCTCTGTGGGTTGCCAGACTCATCCTTCCCTGAAGGGAGATTATCTGTTTAATGGTTAGGAGAATGTGAAACACTCCCTTGACACTCAGCATTTGGAAATAATATCTAATGTGATAGAGAGTCTGGGTACCCTGTCCAAGGAAATTATTTCCCATCCTTCTGTGCAAGACATCGAAGAACTATTGTTTGGACTATTAAGGTAATGAGATGCAGATGAGAACTTAAATTACAATGCTATATATAGACTCTTGAAATGTTTTCTTACTGGATTTTAGCTACCCCTGTCCTTTTCTTGCCTAATTTTCTCTTTACTTGTTTTATGTTTATGAGTTCATTAGCTGCTATTGTCATGACACTGTGGGAAGAGGCTTAAGGACTTTGTCATTTGTCATTTGACAAATGCTTTTAGGAACTTCAACACATCATTCTGCCCCCTCCACCTCCCCCACCCCGCCGCCACTCCCTACCCTCCTGCCCCAAGTCATATTTCTAACTGGTGGAAAAAAAAAAATAGAGAAAGGAAGGGAAGGAAAGAGAAGAGAATTAACAAGTGATTTACATCAATATCTCATTTAATCTTTGCACAATCTTGGAAGGCAGGTGGCAATATTTATTGACAGATGGAACTGAAATTCTAAGAAGTTAAAAAGTGGCCAATGCCTTACAAACCACACAGAGAACAGCGAGATTCAATATTGAAGTTTTTCTACCTCTGGAGCCTATGGTGTTTCCACTTTACTATTTAATACCAATAAAATCTCATTCACCGAGTTCTCTTTAAAAATAACATTTTTGAGCTGGGCATGGTGGCTCATTCTTGTAATCCTAGCACTTTGGGGGGCCAACGGGGGTGGATCACTAGGTCAGGAGATCAAGACCAGCCTGGCTAATGTGAAACCCTGTCTCTACTAAAATTACAAAAATTAGCCAGGTGTGGTGGCGGGTGCCTGTGGTCTCAGCTACTCAGGAGGCTGAGGCAGGAGAATTGCTTGAATCCGAGAGGTGGAGGTTGCAGTGAGCCAAGATTGCACCACTGCACTCCAGCCTGGGTGACAGAGCGAGACTCCATCTCAAAAACAAAACAAAACAAAACAAACAAAAAAACAAAAACCAAAAAGCAAAACAAAACAAAACTTTTTTCCCCTGATTCTGAGGAGATTATATAGCAGAAAGCATAGAAAACTTAGAAAATACAGAAAAGCACAGTAAACAAAATTCAATAATTCTATCACCCACAGTTAATCTTCTTGCATTCTTGATAATGATTACATTTTAAAACATCATTCATGAGCTAACAAACTTTTGGAAAACTGTTTTTAAAAACTTTTTATTCTTATTTTTAGTAGTCTTACAACTCAATATACAATTATTTTTCTATATATTTATATTATTATGTTTACCATGAGTGAAATTTTAGAATCTCAAAAACACTTAAATTTTCTACCTTCAATGGTAATATATTTTTTCTTAATATTTTTCAAAAGCATGACCTTATGAATATTACTTACACAGGACAATTTAAACATCTTCTAACTTGCTAACAATACTAATATTAACGTTGATGTAAATAAAGATGTTTATGGTGACATAAAGCTAGAGAAAAAAAAATCAAAACAAAAGAGTCCCTAATGTTATAGATGGAATTTTATCCTCCCCTCAAATTATTCTGTTGAAGCCCTACCCCCCACTACCTCAGAATGTGTCTGTATTTGAAGACATGGCCTTTAAAGAAGTAATTAAGTTAAAATGAGGCCATTAGGGTGGGCCCTAATCCAATCTGAATGGTGTTCTTATAATAATAAAAGGAGATTAGAACACGCCAAGGAAGACAACCAGGGATGTGCAGGCACAGAGAAAAGGCCATGTGAGGACACAGCCTGGAGGGGCAGCCGTGTGTGAGCCAAGGAGAGGGACGTCAGGAGAAACCAAATCTGTGGACACCTTGATCTTGGACTTCCAGCCTTCAGAACTGTGAGGAAATACATTTCTTTTGTTTAAACCACCCATTGTGCGGTATTTTGCTATGCCAGCCTGAGCAGACTAATAGACCTAATAATATGTGCCCTCCTCATATTTTCAGAGCACTTACATTTCTTATTTTAATCGCTTATTTAGTTTTTTGTCCTTTCTGTTAGCCTGCCAGCTGTGTGCAAGTAGGGGCAGTGTCTGCCTTGATAGCTACTATTTATCAAGAGTTTTACTTCCCTTACCACATTTAACCTCACCCTAAGCATGGAATAAGTATCTTCATCTTCATTCCACAACTGAGGGCTTGAAGCATGGAAAGGTTAAATAACTTACCCAAAATACCAGTTGCAGTTGGACCTGCACATAGTGTTTGGAACGTAACAGCATTCGATACATGTGGGTTGAATAAATGAATAAACAAATAAGTTAAGTTATGGAAGCAAGATTCAAATACAGGTGTGTCTGACTCCAGTGCTCATGCTTCTAAACCTGCACTGTCTTCGGCTTGGATACAAGCATATTATCAGGGCTGCTACTGTGCCAGGGACACCATAAGCACTCAAAAATGCCTGTTAAATAAATAAATGACTGAATGAGTCACAACCTGTCTGAACTGTAGTTTCTCATGAATAATACCACCTACTTTCATCTTGCAGTTGTCATAGGGTATAAATAGGACATGAAAGGCAAATGAAAACTTCATTCTTATTATCACCTTATTTTAAAATTATTAATAGCACAGTCTTCAGAGTCACACTGATCTGGGTTTGAAACATAGGATGAACATTTAATGGCTGTGTGACCTAGGACACATTATGTAATCTCTCTGTGCCTCAGTTTCTTCATCTATAAAGTGGAGATGATGGCACCTACTTCATAAGGTTAATGAAAGAATAAATGATACCTATTACACATAAAGCATTTAGCATTAATGAATGGTAACTGCTTTATTATTTTTAAACTAAAGCACAAAGCTTAAGAAAAGTCTAATCTTATTGATAAATAAACCAATGAGAATTAAACAATTCCTCTCACTACAAATTGGTAAGAGCTAAATCTCCTATAGCACCGTAGAACTGATATGTCATTTGAGAGGAATTCCATAGAAAGTGTCCTCTGTCCCCATCAGCCCCAGACACCCCTGAGAACAGAGTTTCTGAGAGGAGAGGGTACATTCCCAAGCCTTCCTGGTCTTGGGAGCAGTGGCCATAAGCTGAAACCAAGATGGCCTTGTCACACACACTAAATCCAACAAGACACTACTACTTAAGGAGAAGTTTTAAAAACAAACAAAAGACCGCTTCTGAGAACTTCCTTTCTACTTTTATGTCCAGGCCAATGATCCCTAATTTTGTGTATTTATGGCTTACATAAAAGGTTGCAAGCTCTCCTGACCATGAGCATTTGGAGAGTCTCCCATCATTAATGAAGATAGTAGCACCAGGGAACCCATGGTTCAGAAGTCAGGCTAATTAAAAATAGCACCACATTTATTGGTGGTAACAATCCAAACCTAATATTGGGTATTGTGCCCATTTCAAACAAATTAAATTTCAGTGGGGAAAAGTGCATTTTAGGTAATCCAGGCTGGAACTTTTTTTTCAGATATGAGATCTCCTCCACCTGACAGGGATATGGAAATATCAACTTTCTGAACTAAAGAATAAGATGAACTACATGACCTTGAAAGTCCCTTTTAACTAAAGGCTTAATGATAGGAGGATCTGTGTTTGTGTTTATTTGTTTCACCTGTGCTGCTAACCTGGCTTTCTAAACTGGCACTCAGTTTTTCTGTATCCAAAAAAAGCAGTGATGAAAACACCTACACAGTGATGAAAGGAAATTTTGAATATGACACCAATACATCAGTCCTTCTCAGCTACCTTGTCTAAACAGCATACATAGTGGTCAAGAGAATGTTCAGGGCCAGACAGTCCTAGAACTGAGTTTGAATTCTACTACTTTCTAGCTGTGAGATATTGGGCAGGTTATTAAATCTCTTTAGATCTTCTTCCCTCCTCTGTATAATCAGGGCAATTATAAATAATCATTGAAGATAATTCAATGAGACAATGTATATAAAGTGTTTTGCACAGTTCTTGACATATGGTAAGTGCTTAACAAATGTTTTCTCTTATCTATAAATGCTGGGATCAAAGTGGGTAGATAGTATCCCATAGTGAAACAGTATAAGTTCTGGAGTAACACAGGAACAGGTCAAATCTTGGCATGGTTTTTCTACTTACAAATTTTGTGATTTCCTGCAAGTAACAAACTACGAGCCTTAGTGTCTTCATTTGTAATTATTCAAACCCAGATCTGTTTGACTCAAAAGCTTATGCTTTCAATTACTACGCTACAGGGGTGAACATGATACCTGCAGGGTTGATATTTGTATAACCCTTTGTAGTGAAATTGACATCTAGAATAAACTCAAGTAGTAGTAGAAATAGCAGTAATTATTGCTTCCGTCATGCTCTTCTTCATCTTTATCATTCAGTGGCCTAGGATGCAACTGTAAGGTAAAGCCAGGCTACCTGAGAAGGTGATTGGGGTTGAGCTGATAGAGACCCAGCATAAGGCAGCCTGCATAGCAGAGTAAGACCCAGATGGTCACTACCCCTCCAGCTCAGGTTGTCCATTCATTCAGTGGAGATAATGGCAGGGGAAAGGAGTATCACAGGTTTGCTTGTGTGTTGCCTCCTCTGATGAAGGAGAAATGTCTGTGAAAACCAGGAAGGTCTCTTCCAGCTTTTACATTCTCAAATTTGATATCTAATGAAACCACCATTTAGAATACTCTGATTCTGAGCCACTTAACCTCTCCAACCCTGTTTTGTCACCTCTCAAATGGTGGTAATACTGTGTACCTCTGTGCTCCTGGCAGGGGACACTTACTCCTGTGTGTCCTGAATGCCTTGGGCAGTGCCTGACCTTAGTTATGGTGAGGACATAATTTCATGCTTGTTGAATACTAAAGAAATGGTGGGGGCAGAGGCAGAGGTATAGATTCCTGCAGAGGCATCTACCCTCTTACTGTTAACAAACAACTCCTTTTGGATAAATCAAAACCCAGAACTGAGGCCACTCACCAGCTCTCTTGCTGTGAAAGCCCTGCAGCTCCCCACAGAAGAAGTCTCTTTAAGAGTGAAGAATGCCAAGCATGTCTCCATGCTCTTAGATGCAGAGGAAACTGGCCTGCAAAGTTTGAAAAATGGTGCAAAAACTCAGCACCTCTGAATTCCCCAGAGGAAATCCTGCTCAGCTTCCTCTCTGGTGCTTACCAGATTGGAATGTAATACCCAGGAGTGGCTTTTTGCTTGACCATAACAGCAAGGTCCAGCCCCCTTAAGTGTTTCTCCATGCTGTCCAGCAGCCAGCCACTGGAATTTTTTTGTTTTTGTTTGTTTATTTGTTTGTTTTGCATTAATGAAACTGTAGCCTCTGGTTTTGTGTTTCTACTTCACATTTTCCCTTTCCCCCCAGTCCACATCGTCATCATTCATTGCCTTTATTAAGGGCCCATTTGCTGGGCATTTGACTGTCTGCGCATGACAGTGGATATAGGCACCACTTCATCTCTAACAGATAGGAAATCACTCCCCACACATAAGACCCACTATGGTCTTACCTAGTTCCTGATGTCCCCTCCCTATCAACACACACACACACACAGACACACACTCACACCCCAGTCTCACAATTCACTATTTTCAGCTGGTTAATCTACAAATGTTTAACTAGAGATTGAGAGCACATTAAAGCCATTTTTAGTCCAGATTCTCCTGCCAATTCTTTAGGGATGGTGGAGTCAGAAGCAGGCCCTTGGAATACATTTGTTTCTGGAGGGTGGCTTGTAAGAAGGAAGGCTGAGACAAAGATCTGGAACAAGAAGCAAGCCTAAAATACACCATTATGAGAAGATGTGGGGGAGGGAGTGTCTTTAAAGTCACGCTACCTTCCTCCAGACCCAGCCTGCCTCTGCCTTTGAGATTATTTGCAATAGGATCAAGATTATCATCCCCAAAATTGAGCACAAATAGAAACAACATTGAAAATAAAGTCAATGTGGGTGACAGCATTTCTTGAGGCAAAATCTTCCATACCAGATACGAGAATGTATGTCCCCGTTAGCCAAGGCCAAACAGTTCTCAGGGCTGCATGAAACCAAGGCATGGGTGCAGCTTTGGAGGGACAGTTCTTGAGCTCTGGTCACAGCTTTCCATCCACACTGCCCAGTGTACTTGGAGACATCCCTGAAGGAGGTGTAGGCCAACAGGAAGCCCCTGCTGGCTTGACCTCATGCTCCCAAAAACGTGCAGTAGCATCAGGACTGGAAAGGTAGGGAAGAGCAAAATTGAGGAAGAGACAATAACTTTCTTCTGGTAAGAAAATAGATTTTCTGTTGAACTGCTCTTAGAGTGTCCACAATCTCATTATTGATTTCCTGGGGCAAAGCCTTGGGTCGCAATGTTTTCGTTTCTAATGCAGCCTCACAATCCTCTTACCACACCTTCATCTGGGTGGATGGCAGTGCCATCTTAACCCTGATTTCCTAATGGCATATTTCTTCTTATTGCCCTTGTGTGAAATGACAGTTCTCTTTTTGGCTTGGTTTCCAAGGAGCCGGAAATCCTGCTGTCTGACTTCTTGAACTAATGAGTTCACTACTGGGACAGCACAAACAAAGACTGGTGCTTGGGAGATCTTGGCTCACTTTCAGAGAGTGTTGTTTCTGAGAGTGCCTTAAACAATGATCAGAGGAAGACAGCAGAGAGCTATAAGAAGAATTATGTGTAGTCATTTGGGGTGGAGAGATGGGAAAAGCTTAAATAATTTGGGGAGTCCCTAAACAACATAACTAAAGCTTCAAATACACAAAGATGCCTAAATTGGTTGATGTTTTAAAGTCAAAGGAAAACCAAATACAAACAAATATGGGAAAGTGTTTGAATGAGGAGGTAATGGTACCTGACTTGCAGGAATGACTTTCAAGATCCCAAAGTTGGGGACAGTGGGAATTGCTCTTTTTAAGGTTTTAGAAATTTTTCTCTTGCTGTTCTTATAAAGAGAAAGCAAGTCTGTCCTTGAGAAAACTTGTAAGACAGCCTTCTCTTTAAAAAAATGCTCTGAAAACAGTCAAGTGCCACAAAACTTTGAAAGAACTAAGATCAACTTGGTGTTTGACAAAGCTAATATAAGAATGGTAATCAATCCCTTGGCAATGGAAATTTTAAATTTAAAATAAGCTTCAACAAAGCCTTTGAACCTTCAAACACTTTATGCTTAAGAAATTAATGGGTCCCTGAAGAAGTCACATTTCCTTTTCTGTTTCTGTAATATATACTTCAATTACATTAATCAACAATGCAGCAAAATAACTGACACCAACCAACTTCCAAGTCACATTTCCAAGCACTCCTTTTCTTCAACAGAGACTTAGCATTTTAAGATAGCTAATTGAGGTTTACATAAGCATGAATAAATATTTGGTGAAGCTGGATTTTCCCATCCTGTTGTCACCCTTTGCTCACCCCAGAATGGTTTCCCATCTTTTTTTTCCCTTCTACTGTCATTCCTGTTGAGTGTGATAAACCATCTTGCTGACAGAGATATTCAGTTAAAACCTTCCTTCTGCAGTATCTTTGAAGATGCTGAAACACACATCAGATGAGTTTCCTTTTCAGGCAAATTTTAAGAATCTCACAAGACTGTTTTTCTTCATTGCAAAATCGACTGAAGGGTCCCTGCTTCCCTGTAGTCTCCTATGCTCTGGACAAAACAAAGCAAAACAAAACAAAACAAAAAACAGACATGCACCCTTTTACATGTGATCCTCTTTGTAAATTGGCTTTTGCTCTCATTGTATCTACCCTCAACCCTATCATTACTAGAGTTTTGGTTTTACCTAACTTTTCTCAGAGAAAGTGTCTCCACAGGCCCTATTGACAATTTTCCCTCCCATTTGGGTTCTCTCTCTCTCTCTCAGAAATGGAAACCTTAAAAGCAAAAGGCTTCAGGATGGGCGTGGTGGCTCATGCTTGTAATCACAGCACGTTGGGAGGCCGAGGCGGTGGATCACTTGAAGTCAGGAGTTCGAGACCAAACTAGCCTGACCAACAAGGTGAAATCCATGTCTACCAAAAATACAAAAATTAGCTGGGCATGGTGGCACATGCTTGTAATCCCAGCTACTTGGGAAGCTGAGGCAGGAGAATCACTTGAACTTGGGAGGTAGAGGTTGCTGTGAGCCTAGATTGCACCACTGCACTCCAGCCTGGGTGACAGAGTGAGACTCCATCTAAAAAAATAAAATAAAATAAATAAAAGGCTCCAAACTTAATTTTATTAGTGTAGTATTCTATAAAACAAACAAATGAAAAACTTCAATTTTCTATTTGAGTACCTTCCTCTCTGTTTGGGTGTGGTTAGTGACTATCCCGGAGGAGGCCATTTCTCCTTTTTGCTAATAGTTTACAAGGGAACTGCTCCTGACACTTTGCATACTGCAGAGAGGGCCAGTCTTGTTTTCAGGTTCTTTCAGCACCTGCTGGGCATTTCCAATTTTACAGTCTCCTCTGTGGGGCATAGATACTTTACTGAGGCCCTTGCCTTACTCATCATCTTAGAAACATTTCAGATAAATTTATCTTCCCAAGGTGAATTACCTCTCCCAGAGGCTTTTGAGTTTTAATAAAGAATCTCCTGAGGAAAAAATGAATAAATTAGCTTCTAATGATGGAATTACTTGCACAAAACAGTGTAAGATATTTGAATAGGTTGTGGAATAAGGTAGACCTTTCAGTCATATCACCTCAGCAGCCTAAACCCATACACTCACAAGGCTTATCCTTTCTAAAAATAGTGCTAGATTTCAGAAGTTTTATTATTTATAGTTCAGGTAGATTGCAAGAGAATTCAGTGTCATGAGACATGAGATGCATCATTGATACTTCGATGGTTACTCATCTCCCTTTCAAATCTGCTTGCCACCGAGAGGAAAAGTAGAGCACTTAGTACAACACAAACAAATCATCTGTACGCTTGGTTGGATTCTTCACTTTCCACATGGGTGTTTTAGTCAAACAACTAAAGATGGAAGTTCACAATTCAGTTACCAAGGCTAATCGAGCTCTCCACAGTCTTACCTTGCTGTACTCTGCTTAGCTCGAATCAAGAGACTAATTTCTTCCCTCTAGTCCCTGAGGAGAGAGAAGGGCCTTTCATGTGTTCCTTTCTTCCATGCCTTGAATATCACTTTTGTCATTGTGTACATGTGTTTTGGTTACTTCTTTCAATTTAATAAGATTGGCAATGTATGCAAATAGGCAGAGTTGGATGAGAATATCTACCCACACAATTACACACAAAGGGAAACCGTTTGGGTCCAGATCATCACTAGAATTGGAAACTGGTATTCAATAAAAGGCCTCTACGTACAGAGATAGATTTAGACAGTCCCTGCCTTTGTGCATCAACGAAGGAAACGATGTGTATTCAGCTACCCAACTTGGCCACAAGCAAAGCTCAACACTTCCACAATCTCTGGGAAAATGAGATGTTACATGTTCTTAGCAGGAGCTGACAATTAAGCTGAGTGAACAATCGTGCAAGACGGGGGAGTGGGAGTTCATGCTGCTTAGCCACATGCCTCAGGTGCTCGGCTGAGTGTGAGGCTGAGGGCCAAAAGCTTTCAACCACCCAAGAAGCCGGGGATCCTGAAACCTACAACCCTATGGCACATTATTCTGTTTATTATCTTGGAGACTCCCTGTTCTTTCCAACTATTTCCTCTGGCATGATAAGGAGTTTGTGAGGTGCCAGGGGAGATATAATTCGTTAGAATCAAGTAATGATTTGTAATATTTAAACTCTTCCATTAAACCAGGAAGCAGGTCAGAAACTAACCTTTAAATACAGCCAAGGGAGAAAGTCAGCCCAACAGCTTAAAATATATATATTTTGCAGGAAGCATGGAGCGTATAATTAGCTATAATTTCTGCAACTGCAGTCAGGAAGCTTTATTTTTTTGGCTGATAGGCAATGTTATCTCCTGATGGCCTGGGAAACCAAACCCTAGGGTTACATTCCTGGTTCCCACATAGACCTTGGTGGGTGGTTTTGGGGGGAAACTGGGCAAAGGAGCAAAGGAAAGGAATGGTCAGGGTGGGGCCAGAAGCTGGAGAAGTTGCAGGTAAGGATCAGGGTGATCGCCTCTTTGATTCTTTCGTAAGGAGACTCTGAATTTTGAGAACTGTATTTAAACATATTCTGATTTCTAGTGTGATCATTTCCCCAAGACATTTTTAATGCTTAATATATTGGGCAAATGCTATACTTCTTGGCTCCTGCTGATAGTTGTAGAGGAAGTTAAGTGTACTACTGTTAGAGGATCACTTTTATTTTTGGCTGTTTCAACAAGCGTAGATTTTTTTTTCCAGTGGGCAAGTCTAAGTCTGGCAGAAGCATTAAAAATTAGTAAAGGTGGAAGTGCTTTGAAACATTTGATCTCTTCTCGAGGAAGCTGAGCAGAGGGGAGGGGAGTCCCTCAGGAAGGCTTGCTGTGTGGAAGCATATACACCAACAATGAGATTTTCTTCAATGCCTCCTGTGGCCTTCAATTCTCCCCTCTAGTCAGGCACCAAAGGGGAAAAGCCCAGCACTCCTCTCTGACATTTGATCTAAATCTCCTGAAGTCATAGGGGAGGCTGGGCAAGCTCAGATGGGGGCAATAAAGCAAGAACAGCAACATGGCAGTAAATAAATCTGATTTTTGTCCATTTCAGCCAAGGCTGATTTTGTTTGCTGGGAAGTGATTTCTCTTACCTTTGTTTTTCTGCAGATTGTCAAATCCTGGCTCAGTTTGCCCTGTGAACCACATCAACCAACTAATCATCCACCAAGCAGATGAACTAACAGACATCTAGCCTGTCCTTAACAAGAGTGACAGTAATTGGCATTTTTTAAAAAACATTATCTCACTCAGTTATTTATCAGCATTCTGCAGTGTATTAAATCCCTTTTCTAACTATTTATAAAAATTCCACGGTTCATTTGGGAAGGAAGATATATGATTTTAAATGATTTAATCTTTGAAAATAGTGTACGCTTAGCCTAGCACCAGAAAAGCCCAAATACTATTTCTCTCTTCTGCTTCCAGGGATGATCTCCCTTTGATGGGGATCACGTTCAGATGTGTATTATACTGATATTCCCCAGATAACACATCTTGAATTACAAACTCGGGCATCTTCCAGGTACTGAGGAAGAGAGGATAAAGCAAGAAGGTGAACAAACACTCATTAGATGAGAAATGGGAAAGCAAGGGGCATCTTTCCAGGGACCTCCATTGCCGGCATTTATCCTACAACATCCACAGTATACAAATAATTGCCTCCAAGCTCTGACTTGGTCAGATAAATCTGCTCACTGCCTCATACATAGTAGCAGCCCGAGACTGTTTCTCGGAAGGCTCACATCTCTTCCACAGCAGCTGCTCATCTCTAATGAAACCGTTCTGTGCTGTACTCCAGAGCGGAGCCGCATTGTCCCAGCCATGAATAAATCATTAACCCTATTTTATTAATAAGGCTAAGCTAACAATACTCCCAACCTGGCCCCGCTCTTCCTTTCCTGCAGCGCCTCAGAAACAAGTGCCACACCGCTCTTCCTGTGCGGAGAAGGACTGTGAGCCTCAAGGACTTGCCTGGCAGGATCTGGGGTCTAAGGCATGAACCAGCTGTTGGCAGATGAGACCTATATCTAAAGCCTGGGAGAATTGCAGCTGATGAGAGAGTCAGCTTTAAAGATAGGCCGTTACTCCCAGACATCTGCTCCTTCTACGGTACCCCATGAGGGGAGGCAGCTAAGCAGTGTCCCAGGGTGAAGAGTCAGAACAGGGAGCAACTCACCTTGGTCTCATTTTTTATAAATAAGTAACTGGGATTTTAAAAAATGTTTGCTTAAGAAAATAATATTTTAATATCATATTCCCGCTTATAGAGACCTCAAATCATTTCCCCACTTTGGAAACAGGTAGAAATAGACTATAAACTTTGTTTTTTAAAAAAACTTTCTCAATCAATGTATAAAGCACCTTACTATGTCATCAGTTCTTTTACCATTTACTGAATTGTATTTCAATTGTACGCAGGCCTCTTTTGGAGGCAAATGACAGAAACCCAACTTAAATTAAGCAATATGAAAGGAGAGAAGTTGTTGACTTAATGAAAACTTGAAGAGGTGGGCTGGACGTTAGGAATGGGCTGAATCCAAGAGTTCCAAGAATGTCATCAGATTCTCCTCTGTCCTGTTTCACATGATGCCTCCCATTGGGAGTCTGCTGAGTGTTTTGGACATCTAACTGCCCTCTAGACTAGCTGAGGAATCAGACTTGAAAGGACTCTACTGCTTGATATTTCCATGGGAAATTTCATGAGGAGCTCAATCATGAGAACTCTTGAGCTTCCCCAGACCTGCTCATTTTGAGCCTTCCCACTGAGCATGTGATAACCAGCCTCCACCCAGGGATCCATCAAGAACCTTGGAGTCATCCTGGATTCCTCTACTTTCCTTCCCCTCCTGCTCCAAGCCACCAGCTCATCCTATCGGCTCAATCTTCATAATGTATATGGGTCCAACTACTTGTCTGTATTTCTGTTACTACCACCCTAATCTGAGCCACCATCATCTCATGCTTGGACCAGTGCAGAAGCCTCTTGACTTGTCTCTCTACTGATATTCTTGCTCCCCTAAAATCCATTCTCCATGCTTAGCTATAGTGATCATTTTCAAATGATCATAAGTGAAACTGTGTCTGTATCTGCTTAAAACCTTGCAAATTCATTTTCTCATTGTTCTGAGGTCTAGATTCTGAAAGCAAGGTGTTGGTAGATTTGCTTCCTTCTGGAAACTTTGAGGCAGAATCTGTTCCATGCTCCTCCCTTAGATTCTGGTGGGTGTCAGAAATCCTTAGTGTCCTTAGCTTGCAGCTGTACCACTCCAGTCTTTGCCTCCATCATCCCATGGACTTTTTCCTGTGTGTCTCTGTGTCCAGATTTTTCTTATCTTATAAGGATATGGGTCATTGGGTTAAGCCAGTATGACCCTATGTTAATTTGATGACATCTTCAAAGACCCTGTTTCCAAATATGGTCGCATTCACAGATTCTAGGGGTTAAGGTTTGAACACGTCTTTTGAGGGGACAAAATTCAATCCAGTACAGAACACTCTATGGCCTCCTCCAAATTCACATCTGTCCCATGTGCAAAATACATCCACCCTCTTCCCAAATCCTTAAAAGAATCAACCCTAAGTCCAAAGTCTCATCTAAATATATCAACTCAAAAAGTCCCAACTCTCAGCTGCTAAATCATCTAAATCAAGAATAGGCAAGATTCTGGGCTCAGTCCATACTGGAGTAAAATTCCATCTGTGGACCTGTGAAGCCTAGAGAACAAGTTAACTGCTTCTAAAATACGTACATACATGGAATAGGCATAGAAGAGATACTTCTGTTCCAAAAGGTAGAAATTGGAATGGAAAAAGAAGTCGTAGGTCCCAAACAAGCCTGAAATCCAGCAGGACAAATTCCATTACATTTCAAGGCTCAAGAATAACTCCTGTGGTTTAATGCTCTGTCCTCTGAGATGGCCAGGAGAGTACTGTGGGGGGACCCCCAGCCCTCAGAGAACTATAAGAGGGTATAGCTTCCTTAGCAGTGAGGCCTAAGGGAGGGCAGCAGGCACCTAAAGAAGAAAATGGAAAATATCTGTAAAGAATCCGCCTGTTTTGTCAGGGATGAAACCTGAGGACAATGGTCCCTTGGACTGGCCTTAGCCATGTCTGAAGCTACAAACATTCTGGTAGCCCCGCAAAGCTGCCCTTGAGGGTAAGAGAAGGGAAGGAAGAAGAAAGTTCTATAGCCAGTAAATTGCTTATGCTTGAGATAAGGGCATAAGCAGAGCCAACTTCATGAGTCTGCAACCTGTGCAAGTGCACAAGGCCCTCACTTAGAAGGACCTCAGGATTGGTTTACTGCTCTTGTATTACCATCTTGAAATTCTTTGTATTTGAATGAAGGTCCTATGTTATAATTTTGCATTGAGCTCCCAAAATTATGTTACTAATCCTGAGTGTAAGACACTGCCCTACACTTGCTTATAGCAAATTTGTAAATGCATAAGGAAAAAATTGGAATCCTGAAAAAGCTTTCCATCTTGAAGTCAACTGGAAAGAATCCTGTAAGCCTTGTTTTCCATGCAGAGTTTTTTGGAAGAAGTCACCTGTGGGAAGAAGCTGAATGCTTCTTCAAAGACAGCTAATGGATGGAGGATCCTCCAAGATCCTTAAGCTGTCTCCATTAGTCTTCCCAAAGGAAAGAAGGAGGAACACACCACCAGTACTCACAGTGCGTTCTTTTTGGGGATCTAACTACTGATTTCTGATTGTGTCCCAGCCTGCCAATGTGCTGTAGAAGAAACCCGTAGAGCAAACAGTGTGGCTATGGGCCACCCTGCATGTTTATGAGTCCCACATCACCTGGGGCTGGTGATTCTCAGCATTTTATGTCCCTTTATTTGGAAGCATTTCCCATTGTCCACAGAATATGCTAAATGCAACTCTGCCCTTCTGAACCATCAGTAAATAATTATTCTTCTAGCTGCCCAAGAAAATGAAGGGCATTCAGTAAGAAGTTTCTTAGCCTCTCTCCCTTCAAGCTTTTCTTTACTTTAAAACATATCCCTCTTATCTGGCTTCTATCTCTTATCTTGCAAATGGATAAAGTCATGTTTCTCTTTTCATGTAATAAGATAATGTCATCCTTACCAGAAGTACATTTTCAGGATGAGAAACCCAAGATTATTCTCATCCAATTTTTTGTCATCCAATATGTCTTTCAGGATTTAAATAAATAAATATTCATGCAGGGGGTACAACTTTCTGTACTTTGGGAGTATCCTTACATACTGGTTAACATGCTTAATCTATTTTTGAATTAGCTGTTTTCATCTGCCCAGGCTCAGAGCTCACTTTCCCTATCTTCATTTTACAGCTTTTGTCTTGGCTGTCTATGACAGCCAGTCTCCAAAGATGGCCCCAGTGGCCCACACCTCCAAGTATTTGTGGACTTGTGGCTAGTCCTCTGCCTCATTTTTCCCAATAAGATAGGATCGTAGTGACACTGTGCCAGTTCTGGGTCTGTGCCTTCAGAAGACCTGGAAGCTTCTGTTTTTGTGCTCATGAGATTCAAATTTAAGGAGCCTATTTTAATAGACCAAGCTAGACTCATAGTCAGACCATATGGAGAGAGAAAAAGAGATGGATGTTTCAGCCTTCCAGTCAACCCTGTCAACACTTGAGACAAGTGAGTGGAGACAGACATCTTGGATAATCCACTTCAATCCACCATATTTTACTACATAAGAGACTGTGAGTGAGAGCATCAGAAGAATCATCCAACTGAGCCCAGCCAACCCACAGAATTATAAGGAATAATAAAATGGTTGTTTTAAGTTCCTATGTTTTGGGATGGTTTGTTTGGCAGTAATAGATAACTGAGACACTAATTCTCTTCACCAGTCTCCTCGTGTCAGCTTCCTAGCAGCCCCATCACTTTCATTACCTAGTCTGGAGCCAAGTAAACGTAGGTAGTCAACATATTGTAGACACAAATTTCAAGTGGATGGAATTCCAAAATATATCTTTGCTTGCACAGTTTGAAGTTCTCTGGGGAAGCTCCTTTCTAACATTTTGAGGCCCAGCCCTGGGCTGCCATTCAAGCATTTGACAGTTATCTTATAATTTTGGCAGTTGTACTTTGCCTGACATTTCTGTGGACCTCATTTAAAGTACCTCAATATGGATATAGTAGTTGTAGTCTAAAATACAGAATGTCACTTAAAATTAATGTGTTTTGATTGCTATGAATGCCTTGTCTGATACTGAGGTAATTTAAAAAATGACGTGATGAGACCATTCCTCCAGAATTTCAGGCTGTTCTGTAAGTATTTTGTTTCTAGCAATGTGTTGCAGGTTTTTGAAAGTAATAATCTACAATGCATGCCAGAAGAAAATGCCAATTTGAAGTATTAAAAGGAAAGTGTAAAACATTGCCACATTTATTAGCATTTTGAGGTACCCAAATCTATGTGAAATTTCAAATGCTATCCATTTCCTCATTGTGGTAACATTACACGTCAGAATTCACAGGCTCTTGCCTGCAGAAACGCTTCCAAGGAATTTCTATTGGGTCCTCAGTGAGGGTTTCTTGTCAGCTCTAGCCAGAGCCCCACTTCCTTTACCATTTTCTTCTCCCATGTAATTGATGGGTACTGCTGTGACCTCCTGGAACATATGTTTTCCCATCAGCTGAGGCACCAGAACCTTCTACATGCCAAACTTCTGAGTGTTCTGATTCGTTTCACACTCTGTTAGGTAGACACATAGCTGTGTTAGGTAGACACATAGCTGTGTTTCATGGGCACTATGTTTTCCTGAAACAAATCTTTTAAATTTACTTATTCTGCCCCTGCTTACCACAGGATTCCTATAAACCCACTGGGCTCAGAGGGGACTCATTTTCATGGAAACTGAGTGATGGACACCATTCTGTACTCAGGTCTACTCCTTACTCCTGACCACCATAACTTATCATGGCTTTAGAAGGTCACACTTATCAAGCTTGTATGACTTACCACAGCTTTATAAGGTCACACTTTTCAAGCTTCCTCTTCTGGTAATTTTTTAGCAGGTTTTCTCAGAAATGTCCAGCCAGTCTGAATCATAATCCTGCACTTGAACCCAACTCAGTAATTTGAACCCAACTCAGGTTCAAAGAGGGTTTCCCACCATGAAACATAGTAAATAATTGCATGACACACTGAAGACCTGAGATGTAGGCATAAACAGTTCACTGACATTTCCCTAGTGAGGATTGGAAAGAACATGGAAGGGGGAGACTGGAGGCTAGATATATTCCTAACTCACTCACTCACTTGTCAGTTAACTTAAGCAGGTTAGTGACACTCTCCTGGTCTCAGTTTTTAGATGATCCCAGTAATTTTAGCCCATGATTCTGCCTGACAATCAGCCATGGTTTTCTTCCTACATGCTGAGAATGCACCAATCCTAAAGAGAGACGTGGACTTGGATGAAACCATGGCAGGCTCCCTTCTCACTAAGCACACCCCATGGTGTGATGATGCAGGGGGAACAGGTGGAACAGCCTAGGCCTCTAAAGGTAGGCATGAAAAGAGCAAAACAATAAAATGCAAGTGCAAGACAGAAACACTGGCTTTTTATTGTAAAACAGGGTGCAGAAAAAAAGATGACAAAGAGACATTGCATTAAAACACATCAAGGATAACTTTTCCTAAACTTCCTAGTGGGCTAAGATAGAGTATTCTCTTTAGGATTTAGATGGACAAAAACTATTCCCTGGGATGGCATGGACTGAAAATGTCCTCTCAAGACTTCTATCAAGACTAAAAAGAAGCCTAAATCTGTCTCCCTAAGGCCAGAAAGGCTCTACATAATAAAAATAAAAGCTAAAATATGGAGCCCTTACCACATGCCAGACACTGCGCTAAACATTTTACTTACATTAATACATTTAATCATGCACCAGCCCCATGACGTAATATTACTATTTTCATTCCCATTTTAAAGATGGGAAAATGGACACACAAAGAGCTTAAGCAACTTGCCCAGGATCCACAGCTAGTAAGCTGCAGAAGCAGGATTTGAATTTAGGCAATTTGGGCAAAAGCACTTAAATCATGTGGCACTAGGGTTTCTCAACCTCTGCACTGATGACATTTTGGGCTGGATAACTGTTGTGGAGGGTTACCAGATGTTGTGTGGCATCTTTTGCCTCTATGCACTGGAAGCTAGTAGCATCCCCCCAGTTGAGACAATCAAAAATGTTTCGAAACATTGGCCAAATCGCCCCCTGTTGAGAAGAATTTTTTGGCACCAAAAATCTCTACAGTCTGACAATGGCCTCTGTCACAGCTCTGACCAGAAGTTACTATTCCCAGCTTCCTAGGTGTTATAAAGGAGGTTGTGAGTAGGCGTTAATGAGTTAACATAGATGTAATGCTTAGGGAAGCCTTGGGTTCATAACAAGCACTAATGTAAGCATTAGCTTTTATTATTGCTGTCTTTGCTGTTGTCATCCTGACAGGAAAGGCAGCATGGTGGGGTGGAAGAGAAGCTCTGTAGTGGACAACGGAAGGTTTAGGGAGTGATTCTTTCATCTCTTGGATAATCAAAACCAGGGCTCCAGTGTGAAAGATCCAGCCATCAGAGACCAATTCCAGAAGCCATGGCCAGCAGTAGAAGCTTTGTAAACACAGTTAAAACAGCAGCTTTGTCCAGGCAGAAAATTAAATCATCAAGAAAAATTAATTGCTTTCAGTGAGTTTTTATTAAAAAGTCCTTTTGAGAATATGATCTCTGTCCCATTCTTGCAATTCATCCTTTCTATTGGAGCCTTAGTTGTCCCCTGCCTTGAGGTAATCCACTACTGACTTATCGAAGGACACATCTCATGTCAAACAGGCAATGGCTGGAGGAAGAGGAAGAATAGGCCTGCACAGTAACAAGAAAAAGAGACCAGGCTGATGTGTAAAGGGATAAAACAGTCAAGGGAATCATCATATTTTGTTGCCCAATTGCTGGCAGAAGATGAATCAACAAGTAGGCAGCCATCTTTAACTGGTGATCGAGTGGTGGAGGCTGGTGGATAAGTCAGGGAGGCTGGAGCGCTTACACACCTGTGTGAGGTGAGCACTGGGACTCATTCCAGAAACAACCACGAAGGGCTTTCTGGAGACGCTGAGACACTCAGGCACCCTTGAGACAAATTATGAACTGCTAGGCAAAATCCACCATGAGTCTTCACCACTAAAACTAAGATTGATAGATGATCAGGTTTCGATGGCATCAGCTGATTTAAAACAAGAAACATAAAAAATTCAGGGAACATGAGAACACAGTGCATGTAGAAAGGTTTCATCATTTTTATTAAAAGCATCACATCAGCTTTGTAATGCTTACAGACTTGGAAAAGCCACAGTGGAGTTTCATAGGTTAGGGTTGTGAAGAAATCTACTCACAGCAGTCAAATGACCACTTTTCCATATGCCCATTTAAACTCCCTGTGTGTCCATTTCTTTATCTGAAGTCACAACCGTGTTGTTCATGGTTTCACCTACTTCACATTAAGCATTTAATTTACTCCTCATAACACCTTGAGAAGTGGGTATTATTATCCTTAATTAACAGGTGAAGTGGCAGTTTAGAGAAGTTAAGTCATTTGCCTAAAGTCGCATAAGCAGTCCTAGATACACCAGGATCTCTATTTCAATTCCTGTACTCTTTCTAGTATCCTGATCCTGAAAAGCAGACACCAGCTCTCTGAGGCCTCTTTTAGCTCCAAAATTCCATGACTTTTATGGGCTCTGTATTTTTAAAAGCGTGTCTGGTTCTTAAATGTTTTCTTCTTGGAAAGGTTTTATCAGAGGCAGAGAAGCCACCAAGAGGGCCTATTTCCCTTTCCCTACCACCTCTTGTCCCTCTCTGTCCCCATCAGTTTAGAAGACCTGGAGATGAGCCCCAAATGCCTGTTCCAGATAAATGTTTTGATCCAGAAGCTTTCTCAGCAAAGAACCACAGACGGCAAGCTAACTTTGGGAAAAGATAATTCAGACTAACGCTGAAAGGACCAGAGCTGACTAGGAACAGTCCAGATCTAGTGGCCTTTTATGAGTGAGAATAGAGCTCTTTGGGTTTGCAGTTTAAATGAGATGATACACCTGGGAAGAGGCCACCCAAATATCTTCCATATCCAGTCAGTCCATCACATGGAAGGCAGATGAGCTCTGATAAAAACAGACCATATCACTTCTTGGCTGAAATATCTCCATGGGATTTCAGCAACTTTTAGGATAATCCAAAATTCCAAGCACAGCCTCCAGGCTCCTCCAGAACTTTATCCCTCTTACCGTTCCCAGCCCTAACTCTAAACCCATGCTTATATTCACCTCATACTGGAATTCCTGCTTTTTTCAAACAAGTTGTTGGCTGCTTGTTTTTGACCCTCTCATAATGTGAAATGCCCCCAGCCACAAGATCCAGACTAAAGTCACCACCTCTATAAGGACCTCCATCCTTTAATCTTACCTCTAGGAAGATGAGCTACTTTGGGTTATTATTCCATGTCTCTGTCTCCACCATAAGTCTATATCTTCTAAGTCCATAACTTGTTTGTTTTCTTGTCATGGTGCCAAACTCAAAGTAGGTGTTCAATGAGTGTTCATGTGAATGCAAAAGTGTTAGAAAGAGTTAGTCAAAATGATGTAATAAGAAGGAATTAGGGCATGCATTTGATTGCACTTTGTCTTCTTTGCTTCATCCCCTCCAACTCCTTGGCTCTATTTTGGTACTGGTTGATTTGTGTTAAAATGAATTAATATTGGTTGATTTGTGGTAGAATTTATTATTTTCTTTATGTTTCATATGGGTCAGGGACTGGTATGTCTATCATTCATATAGACACTGCAAATCTCTCTGCACATAGGAAAGCACCCATCTCATGCACTTACAAGTAGGTGTTCATCAACAAAGTCCTGCCTTCTGCAGTCTAACAACCTCTCCTGTACTTTCTCCTCTTAACCTATGATGAGCATTCAGGGATGGTTTCCTAACTTAGGCAGCTCACCTGTTCTGCGTCCAGTCACTTGAGGTTCAACTGCTAAATGGTTCCCAAAGATATCATGAGTCAATGAGGATAAGACATAGATGGGAGAATGCTAAAACAAGCAATGGGGAAAGGATTCCCTATTTAATAAATGGTGCTGGGAAAACTGGCCATCCATATGTAGAAAGCTGAAACTGGATCCCTTCCTTACACCTTATACAAAAATTAATTCAAGATGGATTAAAGACTTACCTGTCAGACCTAAAACCATAAAAACCCTAGAAGAAAACCTAGGCATTACCATTCAGGACATAGGCATGGGCAAGGACTTCATATCTAAAACACCAAAAGCAATGGCAACAAAAGCCAAAATTGACAAATGGGATCTAATTAAACTAAAGAGCTTCTGCACAGCAAAAGAAACTACCATCAGAGTGAACAGGCAACCCACAAAATGGGAGAAAATTTTTGCAACCTACTCATCTGACAAAGGGCTAATATCCAGAATCTACAATGAACTCCAACACATTTACAAGAAAAAAACAAACAACCCATCAAAAAGTGGGCAAAGGACATGAACAGACACTTCTCAAAAGAAGACACTTATGCAGCCAAAAAACACATGAAAAAATGCTCACCATCACTGGCCATCAGAGAAATGCAAATCAAAACCACTATGAGATACCATCTCACACCAGTTAGAATGGCAATCATTAAAAAGTCAGGAAACAACAGGTGCTGGAGAGGATGTGGGGAAATAGGAACACTTTTACACTGTTGGTGGGACTGTAAACTTGTTCAACCATTGTGGAAGTCAGTGTGGCAATTCCTCAGGGATCTAGAACTAGAAATACCATTTGACCCAGCCATCCCATTACTGGGTATATACCCAAAGGACTATAAATCATGCTGCTATAAAGACACATGCACACATATGTTTATTGTGGCACTATTCACAATAGCAAAGACTTGGAACCAACCCAAACGTCCAACAATAATAGACTGGATTAAGAAAATGTGGCACATATACACCATGGAATACTATGCAGCCATAAAAAATGATGAGTTCATGTCCTTCATAGGGACACAGATGAAATTGGAAATCATCATTCTCAGTAAACTGTCACAAGGACAAAAAACCAAACACCGCATGTTCTCACTCATAGGTGGGAATTGAACAATGAGAACACATGGACACAGGAAGGGGAACATCACACTCTGGGGACTGTTGTGGGGTGGGGGGAGGGGGGAGGGATAGCATTAGGAGATATGCCTAATGCTGAATGACGAGTTGATGGGTGCAGCACACCAGCATAGCACATGTATACATATGTAACTAACCTGCACATTGTGCACATGTACCCTAAAACTTAAAGTATAATAATAATAAAATAAAATAAAATAAAATAAGAAATTAAAAAAAAAAAAAAAAAAGAAAATTCCTCTTCCACCCTGGTCATGCCCCAGGACTTTTTGTTCCCTTTCAGGCTATACTTTTCAATACTGTAGCAGCTTTCTGGAATTAATCCCCTGACTTTTTTACTGCCTGTGCCCAATATAGGACTAGGCAATGAACATTCGCAGCCAGACCAGCTGAGGAAGAACACAGATGTTGACATTTATAGATAAAATAGGAAGCAGGCTGGTGGAGGGAGGTGAGGTGGGCCCAAAGTGCACAGATAGACACAACTTAGCAGGGACCCTCACATTACATACAACCTACATGCAGAGCTGGGCCCATTACTAGGCAAACATGAGATCAATTATTTGTAGAGAGCACAATTTGCTGCTTCTGCTTAAAGAAGAGTATATATGGATTCTATAGGCCTACTTGTTTGAGTCAAGGCTCAGCTTTCTCACTATGAAATCTTGAGTGAATCATTTAATTTTCCAGGTCTTAGTTTCCTCATCTATAAGACGGGTACACACCTCATGGGATTGCCATAAAGACTAAATGTGATAATACAAGAAAAGTGCTTAGCACAAAATTTAGCAAGGAGTAGTGGTCACAACATTTTAGCCATCTCACCATCGTTATCATCAACATCACTATGACTGGCTTAAAACTCAAATTAGGTCAAGCAACTTGCAAAGAGAACATTTTCAACTAGGAAATTACCCCCAATCTTTTCTTTTAGTTACTAAGAGTATAAGATTTCTCTTGAAATATGTTGAAAATTAAAAATATATTCAGACTATTTCACATTTTGAGGGCACTATTCACAAAACTGTGGCTACTGTGAAGAACAACTAGTGTCCTAAATCTGCTTGTTATTGTCATGTAAGAAGGCAGCTGATATTTACAGACTTCTACCGACTTCTCCCTTTTGAGTCATCTCAGCTGGTCTGGCTGTGAATGAATATTGCCCAATGCTGTCTTTGGGGGTAGCCAATTGATGTAATATGGACTAGAGGCTCTAGGACCTCTCCTCAGGCAAAGACCAAGACATCTTACTTCTTTTGCACCCCCCGTGATGCAGAGCACAGAATGGATACCAAAGACAAATGAAGAATCCTGAGAACTCTGCTGCTTGCTCAGGCTGCTCAGAGAAAAAGCGTGTGGCTTTGTTGTTATGATAACCTAAGTTTGAGTCCTTCTCCACCAAGTATTAATAGATTTAAAACCTCAGATGTTTAGCTTCTCTGCAGCTGGGTGACATGACTTACCTTGTAAAACTGTGGCACTGAATGATTTGACATTCTTAGCACAGTGCCTGACATATATGAGATGCTTAGCAAATTGTAGGATTTTTTTTTTTACCCCTTTCTCCCTTTTGCATAAGAAAAGAAGACAGAATGAGAGATGGAGAAAATTATCCCTCTGGGATGCAATTCAAAAAATGACCATTTAGATAGGGAGAGGAGCCAAAATAGTCTAGAGGGTTATTTTATAACAGGATATGGGCTCTCAATTCAAGAAAAATGAACTTTGTAAAGCCACGTAGCCTATCTTGAGAAACTTTTTTTTGGGAAACTTTCTTTTTCTGGCAAACATTTAAAAACTGTTGCTTTTACATTAAAAGCCAAGATTAAACTATTTTCAGAGTACAGTGTTGGCTCATTGAGTGATAGTGGGGTCTATGCTTAGTCTATGGGCTCCATAAATATTAATGAAGGGCCCAGATAACAGATAATAATGGTGGTGGTGCTGGACTCGTTCTCATGCCTTATGTTTTCACCCAGAGAGGTTGGCTATGATTTCATGTTTAAATGACTGAACTTCACTGGAAAATATATCAGGCAGTGTGATGTATGTCTTCCTACTCCTAACAATGAGATCTATGCAAACTCACAGTCATACACATATACACACAAACTGAAATCAGTAAAAACCGAATTTACACAAGTGTTTAGTTTGTGTTGAAGATTCCGTTTTGCCATAGGGACTACATGTTTTGCCTTAATTTGATTATTTTGCTGATATGTCTAGATATGTTGGTGTCTCAGAGAAGCAGCTATTATCCCCAGTTTTTCCCCAAAGTTTCTCATATTTTCCAGCCACAGTAACTCTTGCTTCACCTCTCCCCACACTCATACATGACACTCTCAGTTTGCCTGTCCTATTTATTCACAAGACTGTGTACATGTTCTATTAGCAATGGGCTAAGAACTTTCAAATCTATATATGCATGTGTCTTCCTGGCACACACTTTCACATGTACATAGGACTGGATATATTCACTGCCTGCTGCTGGGCAAGGGGTGGGGTCTCATTTCCAGGCTGAATGGGGATGAACCACCTCATATCTTTGACTTGCATTTACATTACATGGTCCATAGGAATCATGTAGCTGTTTTGTAATATAAACTCCAAAGCAAATCCAGCATGTATGCCTGCCTGTAAACTACCCAAAAGTCACTGTGCCCACACAAAATAGTTCAAAACCACAACATTATAACTGAAAATCACAAATAAACTTAAAGAAATGGCCAGGCATAGTGGCTTACATTTGTAATCCCAGCACTTTGGGAGGCTGAGGTGGGCAGATCACCTGAGGCCAGGAGTTCAAGACCAGCCTGGCCAACATGGCAAAACCCTGTCCCTACTACAACTACAAAAATTAGATGGGAGTGGTGGTGCACACCTGTAATCCCAGCTACTCAGGAGGCTGAGGCAGGAGAATCACTTGAACCCAGGAGGTAGAGGTTGCAGTGAGCCGAGATCGCACCACTGCCCTCCAGCCCGGGTGACAGAGCAAGACTCTGTCTCATAAAAAGAAAAATAATAATCAACAATTCTACTTTTTAACAGCAAATAATAATGAAAATCCAGGAATCATAAAAGAAACTTAACTTACAAAATAATCATCTGAATATTGCATGACTTTTCCTTCAAGAAGAATCTTACATAGTAATTATTTTTCTGTACCATGGAAAGGCAGGAAATAAACGTATAAGCATCATTATCTTATATATTTAAAAACCCTCTCCCATGGATGCACTCATGATGAATATCATTGATATCTTTTTCTAAAAGACAACAAAGGAACACCACACATCAAAATTTCAGATACATATTATCTTCAAATCAACAAGTCTACTTTTAGAAATTTATCCTAAAGATGTCATAAAAATGTAGACAGGTGTATTCCCAAGTATGTAAGTTGCAGAGTACTTTTTAATAATGAAGAAAACAACCACCCTATAATAAATACTAAGAAACCATTTGAGAGAATAATGTAGAACACAGTTATGGGCGTGGGAATTTGGATGTTTCCAAATGAAAAAGGAGGGTTTTTGAAAGAATATATGTATGTTTATGCCTATGTGTGTTTATGTGCATACTTGCATAGCAAAAACATGTAGAAAGATATTTAGCAAAGTATTAAATGGGTTATCACTGGTTGGTAAGATTAAAAGTTATTTTCATTTACATCTTTATACCTCTTGGCACTGTATAAAATTATTTAAATTTGGGGGGAAAGACACAACAATAGTGGGTACACACATATTAATGCCAAACTGGAATATATTAAAAGTCAACCCTCCCCAATACACATGCACAGGTCACTGGGGATTGATGGTCTCTCTAATGTCAGTAAGAGGATCTGAGTCGTCAGGAGAGTAAGGGTGAAAGTGACAAGTGGTGTGTCCCTCAAGGCAGATGAAATCCAGGAGAGTGTGCCCATGTACCACATGCCCACTATATCCAGAATTGGATTTACTCATCAACCAAGTGAAACATTCAATGCAGCTCATTTAGCATTTCATTGCAAAAATATGAAACAGGCACAGAAACTAAATCTAATGCTTTATTCTTTCTCTCTTACTTTGATCCCTCCTTTCCTTCCTTCTTTCTTTCTCTCTTTCCTTGTCTCTCTCTCTCTCTCTTTCTTCCTTTCTTCAGATTTCAAATTCCTTATAACCTGTCGTATGGCCAAACCACCCCTGGAGAAAGTGGCAAGCTGACATATTTAAATTTAAAAGTTGCCTTATTTCCTCTGCATTCTGGTCCTGGAAATGGAGTAAGTTTGCTTTGCACACTCTTGGCTACAGGGGTGATCAGCATTCTGTCTGTGCTTCCCAACATTTCTGCAAGCATCTCCCATCTGAGGTGCTGCATTATTTCCAACCTGCCTTAGACTCAGACACTCCACCAGACATGATGGGCCAGTTAAGCTTCGTAACAAGCAGAGCTAGGACATGTAGATTTTATTTAAAAGGACACATGACTATCCATTCAAGATGAAATGTTGTCATCCTGGTCAGGCCTGGATCCAATCTGTGTTGGAGAACATGAAATAACTTCTGGCTACAACAACGAATCATCATACGCTAATATGACCTAGTCAGGTACACTGCTATTTCTTGCCATTTTCTTTTTTATCCTGTGAAGGTTGTCATCATTTCACACACATTTTGCAATGATAAGGGTAGTTCCATTACTGCCTATCTTGTAGGAATGGGGAAGCAAAAGCACTTTATAACTGTGTTTCAACAATTTTGAATTTACTTCCTCAAATGTCTTTCTAACTCTATCCTCTCTCTATATTTTTTCTTTATGTATAAATATGATGTCTTTCTCTGTGACACACAAACATACAAAGTCTGGACAAATAGCCAGGGGGTTGGGAGTTCTATTCCATTTGAATTTTGAAAATGGAATTAGTAAACTCAAAATATGACACTTTCAAAGCAATTTAGAGACAAGGCCTCACTAGACTAATGGGATGTAGGTAAAGCAACAACTAACCTGAAATGTTAGAAACCCCCAAGTCTCTGGAATTGCCGCCACTCACGGATCCCAAAAAGTCCAGCCCACACACCTTCAACCATGAGACAAGATGGCCAGTGCAAGAAGAGACCATTGCTTGTGGTGCCGTTAGGTTGTTTATGCTGTTGTTTATATGTTTTAAACAGCATAGCTATTAATGAGATTATGTTATGAAATACTCATTTCCTTCTATGTTATTGCCATGACACTCAGCGGCAAAGGGGAAACACCCAAATACACAGTAACTACATATGCAGTTGGATTCTACAGACTTTCTCCCCTCCTTTCAGAAGGAAATTTCTATTACTTTCACTTCTCAGGTATGTCACAAAGAGTTTGAGAAATAAAAAAGAGAAAATAACTCTCGAAAGAACAAATAGCACATACCACGAATTAATAGAGCAATAGCAATTGGCAACAACATCCACAGATATTAACCCGCAGTGCTGAGCCACACAGAAACGAGTGAGATTAGTTCCATTTCAGTTACAATAGCAACAGGAACCAGGCCCACATATTTGTATCTTAGCGGAAGCAAAGAACAGATTATAAAGCAAGTCTAGATTCAATGATCAGACAGGATGCCGCCCTGCTTCCTAAAATCAAAATGAAATAATTGCCAGTGGCAGCTTACACTGGGTTCTAAGAGTTAGGAGGCAAATATGTTTGCAACAAGAACCATGGGGAAGCAAAATGAAAATACATTGCTCCAGGTTCTAGGCATTCTCTGTGCTTGGGCCCTGGCTGGCTTATACACAATTTTCAGAAACATGGACGGTTCAAAAGCAAGACAAAACAAAATAGAACACATCAACAGGCAATTTTTGCATGGCCCCGAGTAAAACGATTCAGATCTCCCAAGCTGGTGTCTATGGTTTAATAAAGGATTTAAAATATGCCTTGCAATATTTCTAATTCTTTCTACAATTGAGTCAAAACACAAAGAACCGAAGTTGTAAAAGAATGTTCCGAATGAGTACTATACTGGAAATAGAAATCAAAAGTGGGAACTTTTAAAAAATGAATGCTTGTTTAGCTTTTATACCACCCTAAAACAAGCAACCCCGGTCTGTTCACTTGGATTTGATTTGAGAATTTGAGATCTGCCTTTTCCTACCTCTGCTAAGTTAATCCCACTCCTCCTTCCACTCCCACTCATGGGTCTTTATGACTTCCTCCCTCTTTTACACCCAAATGCAGAAGTGAAGTGTGAAAAGCTGTTTAAGTACTCTTACTGAGAAAGGAAACTATCTGGCCATTTTTTATATTCCATGATATTAAAGTAATTCATCTGCGTTTGCACTAATGACAGTAAATCTCTCTTGCTGACAAGCTGTGGTCAATTATCCTTTCTACAGCCTTTAAAAAACGAAGCAGTAGGAAGTGCGTCAGTGTTGGAAACTTGTGGCTTGCTTATTCAAATGAAACAGCCAACCAGCTTAAGCAGCTCCCTCAAAAATGCATCACCTTGCTGCTAGACCCCAAACAGCTCTCCCAAGGGCCTGAAAATACTGGGAACTTCCGCTGGAATTTACATGTATGAAGGAAATTGTTTAAATAAAGCGGTATGCTATTTATCCCTATAATGAGTAGTTTAACACTGACAATTAGAAAGGAAATTCTACAAGCCAGGACTCCAGTTACTTATTACTGCCACTGAAAGTCAATTAAAGTATCTAACTAATTACAGGGATTGGGATCATCTGTCATCTGGCAAATCATATTAGAGGGAAGAGGGCCTTGGTTTGTTTTTGAAAGTGTGTGATCTAGTCTCCATCATGCTGGTTAATTTTCGGACAAGGGAGTGAATGAGGGGTCTTGCCCCACACATCTGCAGATCTGTTCACCTGGGAAGCTCCAGAAATGTTAGCTGTATTTCCATCCAACCTCAGCTGCTATACAAAGAGCAAGAGTTGGCCAGGAGATGGATGGAGAGAGATCCACTCTGCCAGACCAATCATTCACCAAGAACATCGTTCTTCAACTCAAGAGCCTGTAGTGATTCCTTGTAGCCTCCTATAGCAAGTTCTTACTCCTTTGCCCACTCCCAAGCCTGCTCTCCTACCACTCCCCAGCACTTCTGTCAATCATCTTGGTCAGCTAACTGTTTCACAAATGTTATCATCATGACTTAAACCCCATCTGTGTTTTTTCTCAGCCTGTTAGTTAAGATGCATTCTACCCCTCTCTTCTGCCTATCCAAACTCTTCTCACCCTTAAAGACTCAGCTCTGGTCCTGATTCCTGCTTCATGCAGAATCCAATACAGAAGATCTTTCCTGTACACCGCCTCTGGGGTTTGGAGTTTATCACTCAATGGTTCTCAGATTGTGAACGGGCTACATCTTAAGTCTTTGCTTCCTGCCCAGCATGTGGGATACATTTACAACCCCATAGTGTTAACCCCCTGATTCTTGGTTTCTGTTATTACTGCATTTAGTCTCATGTTTAGTAAAGTGTCTTAATCAGACCTAGCTAGCATTCTTTTGCTAAATTAAATTTAGCCTAAAGCACCTCCTTACGTATTTGAAGTCCAACGTGAAGCTTTCTCCATATATAGTAACCTTAACTGGATATGTAAACAGACTGTAATTTACTTTTGCACCAATCACTGAGTTTTGGCCATTCAAAGGCAGCCAACTGTTCAAACTGTGTTCACATAAGACAAATGGCAAGCTGTAATCAAAATCTGGCTGCTTCTGTACCTCACTTTCCTTTATCTGTTCATAAATCCTCTCCAACCACATAGCAGTGTGGAGACTATCTGAACCTATTCTGGTTCAGGGGGCCTGCCTAATTTGCAAATCATTCTTTGCTCAGTCAAACTCTATTAAATTTAATTTGTCTTAAGTTTTGCTTTGAACACCTTCATTTGTTCACTCCTTCGCTCATTCAGCACATGTTTAGAATGGCTTCTTAGAGCAAGACACTTCAACAACGACTTCTAAGTCTGCGTCCTGGGCATCCTCTCCTACCACATGGCCTCAGTGGGAAGCTGCATGTGCTCATACCACCAAGAACAAATCAAGGAGTCTCTTAATGCTCACTGATCCTTCTTTGGCCAACACTTACAGGGAAATGGCTATAAAAGCACTTACAAATATTAAAAAATTGAGCTCTCACCCCTCAGCTCCACACAGCTCTCCCCAGAGCAGTCCCAGAGCAAACCAGGAGACAAAGAGGGGAAAATATTTTCAAATGATCTTCTGAATGACTTCAGAGCTTACATAAGGTTCAAGTTTAGTTCAAGGGATAGGCAAAAGTTGGGTCAGCCAGCTATGCTAGGGTCAGCCAGACACTGGGGTCAGCTGGCCATGTTTGGGTTGAAGCAAGAACATTTCTGTACTTCACATCCCAAGACAGATATTGGAATTTTAACTTTCCTTCTTGCAGTTTCTTTATGTTTTAATAGCTCATTTCACCGTGGAGTGATACTTCCCAGAGGATCTATTTTCTCACTCTTCCCACTCCTGGCATGTCCTTTGGCATCTCATGTTCTGCACCTGTGGTGTTTAGACTTTGTATCTCCACTAGCATTTGTCTCCAATACATTGTTTGTGGAAAAATGAACATACTGCACGTGTCCAAGGAAACTGAGTAGGAAGAAACAAGAAACTTGACCAATGTGAAAATGCACTAAGTTTTTTCATTAAAGCTTCTTACTATTTTCTGCAGGAAATATTGCCTATAACAAAGCATTGAAAATGGAATATTCTCAGGCATCAAACATAAAGGCAGGATTGATAGGTTCAACAACAGATTATATCACAAAGGACTGCTTAAAACTCTTCAATGCTCCACCTCTCTGACAGTACTCAGCACATTGCATTGAAACTATTGTATTTTCCTTGCAACCCCCACATTAAAAGAATTAAGAGTATACAGCTGCATGTGTTCCTGGTACCTAGCATGGTGCCTGGCACCCAGTAGGCCCTAGTAAATATTTGTATTTGGTTACGTAAGTACCATGTTCTAAGTACAGAGGTTTCAAAATGCCCAGATACATAGTAGCCATCTTCAAGAAATTCAAACCCTAGTGCTGTGATTCCCAAGCCTGAGTGATCTTCAGAACTGCTCACAAAGCTGTAAAAGTACAGATTTCCAAGACTCATCTCCAGAGATGCTAATTCAATAGGTCTACATAAGGGCTCAGAATTCTACATTTTTAATAAGCTTCCCAGATATCTCTAATTATCAGCTAAATTGGGAATCATTGGTCTAGAGGGTAATAATAAAGCCTTGTTTTTACATCTCTTTTCCTACATATAAAGTATTTTCATATCCATTATCTCACTTGATTGTTACTCTTTGAGGGGGGTAACATACCCTGCAGGTTACAAATGTGGAAGTGAAGCTGACAGAATTTATAAAGTTGTTGAATTCAGAACCTGAATTTGCACACAGGATTTCCATCCAAAAGCTCGACAGTGTTTCTATCTCACCAATCCTTCCTGAGAGTGATGACCCAGGTTAGCGCTTTTAAATAAAGAGTAAAAAACCACAGGTCATATTACATGAACAGCTAGTATGTTTGAGTCGCTCTCTTAGGTTCTTCGGGAGAGATGAAGTAAAAGGAAAATATTGCCTTCTCCCCCAACCCATCCCTGAGAATGACACCGTAGAGAAGAACAATTATAGGGACAGAGCCTCTCAGTGACAGCAAACAATGAAGGTTATTTCCTTATAGGCACATTTGACATGGAAAATACTAACAAAGTCAATCCAAACAGGTGCAATAAGCTTGGTTCATGTGTCACATGGTCCTTTGGTAGAGACTACATGGTGAAGCAGACAGCAAACCAAATGCAATTCTTCAACTGAACATGGTTCATTAATTCAGTGCTCTCGCTTTTCTCCGAGTTTTTACCTCCTAGCCCACTTTGTTTTACTCTACCATCTGCAGTGTGGCTGAGATAACTCATTGAAGGCTTTATCCCACTATTATAATATAATCCAATATGACATTAACAGGGCATTTTATAGCAGACATGAAAATTCCAGCTGCCTTTCTGGATTAGTAACACAGCGAGTTTCATTTTACAATTACAAACTACAAGAGAGCAATGCCAGCAAAAGGCACCTCCATTTTCTATGCCAGTACACGACCTGCAGCTTTTCCCTGCCACCTCCCTGACAGGAAGAGGCCAGAGGTCCAACAGTGTGGACACAGAGCTATCTCATCATTCAAGGACATAATCCCTTCAGGCTGGGAGACACACAGTGAGGCTCCATGAAGCATACAGAGGACTTGTGCTGACCACAAGAAAATAGGAGACAAGCCACTGAAAAAAGAACCAGAAAGAAATGAAAGTTTTTAGTCTTTGATCTCTTTTAAATTCTGCTTGGAAGTGTTTCTGGGCAGAAGAACATCTCATTAAGATTTTTTTGTTTTCACTCTTCTATGTGGTGGTACTAGGTATTACCAGAGGAAGTTAGGGAGGGAAGATGGAAAAGACAAACGTTCCTAGTCATTTTTCAGAGCGTTGACATTCAGGGAAAATGACTGACAGCTTCTGTTTCCTTATACTCACAATTGGACATTAACAACTCTGAAAGGTTAGTGTCTTGATGAAGGTGGCATTCTGTGATAACTCTCCCTTTATGGCCTCCTGGGTTGGGATTTTATGGCCTAATCATACTAAAATCAGATTTCACTGGGCCCACTGAATTATACACACACAAATACAAGTTCAGACCACCTTTTATGTAATCACTCTGGGAAGCTACATGCTTGATGGGAACCTCCTTCTTTTAAAATGAGCATTATGGTCAATGGCATATTCATTCAGCCATGGAATATATATTTACTGACATCTATTATTACAAGGTCAAGGGCAAGTTGCCACTGCTAAGATGAGATGAGGCAGCAAAGGCAGCCAGAGATCATCCTGAGTAGGTGCAATTTGGAACACCCCACAGAGAGGAGCCCAGCTGCAGCCCACAGGGTGCTTACTTCCCACTGGATGTAGATGAAGGCAGGGGAATGGGGGGTGGAGGCTATAGTAGCCCATGAAATCTGCATGGGGAAAGTCTCAGATTTGAAGACTGAATCACATTACTTCTAATATAACAGTTTCTCTTTTTCTGTGATCAGTGTTATTCATGGACATTTCTTTAGTAACAAATGTTATATCCAAAGGCATGGAATAAATGACTTTTATATTGGTGTGGTATTGTCTCTGAGCTCCAGCATTTTTAGTGGGGAGAAGTACACTTTGAAATAAACAAAAACAAGGTCTCTTACCAGGATAGGAACCATGAAAGCAGATCTAAGTGACCATGCATATCTAAAAGAATGGTTGTGGTGGGCCGGACTCTCAAGGGGAGCCAATGAGGTTGCCAACTTTACTGCCTCTGGGCCAGCTGCCTTAGCGCCTCCATTAGGAGCTCTCATTGTCCTTGTAAAGGTCTGCAGTTACAGTCATTCATCCTTCAAAAGGAGAGGACATAGAGACCTTACATAAAATGTCTTGCAAGCTAGGTGATCCACATTTTATGGTTTTTGTAAAACTTGTGGCCATTGTAGTCTTGATTTAATCTTGGTTTTAGGACTTCACCACAAACTGAGCATTGTCTTTACATAACCATCTGCTCTGTAAGCAGAGCGTTTTCAGTCTGCTATGTTAAAGGCCTGAGCATTGTTTTAAAGAACTTTCTGCTGGAAAGTCTCTGCTGAGACATCCCTTGGCCTGGTTTCTGCTGCTAAGCCTCACAGTCTGTGTAAGCACACAGATTAATTATTTAAACAGGGCCCTGGACATATTGAACCCTTCTATATAGCAACTTCAATGTATTATGTGTTCTTTAACATCAGTTTTAACTTACTCAGCTCTTTAAGAAGGGGCAAGATATGCCTGTCGATTACATTATTGGTACTTTGAGTGTCTTCTTAGGATGTTTATGGGGATGTCATTATTGCATGCCTTTAAAGATGACTGTTTAGCAAAATTTCCCATGTCTTTTTGAGATGAAAAAGCAATTAATGCAATCTCTCTAATATTCTTAATATGTCTAATATTATTAATAGCAACAAAGTTTAACTTGTAGAACTGAACAACAAACTGGTCAAAGTATCCCCCAAAAGAAATAAAAATCTGATAGTTTTTGAGAAACAAATTTAATTAAAACATTATTCTGTAATTCTGCTACAAAATGAGTTTGATTTTTAAAACATGTCTGAAAATGACAGTGTCCTCTTAAATACTGTTCTCTAGAGATAATCATTTTTAGGATCATGATCTTAGTGAAATATGTGGTTGATTTCTATTTTTATTGACACTATATTGTAGTGTAGTGTGTGTGTGCGTGTTGATACCTCCACAAAGAACCAATGTATTAGTGACAATTGAATGTAAGAAAATGTTTTATTTCTTTACTGGTGAAAATTTAAAAAGACATCTCTGTAGCAGGGTATTGGTCAAGTAACCTACTAGTTAAATAAGGGTAGAATTTTTTTTTTCAAAATATTGTTACAAAGTTTTATTTGGAGGGAGGGATTAATTTTCGGGATTTTTAGAAATAGTCTGAAATGATGTGAAATGAGGTCTGGTAGATAAAGTAGACCATCAAACTGGATAATAACATTTTGGGGATTTGTAACTATAATGAAGAGACCCATTTTCCTTCTGGCTCTGCGATGATTCTACCAAAGAGAAATTTTGAAAATGTGTGGAGAAAGGGTAGTGCCAGCAGAATACACACCACACGTGTCCTCATGCATGACTGCCTCAGAGGCAGCTATCATTTGAACTTAAAGAGTATGAGATATTTACTTACAAATCATCGTTCAAAACAGAATGGGAGAGGTCATGTTTAAAATATCTGTCAGTCAAAGCTGAGAAGCATTATTTTTAAAAAAAATAAAAATGCTTTTTTGCAACCAATATCAGAGTAAAATTATTCTAAGAGCACATCTTGGGCAGAGAATCTTAAGTGCTTTTCATTTTTTGGATTAAAAAGAATTCCACACATCCAACATTCCTCTGTATGCCTTAGAGATTAATTTCTCACCACTTTAGGTAATGTCAGTGAAGTCATCATGAGGTTAATCAAAAATTTTAATGCAAGAGACATATGATATAGGAAAATGTATGTACATGCTACAATTAAGTAAGAAGTGCTTTCTTTAGACATAAGTAATGAGTTGTCCATTAAAAACTAAAAAAAACTCCTGGAAACTTGATAAAGTCTTTGTTTTAAAAGAAGTTGGCTCTTAGTTGTCTTCATGATTAGTACATTTATCTATTCCGTTAAATCTAAAGAAATTCTGTCTGAATATATCCATTTTTAATTTTACAACTTTATTGTGGGTTTAATGGACCCTAAATAAGCTGCATATATTTAAATGTACAATTTAATAAGTTTTGTCTTATGTAAACATCCATGAAGCCATCACTGCAATCAGAATAGTGAACACATCCATCACCTTCCAAAGTTTCTTAATGCCTCTTCATAATCCTTTCCTCCCCATGAATCCCTCCTTTCCCAGACAACCACTGATTGCCTTTCTATCACTATGAATCCTGCTAATATGGAATTTTATGTAAATAGAATCATGCAATATACTATACTCTCTTTTGCCTGGCTTCTTTCACTAGGCATAATTTTGAGAATCACCCATGTTGTGTGTTATCATCCTTTATTCTTTATTACAGTTAATTCTACTTATTCCTAGTATTCCAGACATTCCTATTTATTCCTTCTTATTTCATCATATAGATGTGCCAGAGTTTGTTTATCCATTTACCTGTTGATGGCTATTTGGGATGTTCCAGTTTTTGATTATTATGAATAAAGCTGCTGGGAACATTTATGTAAAAATCTTTGCATAAACATGCACTTTCTTTCCTCTTGGGTCATAGGTGAGTATATTTTTAACTTCTTAAGAAATTGCCAAATTGTTTTCCAAAGCAGTTGTGCCATTTTCCATTCCCACTAGTAGTGTGGGAGAGTTCCAATGACTGTATTTATATAACTGACCTAAGTCCCGATCTTCTCATTTAAACAGATATTAAGCATTTTTATTTTTTATCTTGTTGACTGATACAGAAATGACTTGATTGTCCCTAAATTGGATCACTTATGCCTTAATAACACAAAGATAAGTCTTTTACAGTGACCCCGTGCCATCTCTCCAGATAGCCCACCTTCCCTGTTCTCCCTCCCTCTCTCTCCTTTTAGTCATTACCTTTGCTTGAGGAATTCTCATGAAAAATAACCCTGAAATAAAGGGATAAATGGTGAGAGAGAAGAAGTAAAGTCGGTAGCGACTGGATAGGGTTGCAAAGTCAAGGAGTGTAGTTGGGTAACTTGCTGTTTAGTTGATGTATTCATTAGGATTGGGTTCACCTTTATGTGAGAGACAACCAAAAATAGAAGTTGCTAAAATGGAAACTTATTTGGCTCTCTCATAAGAAAAGTTCAGGGCACTAAATGGCAACTATGGAATCCTTTGGGTTCTAAGCCCTGTCGTTCCTTGGGTGACTCTTATCATCATGGTCTGTGGTAGCTCGTCTCCAAAGTTGGCCCTGACAATTCCTCTCTGTACTATACGCATAAGCTCCCCCAACTTCTTAATTATGGGGACTGTTTTGACCATTAGAATATAGGGAAAATGATATTATAAGGCTTCCAAGGTCAGGCCTTAAAATAATTAACAGCATTACTTCTTGCCCTTTGGAACTGTCTCACCATGTGAGGAGCCATGTGGAGAAAAGCTGAGGCACTCTGGTTGACAGCCCCAACTGCAAGTCAGCCCCAGCTGTCAGTTATGTGTTTGGCCCACCTTGGATGTTCCTGTCTAGCCCCAGAAGAATACAGCCCCAAATGACATCACACAGAGAAGAAGAACTACCCAGCTGAGTCCAGTCAACCCACAGAATCGTAAGAAATAATAAAATCATTGATTTGAACCACATGGCAATAAATAACCAAAACACATTCTAAGAACTGTGATTAGCCACGTGGTTACATGTGTGTAATCCCAGCATTCCAGGCAGCAGGATGGGTAGACGACAGGGGGTACACAACCTCTTTTTAAAAGAAATATTCCAGAAATTGCCAAATTGTACTTCTTATGTTTCATTGGTCAGAACTCAGTCACGTAGCCCTACCTAGCTTGTAGAGAAGCTTTTGTATTTTCGTAAAGAATTTTGTATTTATACATATATTTTTTAAGTTCTGGGATACATGTGCAGAACGTGCAGTTTTGTTACATAGGTATAGAACTTTTAACTAGACATTGATGAACTCAGCTAAAAATTAGGGTTGTGTTAATTTGAGGGAAAAGGACAGCATTGGTATTTTGTGAGCAATTGAAAGTGTCTGTCTTAGGTTTTTTGGTTTTTTTTTGTATGTAGTAAGATTAATTAGGGTTAGCACTGCTCAAAGGGGAATACAAATTTCCTCAGAAACTCAGGTGGAAAACAATGTGAAGGAAAAAGTAACATTTTGAACAAGAGAGAAATGGAAGGAATATCCATCAGAGGATTCCAAGTCAGCTTTGTTAGTGCCACCTATTGAGATTAAGGAAGCAAGTGCTAGGTTCAAATATAGAGAAAGAAACTAAGGTCTGGGAAATTCTGCTTTGGGAAATTCAATAGGAAGTCAATGGTGAATAATAAAACGCATTCCTGAGCAGCACCAAGGACCTAGTGTGAATTTGTGGGGCAATCAGTGAAGCTGTTTGGGGAATTACTTTAGTAATGATCAGAAAACAAAAGCAGACAGTGGGAGATACTTGGGTTTGGGGACTGAAAAGGTAAGAATGGAAGAAATTTATTTTAAAAAACAATGTTGGCATAAAAAAAAGTGTGCGTATATATGCAATTATATATATAATTTGTACATATATACATTTATATATATAATTGTATATATAATTTGTATATATACATAAATGTATATATACAAATTATATATACAATTATATATACATTTATATACAATTATGTATATATACCATTTATATATACAATTATGTGTATATATACAATTATGTATATATATACAATTTGTATATATACTCTCTATATATACAATTTCACATGTGCCCAAATATATTCATTGAAATAATTTACCTATTCAAAAAAATTAAAGAAACCAATAATAAGTTTAGTTTATCAACAAAAATAGCTAAAGAAGATAATATCTATAATACCTACATAAAAAAATCATGAAGATCAGATGATATCACAGCTTACCCCATCCTTGTTGTATGAACCCGGAAATGTCAACCTCAGTGAACTGCAGTTTCCACATCTATAAAACAGAGTTACATTTTCCATCTCAAAAGTTTGTTGTGGAGACTAAATAAACCAATATATGTATAGTACCTGGAACCTGGTAGGCACTTAATAAATGTAATCCTCTTCATTCATTCTTTCTCCACAAAAACACACTCTAAAAAGAAACTATGAAGTACTATTTACTGTGTATTAGAAAATGGTGTATCAATTAGAATAAGATTTACATTTTAAAAAATACGAGCAAAGAATTCACAGGCTCTTGAAAGTTTGGTGCTAGAACAGTTCTGAGCTTATGTCATCTAACCCACTCCTTTCAAAATGTAGAAGACGAAACTAGAAAGCTTACTTGGTTCACCCAAGATCATTCACCAAGATGGTGTAGAGATGAGCTAGAAACCTTGACCATCCCCCGTCTCAACTGCCAATCATTACTTAATAGAAAAATGTGCTACAAACACTTGTTCAGAGTCAAAATAATGTCACAGATGGAAATAGAACAACTTAAAAAGAGACATACAATGATTTCCTCACAAAATTTTTACCAATTACATCTAGTAGCCGAAATGTATTAGCACACAATCTTCTAGCCAACAAACTTAAATTCTTTATTGGAGGCTATTAAAATACTTGAGAGTAAATGTTAGAAGTAGATTCATAACCTTACTGAGTTTTTTAAATGAACAAAAGAAGAAAATATTTATATACTATGTGAAAATTAAAATTTCAGCCTGGTAAAAGACATCATAAATAAGAAATTTTAAAAATGAAGCAAATTGGGAAAAAATGACACTATACGACAGGCAGTGTACTGGTACATAACAAGTTATTATGAATCACCGGGAAAAATATGAACATCCCAGGAGAAAATGGGCAAGGGATTTGTACAAGCATGTCCCAGATAAAGAAATATATATAACCATTAAACAGAAGAAAAGAGTCTAACTAAAATTTAAATAATCACATCTAAAAACAATAAGAGATATATTTACCTCTCAGATTACCAAAGATAAAAAAGAGTAATAATATCTCACAGCTTGGTTAGCATATAGGAAAGGAAGTTTTTAAAAATATATGCCTAGTATTGACATAACTTTCCTGGAGGGCAATTTGGCAATTTCTATAAAATTTCTATGAAAATCCTTATAAAATTGTTGACTCAGAAATGCCATTGCCATGAATTTATCTTATAAGAGTACTTGCTCAAATGCCTAAAGATAATTTTTAAAGATGTATATTGCAGACTGAGTTGTAATATAAAAAAACTAGGAAGTCAACAAAATGTCCACTCATTGATGAGTAGAAATAAATAGAGGAACGATGTGTTCATATGGCATGTTCTACTGTTTAAAATAAACAACAAAACAAAAACAAGGTTGCTCTAAATGTACTATCTGGAAAAGTGCCAGTGACACATTAAGTTGAAAAGCAAGTTGTAAAGCAATATGTATAGGATGACCCTATTTTGTAAAAGGGGAAAGAAAGTATAGGTGTTTGAATATACACGGAAAAATGTCTTACTCAGAGACCTTAACTGAAAACAACAGAATTGAGCAGAATCTAGCTTAGGCCAAAAGGGATGATTTGACTCGTGTCACTGGGAAACCATGGATGGAGCTGGCCCTAGGGGCAGCTGGATCTGGGGGTTCAGGTGATGTCTTCAGAGTTGTCTCTGCACCAACTCTGCTTCTCTCTGTGTTTTGCCCTCATTCTTTTCATTCCAGATAGCCACCTCCCTCGTGTAACTAAAAAACTTCAGCCATTCATAAGCTGACTTCAGATCTTTCTAACAAAATGATCTGCAAAAGCAAGACATAGAATTTCCTAGTAGCTCTAGCAGGAACCTCAGGGAGAACCCTGCCAGTTTGATCCCCAAACCCTTCCCTGAGGCAGTAAGTGGGGCCAGGGCTCATTCTCATTGGCCAGCAAAGCTCCCGCTTCGATCCTGAGAAGCAGTGGGGGCACAGAGTAGGGAGTGGTGGTTCCCCAAAGGCAGAATGGATTCTAGGAAACAATGTATGTCCACTACTATTGATACTGTAATTTACATAGGCAAATATGGGCCAGGCACAGTGGCTCACGCCTGTAATCCCAGCACTTTGGGAGGTCCAGGTGGGTGGATTGCCTGAGGTCAGGAGTTTGAGATGAGCCTGGCTAACACAGTGAAACCCCATCTCTACTAAAAATACAAAAATTAGCTGGTGTGGTGGCGCACACCTGTAATCCCAGCTACTCTGAAGGCTGAGGAACGAAAATTGCTTGAACCTCGGAGGCAGAGGTTGCAGTGAGCCGAGATCAGGCCACTGCACTCAGCCTGGACAACAGAGCCAGACTCTGTCTCAAAAATAAATGAATAAATAAATAAATAAGCAAATATGGGGACTGTGGGAAATGGGATTTTTCAAAAAACCAAACTCCTACCAAATCTCTCCTTCTCATACACACACCTTTTCCATTATTTGATCAAAATGCAGCCTGTGTATTTCTGGACAATAAAGTGGTTAATTTCTTCTGGAAAGATACTGGGAAAGGAATTTTATTGAAGAGGTTGATTGGGCTTTTTCTGTGAGCAGAGACCCTGATTCTGTGAGATAAGCGGGGGAATGCCAGCCTTGGCTGAATGCTGCTATGGCTCTGCGTGGGCTTGTTCTGGATCACTCCCCAGCCCCAGGGGCCGGAGGACTCCAGGGCAGGGCCAGCCTCATGGCTCTGCTGTAGCCCTAGGACCTTCTGACAGCTGCTGAACAGGCTATAAATGTCCCCAGAATATATTTTTCTCTCCAGAAAGCAGTTAGTACACTCTCTGCCACATTGGAAGCTGATTGCCTTCTTTTCCTCGTATAGGCATGTCGAAGAGAAACCAGAAATGCAAGACCTAACAGTTAAACTCCTTAATTTGGATTCCACAAATCTAGAATTTGAGATAAATCATATAGGAGCTATAATAAAGTTTCTGTGTTATCTCTAAATAAAAGATTTATTTTGCAAATTATAGGGTAAATAAGATTGCAGAGAAATGGGGAAAGCTACTTTTCAAGAACCATGCACTATTTCAGAAGCATCCATCAGCAGGTAATCATCTGATAAACTGATGACTAATTGTAAAGCACTGTTATCTATTCAATCAAGTTTTTTTTTTTAAAAAAAACAACTCTTCCATTGGACACTTTGTAGCCTAGTTCCTAGTTACTATAAATATTCTGAAAAGCATCTAAAAATGGTATAATTCAGAATGCTTTACTAATTCAGTTTACTGGAGAATTTTTATTGTAGGATGGCTAAAATTAGTTTTCAGCTGTTATAGTGCTTAAGAGCATTGGTTTCTGAGGTTCAAATTCAGGTTCTATCATTTAATGGTATCTTGGGTAAGCTGCTCACTCTCTGAGCCTGTTTTCTCATTTTTATAATGGGACAACAAATACTCACCTTAAGGAATTGTTGTCAGGATTCGGTTGGAAGTTTGGCACATAGTAATCCATCAATAAGTATTAATCTTTAATCTTCTTAATCACATATTGTGTTTTGAATGTGTCCAACTCTCCTAAGACCCTAGACATTTTTGAAAAAAAATTTTGGTTTAGTGAGAACAGAATAGGATAAGAACCAAATGGAGCTAGCCCTAACACACATGCTGGCCAAGTGCTTGACAAAACACCACTTTGTTCAGTACAGCAGGTTATGTCAACTCTGAGGAAAAAAACTCAACATTCTGAATCAATCTGTTAACTTCAGTTCATTGATTTTACAGGATCTGTGGATTATTTTCTTTAAAGAAAGCAACCTTACTTACCATGTTGTACCATTCCTATATTTAAAACCCAAAAACTAAAAAACTCTCCACCTCTCCTCCCTAGAGTTAGGTGGCATTTTGATCTATTCAACCTTGGCAGAGTCCACCAGCATAGATGGTTCCCATTTCAACAACATTCTTGTGCATGTGACATGCAGTCAGTGCTTACCCGCAAACCACACTAGGGGATGAGCTAGGAAATCAAGAGGCAGACCAAGCAACTTGGTAAAGTAGAATGAGTGTGGAGAAAATAAAACAAGTGACAAACTGGGGAAAAATATTTGGCACACATCTAACAAGCAAAGGCTACAAAATTCTACTATAAGAATGCAAACATTTAAAAGAGACTACAAGTTAATCAGAAATGTCAAACAATCCAACAGAAGAATAAGCCCAGATACTTCTCTGCCAAGTTACAAAAGAAATTCGAAAGGTCAAAAACTTATGAAAAAAAGCTGAGTGTCATCAGTAACCTGGGAAATTCAAATGAAAGCAACAGTGGCTCACCAATTTTGACTATGAGATTTGAAAAAGTTAAACAGACTGATAACATCTAATGCTAAGATTTTTAAATGAGTATTCTCTAACATCAATTTTATTTATTTTCTATTACTGCGGTACCAAACTGACACAGATTTAGTGGCTTAAAACAACACAAATTTACTATCCTATAGTTTAGCAGATCAGACGTCCCACAGAATCTCACTGGGCTTAGATAAAGGTGTCAGACTGGGCTGTATCCCTTTCTGGAGACTCTAGAGGGAATCTATTTCCTTGCCTTTTCCACTTCCTTGCCTTTTCCATTTACTTGCCTTTCCCGTTTTCTTGCCTTCCAGAGGACGCCAGCATTCCTGGCCTCCATCATGCATCTTTAAAGCCAGCGATGTTGCAACCCTCTGATCATTCTCCTGTAGTCACCGCCCCCTTTCTGACCACAGCTGAGACAGATTCTTTGCTTTTAATGATTCATGTGATTAGATTGGGCCCAACTAGATACTCCAGGATAATTCCCCCATCTGAAGGTCCTTAACTTTAATCCCATCTGCAAATTCTCTGTGGCTGTGCAAGGTAACATAGTCACAGGCTCTCAGGATTAGGACATGGATATGTCTGGGAGGAGGCTTTATTCTGCCTATCACACTAACGGTTAGAGGATGGCCTGTTTGTAGGACAGTTTGGCAGTATACGCATTATCACTGACCCAGCAATTTGACACCTGAGTATCCCACAGAAACACTTGCACATGTGCATAAAAATGTACATTCAAAATGTTCATTGCAGCATCATTTGTGAAAGCAAGAGATTAAAACAAATCAAATATTCTTCGAAAAAGAATGGTTAAATAAGTTATGATATGACCATATTATGTTACAAGACCTCCACATTTTTAAAAAATATTTAAGTTTTATTTTAACTTTTAAGTTCGCGGATACAAGTGCAGGGGTACAAGTACATAGGTAAACTTGTGTCATGGGGGTTGGGTTTGTTGTACAGATGATTCTAACACCCAGGTATTAAGCCTAGTACCCATTAGTTATTTTTCCTGATTCTCTCCCTCCTCCCACCCTCCAGCTTCTTAAAGGCCTCAGTACATGACATATTGTTAAGTGAAAAAAAGAAAAGAAAAAAATAAGTTGAAGATAAACTATAATACGAATTTAAATTTATAGATTAAGAATTTAGAAAATGTCTGGAAAGATCTCCACCATTGGAGGGCTCTGAGAATTAGAATGGAATTGAGGATGAGGGATGGAGGGAACATGTGTGCGTGTGTGTGAATATATATACATGAATACAGTTATCTATACATAATACATTTTATATTTTTATATATAATATATTATAAATATATACTAGGTCATCTGTATATTTATATGTAATATATATTACATATAACATTTTCTACATATTATGTTTATATATTAAATATATTTATATATTATTTGTATATTATACACATTATATATTATCGGTACATTTATATGTTTATATTTATATATCTGTAATATTTGAATTTTTACAGAGGTATATTCACATGTTACTTGTATTTTTAAATATTAAGTTGTTTAAAAAACAAAGTGCACCAGACTGTAAGTCATGGGCACAGCTGTGTGACTTGGGCTACTCACTTTATCCTTCTGGGCTTTAGTTAAATAGTCTATAAAATAAGAAGTTAGACACAGGGATTCTAAATTCCATTTCAACTCCAGATTTTATGAATAGATGCAGCAAAAAATTTAAACTCACTCTAGTAATATTTTGGTGATGTGTGAAAAGGAAAATAGTAATTTCTTTATTGATTTTTAAAATCACGTCCTAAATTTTCTGGAATGGTCTTGACATTAAAATATTTTAATTTTTGATTCTGTAATATGTTAGTACTTGCCATATTGTATGACTCAATTTGGATCTCTACAGGCATTCCAATACACTGCTGGTGTTAATGCAAATTGGTACAACCTTTCTGAAAAGCAAATCACAACAGGAGAAAGTTTTTTAAAGCAGTTTAATCATTGACCTAGTAATCCCACATCTAGAACTTTTATTCTAAGAAAAAACACAGAGGCCGGGAGGGGTGGCTCATGCCTGTAATCCCAGCACTTTGGGAGGCCGAGGCGGGTGGATCACGAGGTCAGGAGATCCAGACCATCCTGGCTAACACGGTGAAACCCCGTCTCTACTAAAAATACAAAAAATTAGCCCGGCGTGGTGGTGGGCGCCTGTAGTCCCAGCTATTCGGGAGGCTGAAGCAGGAGAATGGCGTGAACCCGGGAGGCAGAGCCTGCAGTGAGCCGAGATCGCACCACTGCACTCCAGCCTAGGCGACACAGCAGACTCCGTCTCGGGAAAAAAAAGAAAAAAAAAGAAAAAACACAGAAACATTCTAAATGTCCAAAATCAGGGAAATGGTTCAATAAATTAAGCTTCATTTGCAGGCAGCATTATTATACAGTCATTGATAATATTTCAAAGAAGTGTTAATAACACAGGAAAATTTATAATCAAATATTGAGTGACAAAATATATAGAAATATGTATATATTTCCTGTTCTCTGGCATAAGTTTTATGTACATGGGCCTAGAATAAAGATTGGAAGAGAATGTGCCAAAATATTAAAGATGGATAACTCCAGCTTGTGATATTTAAAATGCTTTTTGGCAATTTCAAATCTTCACACAGTGAACTAGTATTTTCTTTAATCATAAAATCAAATTCAAATTGATCTCTGTACTTATAAATTATAATAAGCTTTTCAAATGAAAATTTTCACTGTGTTTATAGAAAAATTACTGATTTTCTTAACCTTTGGAGAATTATCTATTTTTAATTCTTCCTTTTTGTTTTGGGTTTAGTTTACTCTTTCTAGTTTCTTAAGGTGGAAGGTAAGTTATTGATTTGAGATCTTTTTTCTCTTTAAATATAGGTTTTAGAGCTATACATTTTCTTTTAAGTAGTATCTTTGTTGTATCCCATAATTGTTTTTATAAAATGTACACTTCCTGAAAGTACTTCCTTTTTTTTGAATTTTCTTCTCCTTTTTTTAAAATTATATTTTAAGTTCTGGGATATATGTGCAGAACGTGCAGGTTTGTTACATAGGTATACACATGGTCATGGTGGTTTGCTGCATCCATCAACCTGTCATCTACATTAGCTATTTCTCCTAATGCTATCCCTTCCCTAGGCCCCCCACCCCCTGACAGGCCCCAGTATGTGATGTTCCCCTCCCTGTATCCACGTGTTCTCATTGTTCAACTCCCACTTATGAGTGAGAACATGCGGTGTTTGGTTTCCAGTTCCTGTGTTAATTTGCTGAGAATGACTTTCTAACTTCCTTTGTGATTTCGTGTTTGATGCATTGGTTATTCAGTAGTATATTTTTAAAAATTTCCCCATATTTGTGAATTTCCAAATTTCTTTCTGTTATCTTAAATTAGTTTCCTTGTGGTCAGAGAATATGCTCTACATGATTTCAGTCTTCTTAAAAGTCTCAGGACTTGTTTTATGGCTAACATATTGGTCTATCCTGGAGAGAGTTCCACATAAATTTGAGAAGAATGTACATTTTGTTGCTGTTGATTATTCAACAAATGTCTGTTAGGTCTAGTTGACTTATAGTATTGGTCAAGTTTTCTATTTCCATGTCTATCTTCTGCCTATTCTTTTATTGAAAGTAGGATATTGAATACTGTCGAATTGCCTATTTCTCTCTTTAATTCTGTCAGTTTTTGTTTCACATGTTGGGGTTCTATTGTCAGGTGCATATATGTGTATAATTTCTATGTCATCTTGATAGACTGATCCTTTTATCATTATCAAATGATCCGTCTATAGTAACAATTTTTGGCTTAAAGTCTTTTTTTTCTGATATTAATATGGCAAATCCAGCTCTCTTTTAGTTATTACTTGCATGACATTTTTCCCATCCTTTTAATTTCAACCTATTTGTATCCTTGAATATAAAATGTGTCTTTTGTAGATAGTAAGTAGTTGAATCGTTTTTAAATATCTATCCTGCCAGTCCTCTGGCTTTTAATTGGAGTGTTTAATCCATTTATATTTAATACTACTACTGATAAAGTAGGATTTACAGCTGCCATATTTTATTTATTTTCTATATGTCATGTCTTTTTTATTCCTTGACGCCTCCGTTACTGCCTTTCCTTGTGCTGAATATTTTCTAGTGTATCATTTTAATCCCCTTGTTGTTTATTTTACATCATTTTTTAGAGTTAAATTTTCTTAGTGGTTGCCCTGAAGATTAGAATTAACATCTTAGTTTAAAATATTCTAGTTTGGATTACTACCAAGTTAATTTTAATACTATATAAAAACTTTGCTCCAATACCATTACATATCAACTCTCAACCCTTCCCGTGTGAGAGCAACATTTGGGATATATTCATTGTGTCAGTTCTACTAGTAAGAAGTGGTTATATCTTACTTTAATTAATGAGCATGTCTTCAAGAATTCCTAATTTCTATTTAGGAGTTAAATGAAGAGGTAAAACAAGCAGGCTAACTATTTAAGCAAGGAATATGGCAGCTCCATTTCAGAAAGGAAATTTTGAAGCAGGCATCCCCATTCACTGAGTTTTACCAGTTTCATTCGGCAGCTCATAAGGTGATTTTATGTGCAACTGAAAAAATGTAAAACTCTTTCCCACGGTGCTTTAAAGAAGTTATAATGTATTTTCAGATACAGAGGGCTATGGGGAGATTTCCTGACAAGCTTGAATAAAGGTGGAAATTTCAATTTTTTATGAGATTGTTGAAGCACTGACTTTAAGGCAGCAGCAGTAAGCTCACTTTTGCTGGCTATGAGCACATTGAAACTCCCAAGCTGAAGAGAGGTAAATGAGCATTCCAGGGTGTGCAAACTGAAAAAAAATATGTGCAGAGTTTGTGTGTCACAGAAACAATTATTCTTTAAGTTTTATAATCAAGAAGTGAGAAAGGCAAATTATCCTTTATATACACATTCACACACACACACATTTATATAATGTGTAATGTATCACTTTGCATTGCAACGATTTATTTGACCAGGGACTGGAATAGGAAGTACGGCTGAAATATAGTCATTTCTATATGATCTTTCTATTTTTTATTTTTTAATCACCCCTTTATCAGAATATATTTTTAAACATGTGTGTCAGTTTAGTTAAAAAGAGCCTGGCATTGTTGTTAGGCAGATCTGAACTTGAGTCATGGTGCTGCCACTAGTGTGACTTGGTTCTTAATCTCTTAATCATTTAATCTCTCTAAGCCTCAGCTTCCTCAACTGAAAAGTACACTTAAATTTGGTACCAACTTTAAAGAGCAATTGAGATAATGAGTCAGTCTGATTAGACTATTACTAATGTAGCTATTGCTAATAATACAACTATAAATAAAAATAATAATCACAGCAACTACTTTGAGTACTTGCTACATGCAAATCAATGTATTAGGGTCTCAAGACAAATGGTAAATGGAAATATGTTGAGCTCATTTGATTCAAATGTGCTTCAAGTAAAGTCTGAGAAATGAAGAACAATGGTGTACAGAATGCAATGCAGTTCAAAAGAAATTTCAGAGAAATGTTTAGGGAAATTGGGGGCAATGGGATTAAGGTAGAAATGGAATTGGAGTTGGAATATGTCTGCTTACCAGTTTTCAACATATTAATGAAAATAAAATATTTGGGCTTTTTTGTTTGTATGTTTTGTTTTTCCAAAGCTCCATTGTGCTTGTACTTTCATCGATGTCTTGGAAAAATATTATCGGTATTGGTTTGTTCAGCATAGATTATCTCCATTTTTTATAACAGACATTTCTTTGATATTACAGTCAGCCCTCCTTATCCATGGGTTCTGCATCTGTGGATTCAATCGACCATAGATTGAATATACTTGAGAAGGAAAACAAATGGTTGTGTCTTACCTGAATATGTATAGATTGTTTCTTGTCCTTATTTCTAAGAAATATAGCATAACAACTATTTATATTGCATTTACAAGGTATTAGGTATTATAAATAACATAGAAATGATTAAAGGTGTACAGGAGGATGTGCATAGATTGTATGTAAATACTACCCACTTTATTTCAGAGGCTTGAGCATCCATAGATTTGGGTATCTGCAGGGGGTCCTGTAACCAATCCTCCATGGATACTGAGGGATGACTGTATATGTAAAAATATTTGTAAAGTAAATCACATTTGAAATGAGCTTTGTGCTTTCCAGTCATTGCATTTTGCTCATTTTACTCCCTGCTTAAATTACTTTCCCTCTGTTCTCTGTCAACTCAAATTCTATCCAATCTTTCTGGGTCACTACCAACAACACTTATTCTCTGAACCTCCTCTAAGGTCATCCCAATCCTCATCGTTTTCCTACTCATGTGAATTACTACGGGATCTGCATTTAATTATAAAGAAACTCAACAAGCAACTGTTGACCAATTACAATGAGCCAGGCCCTGGAATTGCTACTGGAGACATAAGATGAACAGGATGCTGTTCCTGTCCATTCTTAGGAGACATAGAATCCAGTGGCAGGAGACAGACATACTAAGAGAATCATTATTCCAAAAAATATTTTTATAAATGAAGGGCATATTTATGGATAAATACTGCATCAGAAAGATCAGAAAGAAAACCAATCACTCACTAATTTGTCTTCTTGGTAAATCTGGATTTTCGTCTGAAGCACAATGCACAGCTAAGCTTTCACATATTTTTTCAGAAATAAGAAAGTTGCCCTTTAAAAGTAGTTATAGGTTTTCTACCTCCATAGATAGAGAAAAAATTCACCTTTATAAGAAGACTTCTCTTTTCATTATGAGAAATAATTCTAACATGCATTTTCATTATGCAAAGTTAAAGCTAAAATGCTACTCTGGAATGGAGACAATTGGGACAAGTAGCTAAACTACTTTGCATAAAGATGTAAACATTTGACTTTACTGTGGTAAGAATTACATCTTGCAGCAATTAGCCTTTGCCACAATGGTGTATTACAAACAACTTCAAAATTCAGTGACTGAAAAAAATTATTTTGTTTCTCCAGATGTTTGAGTCAGCTGGGCAGGTTTTGCTTCACATTGCAGGTCTGCAGGTCTGGGTCTTCCTCACATGTCTTTCATCCTTTTTGGTCCCATTGAGTTATTCAGGGTACATTCCTCTCATGGTGATGGCAGAGGCACACCAAATGGCAAGCCCAACCACGCAAGCACTTTTCAAACTGCTTTTTGCATCACATCTGCTAACATTCTATTAGCCAAAGCAAAACACATAGTCCAGCCCAAAATTAAGAGGCTGAGAAGGACATTCCATCTTTAGTTGCAGAAAATGCAAAACTACCAGGCATAGAATGTAGACACAGGAAATAATAAAGAGTCAGATAAAATAATTCAACCTCTCAGACCCCATAAAGATATTGATTGAAATGTGTTTGAAACTGAGGGAAGGATTTGGGGTTTGCAGTTATTCTCAGTGGACCAGAGAAAGAAGAGATTTGAGAGTTCTCTGAGCAGCAGGCTATGAGACAGAGCACATTAAACAGGGAGGGCTCTTGAAATCAATACCTGTGAAAAGGAGTGAAAGGAAGCAAAACTGGGCAAAGGGAAAAGTTGAGCTTTGATGTGGTCTCAGCAAAGGGTTCAGGCAACTCCATGGGAAGTGTTGGAACTTGTGGCCCTTCAGAGTTGTCCCAAGTTGGGGCATGGTGTCCAGGCTTTTATATCTCTGCTCAGTCAATCTTCACAATACCTTTGCTTGATCAGGTCTTGTGTAATTTTGGCCATAGGCAATCTCCAATGAGGGCTGATAGGTGAGAACTGTCTTTTGGCAGCACTCACAGGAGTCTTCATTTTGAAGAAGATCTTGGTTGCAAAGCACTGCACCCTTACAGCAGCTACTATGTTCTAGGCACCATTCTAAGTGCTGGGGATATAGAAAAAGAACAAATGAATAAGAAAATGTATCACACGTCAGACGGTGCTGAATGTTACAGGGAGAAATAAAGCAGGGTCACTCAACTCCAGCCACATAGCATCCTTGAAATTATTCAAACCCACCATGTAAGTCCCCATTCCAGGGTCTTTGCTACCCATCACTTATGGCCCCACTCCCTTTAGGTCTTGGCTCAAGTGCTCCCTTCTCAATAAAGCATTGTATCACTATTCTGTTGTAAATGTCAGCGTCTCCAACATCCACCCATCCTAGCATTCCTGTCTCTCTTCTGCTACTGGCCAGTTTTCTCTGTTCTCCTAAAAAACCAGCACTCTGCTCCCCTGGCTACCTGCTGCCCTTCTGAGACTTGAATATCCTTGTTGGGGCCTTATAATGACTTCTTTTACTTTCTTTTTATTTCTCCTAAATAAGTAAAACATGGCAATATTAAGGAAGGAGAGTGATTACTTTGTGAGAGTTCCCCCATCCCCTACTCCTGCCCCATCCTACCCTATGCTCACCATTAAATAATAATTTTTCTCAACACTAGAAGTAAACTGGAAAAACATACAAATAGGAAACTCTGATTAAAACTGATCAGGTTTTTTTCTCTAAATCAAGTTATTTTCTCTGAAGAATAGAAACATGAAGCTTCATGTGAGGTGATTCAAACCAAAGTGACTGAAAATGGCTGCAGACAGTGTACACACACATGACTGGTTTCCTATGAGGCCGTTTTGCTTCCTTCTTCTGTGAGTACAGGCTTTCCTTAGCAAAATCCTCTCCCAGCAGGTCGAGCCCTGTTTCTGAGTGCTCCTTGACTAATGCAGGTATTTGTTTAGCTATTGCCCCTCCTGTCTTCCCAACTGGTTTCAAATGCTTTCATACTTGAAAATGATCTCTTTAAAATCACCCTGATTTTTCCCAACAGATTATTGTATTTGGAGTAATAGCATGAGCTGAGGCTGTATAACATGGGGTGGGGGAGAAGTTTAGGCAAACTTCTTACAGTTCGGTTTTCAGTGTGAGTTAAAAACAAACCAGCCAAGTGATAGAAATACATTTCAGACCCAAGGAAAAGATAAATGTCATCCTTTTTATGCTGTACAGTAAATGTGTGCAATTTATCTGTTTAAAAAACGTAGGCATTTCCAACCTGTAACATATAGGCATGGTCATTTATGCGAGTTAGGTATTTGATGCCTTTGCTAGCACAGCCATCTTCCTACCATTTTACTTTCCACTTCCTTTTCACTCCTAATCCCCAACCCCACCCCAGTATACCCATTCCAACCCACCACTCTTTATCCTCCAATCCACAAATTAAAGTATTTCTGCTGGGAGTTATATATTCCACTGCTCAACAGGAGTTCACCACTGAAATTCTTGTAACTGAAATATCCAGATGGTTGTTCTAATTTTTCACTTAGCTATTTGGCTTGCTTGGTTATTCTATCTCATTTTATTCATCCTCAAAACATTTTTGAAAGTTATGTTCTCTAAAGAATAGAAACATGAAGCTTCATGTGAGGGGATTCAAACCAAAGTTAGGAATTATAGTTCACTTCAGAAGGCAGGTTTTTCAAAACAAATATAGACTGAAGTAAGAAGGTTAACGTGCCTTTAAATGTTTGCCTTTTCTATATAAATAGGCTTATTATTTATTGAAGGTTTTTGAACAAATATTTATTGAATACTTACTATGTGTCAGACATTGTTCTCAGTGTTTAGAATATCTCAGTGAACAAAAAACGAAGACCCTGACACTGTGAAAGCTTAAGTTTGAGATAGGAATGCTGATAATAGACACAAGCATAATAAATAAATAAATTATGTAGCTTGTTAGAAGCTTTTTATACAATACAAGAAGCGTTTCCATATAATATGGGGAGGAAAAGAAGAAGGAAGGTACTATAATAGGAGAGCAGGAGGTGTTGGGGCACAATATAGCATAAAGAGGCAGAGCAGGCTTATTGAGAAGTGGTATTAGCATAAAGACTGAAGAGCTTTTCAGGCTAAAGTAACAGCCAATGCAAAGGGCCTGAGAGGGGAGTTTGTCTGGCATGTTTGAGGAACAACAAGGAGGCCAATGTGGCTAGAGCAGGGCAAATTGGGCAAAGAGAAAAAGGATCAGACAGGTAACTGGGATCCGAACACTTAGGGCCTAGCAGACCATTGTAAGGACTTTGGCTTTTACTCTGAATAAACTGGGAGCTGTTACAAAATTCTGAGCAGAGAAGTAGGGTATTTTTGGTTTTTTGTTTGTTTGTTTGAGACAGGGTCTCACTCTGTTGTCCAAGCTGGAGTATAGTGGTATAATTCTAGCTCACTGCAGTCTAGAATTCCTGGGCACAAGTGATCCTCCTACCTCAGCCACCTAAGTTGCTGGGACTACAGGTGCACACTACCATGTCTGGCTAATTTTTAATTTTGTTTGTAGAGAGAGGGTCTCCCTATGTTACCCTGGCTGATCTCAAACTCCTGGCTTCAAGCAATCCTCCTGCCTCAGCCTCCAAAAGTGTTGAGATTACAGGCGCAAGCCAGCAAGCCCCCCCACTGGGTCCATATTTAGGTTTAAAAGGGTCACTCTGGCTTCTGTGCTGAGACTAGATGGTGGGTAGAACAAAGATAGAAACAGAAAGGTTAGGAAGCTGATGACGGTGGTGCAGACCAAGGCGGCAGCAGAGGTAGCACTGAGAAATAGTCATGTTATGGATATAGGATGAAGGTAGAGCAAGAGATTTTCTGATGAATTGGATATGGAACATGAGAAAACTATGAGTCAAGAATGATCTCAAGGTTGTGACCTGAGCCCTGGGAAGATGGTGTTTCCATCAATTGAGATGGGAGTGGCCGCCAGAAGAACAAGTGAGGGGGCCATATTGGGAGTTCTGTTTTTGACATATTCAATTGAGACAACCAAATAAAGACGTTAGTAGATAACTGTATGTGAGCCTGGAGTCAGGAGAGAGGTGTGGGATGAAGAGGTAAATTTAGGAGTCTTAGGCATTTAAGTGGTATTTAAAGCCATGAGATTAGATGAAATCGCCTAAAAAAGGAAGTAAAGATAGAGAAGAAAAGAGAATCAAGAACTGAGCACTGGAGATCAACATTCAGAGGGAAGGTAGAAAAGGAGAAGTCAGCAAATGAGACAAAGAAGAAGCAGCTAGGAAGATAGGAGGAAATTCAAGACAGTGTGTTGTCCCAGAGCCAAACGAAGACGGGTCAAGTAAAATGAGAAGTGAGAATTGGCCACTGCAGTTAGCAACATGGAAGTCACTAGTGATCTTGACAAGAGCAGTTTCAGTGAAGGAGTCGAGGGAAGCAAAAGCCAGACTGGGGAGGATTCAGAAGATAATAAAGGAGAGGAATCAGAAATGGCTACTAAAGACATCCCTTTCAACAAGTTTTGAGGCAAGCAATCCAAAGAAATGAGGTGATAACTTGTAGGGAAAGATGGGAGAATAACAGCATGTCTGTAAGCTACTGGGAATGATCCAGTAGAGAAGAAACATTGTGATAATATAGGAGTCAGAAAAGATAATTGCTAAGGCAGTGTCCCGGATGGGAACTAGTCATGGCTGGAGGGACTGGCTTTAGTTAGCAAAATGGAGACCTTATCTATGATAGCAGGTGGGAATGTAGCAGATGAGAGGCAGATGGAATGAGTGTGGACATGTGATTATAAGGGTCAGGGGAAGTTCTCTTCTAATTGCTTCAGTTTTCTCAGTGAAGTAGAATGCAATATCATCAGCTAAGACAATACAGATGGGAGGAGGAAATGTCAGAGATTCGAGGAGAAAAAAGAGAATATCAAATAGTCAGTGAACGGGTGAACAAATGGACTAAAGAGGCGTAGGGTGATTAGTGGAATCAGGACGGGTTCACTTGAGTTTGTGCTTATGAATTTAAAGTGAGATCAATCAGCATGGTTGTGTTCTTTTCTTCTCCAGCTCCAGTAAGTTACCCAGGTGCAGATACAGAGAATGCAGAGAGTTTAATTTTAAAAACCTGTGGTTTTTTTCAAACAAGCATTAAAAAAAGTAGAAAAGCAGCAAGGAAATTTTTTTCCTTGAAGGTGTGTGCAATTGAGAGTGATTATTGAGGATGGAATTCAGCTGGGTATGGAGGGGAGTAAGGACGTGAAGTGGTGATGGACAGTGAAAGGGTGGTAGAAGAATTGGAGGTCCCAGTCAGGTTAGAGTATTAGAGAGAAAGTCGGGCAATGTTGATCACATGTAATACATGACATTGAGAGAACGAAATAGCATGGTCTAGCAAGGCCTGCCCATGGGAGTGGGGACTGCAGAGGGGAGGCCACACAATGAGGGAAAAAGAGGTCGGGGATCTAAGATCACAAGACACTAGAAAGATGATTCATGCATATGGAGATCACCAAGAAGTTAAAACCCCAAAAGGTAAATTAAGGAAAACAAAGTTATGCTACAACTGTGCAATGAAATATTATACAGTCATTAAAAACAGAATTTTGGAAAAAATAGTTAAAGACATGAAGAAATGATTAAAAAATGCTAAGGGAGTAGGGAATCCAAGATATTTAATTTTATATGTAGTACAATTCCATTTTCTTAAATATATCTTTGTGCATAGAGAAAAGACTTGAGGAAATAAAATGTCAGTGGTATTTATCTCTGGGTGAAATTTATTGTTTTCTATGTATCTTTATTATTTTCTAAATTTCCTACAAAAAAATAGGGAAAAAATCATTAACAAAAAACAACAAAAGAGAGTAAACATATTATCTCTGGTGCATTAAATTTCATAAGAGCATTTTTAAAAATAAATAATTTAGTCACAGCTCCCAGATTTCCCACTGTCTTCTGTGTGTTAGTTCACTTAGGTAATGTGAGATGTGACACAGTTTTACAGCCAATTTCTGAATTTTCTTTCATCTTCAGACGGTATTTTTTCCATATAAGAGTTTTCTTTTCAGTCAATTGAAACTCTAGAAAGTTGTGTTTCTGTCCAAAAGTTCTCCAAATGGAGATGTTCAAATTTGAAGTAAGCTTTCCTTCTAGAGAGGACACATGTCCTTTACAGAAAATATGGGAAAACAGTAGCTATGTTTCTAAAGCTTAAGCATCCAAATCTGGCATGGAAAACTAGAATGGTTATAACTTAGATTGCTTTAGTAGATGCTTCTCCCATTCAGGGATAAGTTGAGCGGATAGGCTTCAACTGTGGGGTCTTTGTCCTTTGGTAAGGTACACTGAAGTAAGCATATTTAAAGAGAATGTCAGTTAATTTTAAATTTGTAATTAAGTCTGGTTCAAAGTAAAAGTAAATACACACAAACGCACCCTTCTCTCCACCCCGGGAACAAAATACATGTTTGTGTTTGTGAACCTAGTGGTCGTCTTATGTTTCACTTTTAGTTTCAGCTTTTCCTAAAGGTTTTTATCCCTGACCTATTAAAAGAAACTCCACAGAGAAAAAGACCCCCCCCCTCCTTGACTCTCAATCAAGTAGATTTCTACCTGTCCTTCTCTCTAACATCCTCTGTAGTCTCATGTTGACAATAAAGAAATAGGTTAGGGAAGATAATATAAGAAAAGATTTAGGATTGAATCACATGACATTTGATTTGAAATTGTACAAAATTGTGAAAGCATTAATCTCATGCTGACTCGGTCTGAGGAAAAATCCCATTTATCATTTTGGAAATTTTTTTATTTTTAATTTAAACCAATTTACAATACAACTGACACAAGAAAACTAAAAAGAAAATGTGGCTGAATTTTAACCATTGAAAGTTCATGTTGTAATCTCTGCAGAAAAGTCTGGAGTAATTTTGAGAGGAAAGAAAACATTGTCTAAAAGCTGAAAAAATATCGCTTTTAAGCATGGAATTTCCTAAGTCATGAGAATCTGAAATCACACTGCTATTTCCCTGGCTACTAATTTCAAATCCTTGCCACTCTTGTCTGAAAACCTACTGCCTACAGCCTGGCCAGAACACGGGGTGGGGATGCTCATTTGTAAAAGGCTGCCTGTATCTCGCTTTGCCATCGCCCCATCCCTAACCACAAAGCCAAGATGAGTGAAAAAGAAGATCCCTATATTTACATCAGATTTACATTAGACCTTCAATTCAAACATACAAAGTGTGCAGTGACTAGGCAACTTATAGCCCTTCTTACCATAGGAACTTTATTCCACTTTTATGGTAGTATAACTAGCCTGAAGATGAGGGAAAGGCCTGAGAGGTCATCTAGAGCAGTGGTCCTCAACATTTTTGGCACCAGGGACTGGTATTATGGAAGACAATTTTTCCATGGACTGGAGAGCAGAGGAGGGGTGGCGGGGGTGGAGTGAGAAGATGGTTTTGGGATAATTCAAGCACATTCCATTTATTGTGCACTTTGTGCCTACTATTATTACATTGTAATATATAATGAAATAATTATACAACTCTCCATAAAGTAGAATTAGTGGGAGCCCTGAGCTTGTTTTCCTGCAACTAGACAGTTCCATATGGGAGTGATGGGAGACAGTGACAGATCATCAGGCATTAGATTCTCATAAGGGGTATGCAGCCTAGATCCCTCATATGCACAATTTACAACAGGGTTTGCCCTCCTGTGAGAATCTAATCTAATGCCACTGCTGATCTGATAGGAGGTGGAGCTCAAACAGTAATGTGAGCAATGGGGAGTGGCTGTAAAAAACAGATGAACCTTCTCTCCCTTGCCCCCCAGCCCAACTCCCCTGCTGTTGTGTGGCCCTGGTGTTTGGGGACCCCTGATCTAGAGCCCAATCTTGTAACTAGGAAGGCACATGACTCTCTCCAAGGTCAAGAGGCTGAATAGAAACACTTAAATGAAGACTTCAAAATTAGATTCTCTTGTGTACATGTATCTACAGTAGAGTGTTAAACACACATCTACCTTCACAGTATTCAAATCGCTCTTTACTAAGGATTTAAAGAAGCAAATTTTCAAAACTTGGCTATAGTTACTGGCTCAATCATTTGCTTACTATAAACTAGAATTCCTTCTTATTTAAATGTAACATTTCAATTGCAGGAGTTCAAATACATTGTGTCCTGAATAATCTTAAGGTACAAATATTTCAAAATAATACTTTAAATAGAAAAACCTGTCTTTGGTACATTAACACTGAATTTTTCCCTTTCTTCCTAAGCCAGCCATGAAATACCTACTGATTCTAAATGAAGTAAGAACTTGGTTATGTGATTCAAAAATGTCAAGAATCTCTGGCCTGCATGATCTAAGATAAATGGAAGTTTGTGCAACTAACATGATTTTGGTAAAATGTATTTTTTAATTAAAAGAGTCATATAATTATATTAAAAGCTGTTTATGTTAAAACCAAAATCAATACCAGTGATAATAACTAATACTTACGAAGTGATTACTAAGTGTTAGACATTGTGCCTAAAGATTTACTATATTATCTTGTTTTATACTTTCCACAATCCCTTGGGGATAGCTATGGTTATTAGGCTCATTTTACAGTTGGGGGAACTGAGCACTAGAAAAATTAAGGCATTTGCCGAGATAATAAGCTAGCAAGTGGCAGAATTGAGATTGGAGCCCAGGTAGTCTTAACCACTCTATCAACCAGCTCGCATAGAACAGTTATTAGCAAATAAGAAAAGTATGGCTTTGTATGAGTTTAGTTTTCAGTTAAATGGTGTGTTTCACTGATGGCTGATGTGATTAGCACCTTATAAACCTTGGAAATGTTGCTTGTCAAGCATGGAAAAGTAAAATATTTGTGCTTGCTATTCTGTTCCCAAGACTAATTTTTAAAATTCCATAATATGTTAAGGTAATAATAATGAAAAAATTAATTACATAAACAGGCCATTAGGTTAAAAGCCTACACAAGCATGACCTACCAATTTTCCAAACTGATGGTAGAAATTAGTATGTTGATGGACTTTAACCACTGCATAAAAATAACCCAACATGCCCTTGTAAATCATTGTCGAACTCATTACTCATTACAGATTGTACTTCTCATTATCATGCCACATGTAAAATCTTGACAAGATTTGTCTGACATCCAAACAAACTCTTATAACTAACTCAAGCAGCATGTTTCTATGGTATGTCAGCCCGCTGCAGGTGTTTCTCTATCACAATGAATAATTACATCAAACAAAGACAAGAAATATTCTAAAGCTGACAAAACCGCACATCTGAAATCTGTATTTTCTACCTCTTGGGAAATTAAAATCTACAAGTATAGGGGCTTCAGTGCCCATGTCTTGGGGCCATTCCAGGATTATAAAGAAAGATTTTTTTTTTTTGCAAACCCAAGTATTATAACAGTACAGGAAATTAAACTGTATTTATAGACTGGACACCAGCACACCAGCATGCTTTCTTAGCTCTTCAAATCTCCCAACAAAAATAAAAACACTAGCAATCAAATGGGTGAGCAAGAAATGACAAGTATTTTGACAGCTCTAGAATACTTTGAGGTATTTTTAGCATATTTCTGAGTCGTATTAGCTTAACCTGTTATAGAATATAAATGAGCCCATATGGCACAGATGTAATTATGCTCCATGTGAGAAATCCCTGTAGTAGGTTAAGGAGGGGGCTGGAAGAGAATACACCAGCCCCCACCTCCCTCCCCACCCTCTCCCCCTCACCACATGTGCCTTCTGGAGGGCATGATTTACACATCATTTGCATTGAGAAGAATATGAAGAAACACAATGCTAACAACACAGTACTGAAAAGGGCAAGCAAAAGATTGGGGATCCCTAAGGGTGCTGCTCTCTGTGACTGACATCCGGTTAGGAGTAGAGGCAGTTTCCCCTGGGGATCACATTTGATGAAGCGATCTTTGATTATGTAGGCACAGCAATCATAAGGCATAATTATTATTACTGCAAAAGAATGGGCAACAAATCTCTGGGGAAAGCCTCTGTCACAGACACTTTGCTGGCGCACGCTGGAAGCGAATGTTCTCCCAAGGATCATTTTCATTCCAACCTGATATTTAGCTGAAGCTTCTTTGACTACCAGTCATGAAACATTAAATATAGATTAGAGCCAGAGAGATGTTGAAAGTTGAAATTCACCGGAGGTGCAAGCTTGTGTC